>NC_000011.10:48847878-49150909 GCF_000001405.40 Homo sapiens
TTCCCCTTCCTGTGTCCATGTGATCTCATTGTTCAATTCCCACCTATGAGTGAGAATATGCGGTGTTTGGTTTTTTGTTCTTGCGATAGTTTACTGAGAATGATGGTTTCCAATTTCATCCATGTCCCTACAAAGGACATGAACTCATAATTTTTTATGGCTGCATAGTATTCCATGGTGTATATGTGCCACATTTTCTTAATCCAGTCTATCATTGTTGGACATTTGGGTTGGTTCCAAGTCTTTGCTATTGTGAATAGTGCCGCAATAAACATACGTGTGCATGTGTCTTTATAGCAGCATGATTTATAGTCCTTTGGGTATATACCCAGTAATGGGATGGCTGGGTCAAATGGTATTTCTAGTTCTAGATCCCTGAGGAATCGCCACACTGACTTCCACAATGGTTGAACTAGTTTACAGTCCCACCAACAGTGTAAAAGTGTTCCTATTTCTCCACATCCTCTCCAGCACCTGTTGTTTCCTGACTTTTTAATGATTGCCATTCTAACTGGTGTGAGATGATATCTCATAGTGGTTTTGATTTGCATTTCTCTGATGGCCAGTGATGATGAGCATTTTTTCATGTGTTTTTTGGCTGCATAAATGTCTTCTTTTGAGAAGTGTCTGTTCATGTCCTTCGCCCACTTTTTGATGGGGTTGTTTGTTTTTTTCTTGTAAATTTGTTTGAGTTCATTGTAGATTCTGGATATTAGCCCTTTGTCAGATGAGTAGGTTGCGAAAATTTTCTCCCATGTTGTAGGTTGCCTGTTCACTCTGATGGTAGTTTCTTTTGCTGTGCAGAAGCTCTTTAGTTTAATTAGATCCCATTTGTCAATTTTGGCTTTTGTTGCCATTGCTTTTGGTGTTTTAGACATGAAGTCCTTGCCCACATCTATGTCCTGAATGGTAATGCCTAGGTTTTCTTCCAGGGTTTTTATGGTTTTAGGTCTAACATTTAAATCTTTAATCCATCTTGAATTGATTTTTGTATAAGGTGTAAGGAAGGGATCCAGTTTCAGCTTTCTACATATGGCTAGCCAGTTTTCCCAGCACCATTTATTAAATAGGGAATCCTTTCCCCATTGCTTGTTTTTCTCAGGTTTGTCAAAGATCAGATAGTTGTAGATATGCGGCATTATTTCTGAGGGCTCTGTTCTGTTCCATTGATCTATATCTCTGTTTTGGTACCAGTACCATGCTGTTTTGGTTACTGTAGCTTTGTAGTATAGTTTGAAGTCAGGTAGTGTGATGCCTCCAGCTTTGTTCTTTTGGCTTAGGATTGACTTGGCGATGCGGGCTCTTTTTTGGTTCCATATGAACTTTAAAGTAGTTTTTTCCAATTCTGTGAAGAAAGTCATTGGTAGCTTGATGGGGATGGCATTGAATCTGTAAATTACCTTGGGCAGTATGGCCATTTTCACAATATTGATTCTTCCTACCCATGAGCATGGAATGTTCATCCATTTGTTTGTGTCCTCTTTTATTTCCTTGAGCAGTGGTTTGTAGTTCTCCTTGAAGAGGTCCTTCACATCCCTTGTAAGTTGGATTCCTAGGTATTTTATTCTCTTTGAAGCAATTGTGAATGGGAGTTCACTCATGATTTGGCTCTCTGTTTGTCTGTTATTGGTGTATAAGAATGCTTGTGATTTTTGTACATTGATTTTGTATCCTGAGACTTTGCTGAAGTTGCTTATCAGCTTAAGGAGATTTTGGGCTGAGACAATGGGGTTTTCTAGATATACAATCATGTCGTCTGCAAACAGGGACAATTTGACTTCCTCTTTTCCTAATTGAATACCCTTTATTTCCTTCTCCTGCCTGATTGCCCTGGCCAGAACTTCCAACACTATGTTGAATAGGAGCGGTGAGAGAGGGCATCCCTGTCTTGTGCCAGTTTTCAAAGGGAATGCTTCCAGTTTTTGCCCATTCAGTATGATATTGGCTGTGGGTTTGTCATAGATAGCTCTTATTATTCTGAAATACGTCCCATCAATACCTAATTTATTGAGAGTTTTTAGCATGAAGGGTTGTTGAATTTTGTCAAAGGCTTTTTCTGCATGTATTGAGATAATCATGTGGTTTTTGTCTTTGGCTCTGTTTATATGCTGGATTACATTTATTGATTTGCGTATATTAAACGAGCCTTGCATCCCAGGGATGAAGCCCACTTGATCATGGTGGATAAGCTTTTTGATGTGCTGCTGGATTCGGTTTGCCAGTATTTTATTGAGGATTTTTGCATCAATGTTCATCAAGGATATTGGTCTAAAATTCTCTTTTTTGGTTGTGTCTCTGCCCGGCTTTGGTATCAGAATGATGCTGGCCTCATAAAATGAGTTAGAGAGGATTCCCTCTTTTTCTATTGATTGGAATAGTTTCAGAAGGAATGGTACCAGTTCCTCCTTGTACCTCTGGTAGAATTCGGCTGTGAATCCATCTGGTCCTGGCCTTTATTTGGTTGGTAAACTATTGATTATTGCCACAATTTCAGAGCCTGTTATTGGTCTATTCAGAGATTCAACTTCTTCCTGGTTTAGTCTTGGGAGAGTGTATGTGTCGAGGAATGTATCCATTTCGTCTAGATTTTCTAGTTTATTTGCGTAGAGGTGTTTGTAGTATTCTCTGATGGTAGTTTGTATTTCTGTGGGATCGGTGGTGATATCCCCTTTATCATTTTTTATTGTGTCTATTTGATTCTTCTCTCTTTTTTTCTTTATTAGTCTTGCTAGCGGTCTATCAATTTTGTTGAGCCTTTCGAGAAACCAGCTCCTGGATTCATTGATTTTTTGAAGGGTTTTTTGTGTCTCTATTTCCTTCAGTTCTGCTGTGATTTTAGTTATTTCTTGCCTTCTGCCAGCTTTTGAATGTGTTTGCTCTTGCTTTTCTAGTTCTTTTAATTGTGATGTTAGGGTGTCAATTTTGGATCTTTCCTGCTTTCTCTTGTAGGCGTTTAGTGCTATAAATTTCCCTCTACACACTGCTTTGAATGCGTCCCAGAGATTCTGGTATGTGGTGTCTTTGTTCTCGTTGGTTTCAAAGAACATCTTTATTTCTGCCTTCATTTCGTTATGTACCCAGTAGTCATTCAGGAGCAGGTTGTTCAGTTTCCATGTAGTTGAGTGGCTTTGAGTGAGATTCTTAATCCTGAGTTCTAGTTTGATTGCACTGTGGTCTGAGAGATAGTTTGTTATAATTTCTGTTCTTTTACATTTGCTGAGGAGAGCTTTACTTCCAACTATGTGGTCAATTTTGGAATAGGTGTGGTGTGGTGCTGAAAAAAATGTATATTCTGTTGATTTGGGGTGGAGAGTTCTGTAGATGTCTATTAGGTCTGCTTGGTGCAGAGCTGAGTTCAATTCCTGGGTATCCTTGTTGACTTTCTGTCTCGTTGATCTGTCTAATGTTGACAGTGGGGTGTTAAATTCTCCCATTATTAATGTGTGGGAGTCTAAGTCTCTTTGTAGGTCTCTCAGGACTTGCTTTATGAATCTTGGTGCTCCTGTATTGGGTGCATAAATATTTAGGATAGTTAGCTCCTCTTGTTGAATTGATCCCTTTACCATTATGTAATGGCCTTCTTTGTCTCTTTTGATCTTTGTTGGTTTAAAGTCTGTTTTATCAGAGACTAGGATTGCAACCCCTGCCTTTTTTTGTTTTCCATTGGCTTGGTAGATCTTCCTCCATCCTTTTATTTTGAGCCTATGTGTGTCTCTGCACGTGAGGTGGGTTTCCTGAATACAGCACACTGATGGGTCTTGACTCTTTATCCAACTTGCCAGTCTATGTCTTTTAATTGCAGAATTTAGTCCATTTATATTTAAAGTTAATATTGTTATGTGTGAATTTGATCCTGTCATTATGATGTTAGCTGGTGATTTTGCTCATTAGTTGATGCAGTTCCTTCCTAGTCTCGATGGTCTTTACATTTTGGCATGATTTTGCAGCGGCTGGTACCGGTTGTTCCTTTCCATGTTTAGCGCTTCCTTCAGGAGCTCTTTTAGGGCAGGCCTGGTGGTGACAAAATCTCTCAGCATTTGCTTGTCTGTAAAGTATTTTATTTCTCCTTCACTTATGAAGTTTAGTTTGGCTGGATATGAAATTCTGGGTTGAAAATTCTTTTCTTTAAGAATGTTGAATATTGGCCCCCACTCTCTTCTGGCTTGTAGGGTTTCTGCCGAGAGATCCGCTGTTAGTCTGATGGGCTTTCCTTTGAGGGTAACCCGACCTTTCTCTCTGGCTGCCCTTAACATTTTTTCCTTCATTTCAACTTTGGTGAATCTGACAATTATGTGTCTTGGAGTTGCTCTTCTCGAGGAGTATCTTTGTGGCGTTCTCTGTATTTCCTGAATCTGAACGTTGGCCTGCCTTGCTAGATTGGGGACGTTCTCCTGGATAATATCCTGCAGAGTGTTTTCCAACTTGGTTCCATTCTCCACATCACTTTCAGGTACACCAATCAGACGTAGATTTGGTCTTTTCACATAGTCCCATATTTCTTGGAGGCTTTGCTCATTTCTTTTTATTCTTTTTTCTCTAAACTTCCCTTCTCGCTTCATTTCATTCATTTCATCTTCCATTGCTGATACCCTTTCTTCCAGTTGATCGCATCGGCTCCTGAGGCTTCTGCATTCTTCACGTAGTTCTCAAGCCTTGGTTTTCAGCTCCATCAGCTCCTTTAAGCACTTCTCTGTATTGGTTATTCTAGTTATACATTCTTCTAAATTTTTTTCAAAGTTTTCAACTTCTTTGCCTTTGGTTTGAATGTCCTCCGGTAGCTCAGAGTAATTTGATCGTCTGAAGCCTTCTTCTCTCAGCTCGTCAAAATCATTCTCCATCCAGCTTTGTTCCGTTGCTGGTGAGGAACTGCGTTCCTTTGGAGGAGGAGAGGCGCTCTGCGTTTTAGAGTTTCCAGTTTTTCTGTTCTGTTTTTTCCCCATCTTTGTGGTTTTATCTACTTTTGGTCTTTGATGATGGTGATGTACAGATGGGTTTTCGGTGTAGATGTCCTTTCTGGTTGTTAGTTTTCCTTCTAACAGACAGGACCCTCAGCTGCAGGTCTGTTGGAATACCCTGCCGTGTGAGGTGTCAGTGTGCCCCTGCTGGGGGGTGCATCCCAGTTAGGCTGCTCGGGGGTCAGGTGTCAGGGACCCACTTGAGGAGGCAGTCTGCCCGTTCTCAGATCTCCAGCTGCGTGCTGGGAGAACCACTGCTCTCTTCAAAGCTGTCAGACAGGGACACTTAAGTCTGCAGAGGTTACTGCTGTCTTTTTGTTTGTCTGTGCCCTGCCCCCAGAGGTGGAGCCTACAGAGGCAGGCAGGCCTCCTTGAGTTGTGGTGGGCTCCACCCAGTTCGAACTTCCCGGCTCCTTTGTTTACCTAAGCAAGCCTGGGCAATGGCGGGCGCCCCTCCCCCTGCCTCGTTGCCGCCTTGCAGTTTGATCTCAGACTGCTGTGCTAGCAATCAGCGAGATTCCGTGGGCGTAGGACCCTCTAAGCCAGGTGTGGGATATAGTCTCGTGGTGCGCCCTTTCTTAAGCCGGTCTGAAAAGCGCAATATTCGGGTGGGAGTGACCCGATTTTCCAGGTGCTTCCGTCACCCCTTTCTTTGACTCGGAAAGGGAACTCCCTGACCCCTTGCGCTTCCCAGGTGAGGCAATGCCTCACCCTGCTTCGGTTCGTGCACGGTGCGTGCACACACTGGCCTGTGCCCACTGTCTGGCACTCCCTAGTGAGATGAACCCGGTACCTCAGATGGAAATGCAGAAATCACCCGTCTTCTGGGTCACTCACGCTGGGAGCTGTAGACCGGAGCTGTTCTTATTCGGCCATCTTGGCTCCTCCCCCACATTTTCTTAATCCAGTCTCTCATTGTTGGACATTTGGGTTGGTTCCAAGTCTTCGCTACTGTGAATAATGCAGCAATAAACATACGTGTGCATGTGTCTTTATAGCAGCATGATTTATAGTCCTTTGGGTATATACCCAGTAATGGGATGGCTGGGTCAAATGGTATTTCTAGTTCTAGATCCCTGAGGAATTGCCACACTGACTTCCACAATGGTTGAACTAGTTTACACTCCCACCAACAGTGTAAAAGTGTTCCTATTTCTCCACATCCTCTCTAGCACCTGTTGTTTCCTGACTTTTTAATGATTACCATTCTAACTGGTGTGAGATGGTATCTCATTGTGGTTTTGATTTGCATTTCTCTGATGGCCAGTGATGATGAGCATTTTTTCATGTGTTTTTTGGCTGCATAAATGTCTTCTTTTGAGAAGTGTCTGTTCATGTCCTTCGCCCACTTTTTGATGGGGTTGTTTGTTTTTTTCTTGTAAATTTGTTTGAGTTCATTGTAGATTCTGGATATTAGCCCTTTGTCAGATGAGTAGGTTGTGAAAATTTTCTCCCATTTTGTAGGTTGCCTGTTCACTCTGATGGTAGTTTCTTTTGCTGTGCAGAAGCTCTTTAGTTTAATTAGATCCCATTTGTCAATTTTGTCTTTTGTTGCCATTGCTTTTGGTGTTTTAGACATGAAGTCCTTGCCCATGCCTATGTCCTGAATGGTAATACCTAGGTTTTCTTCCAGGGTTTTTATGGTTTTAGGTCTAATGTTTAAGTCATCAATGCATCTTGAATTGATTTTTGCATAAGGTGTAAGGAAGGGATCCAGTTTCAGCTTTCTACATATGGCTAGCCAGTTTTCCCAGCACCATTTATTAAATAGGGAATCCTTTCCCCATTGCTTGTTTTTCTCAGGTTTGTCAAAGATCAGATAGTTGTAGATATGCGGCATTATTTCTGAGGGCTCTGTTCTGTTCCATTGATCTATATCTCTGTTTTGGTACCAGCATGGTTACTGTAGCCTTGTAGTATAGTTTGAAGTCAGGTAGTTTGATGCCTCCAGCTTTGTTCTTTTGGCTTAGGATTGACTTGGCAATGCAGGCTCTTTTTTGGTTCCATACAAAGAAGAAGTCAAATTGTCCCTGTTCGCAGACGACATGATTGTATATCTAGAAAATCCCATTGTCTCAGCCCAAAATCTCCTTAAGCTGATAAGCAACTTCAGCTAAGTCTCAGGATACAAAATCAATGTACAAAAATCACAAGCATTCTTATACACCAACAACAGACAAAGACAGAAGCAAATCATGAGTGAACTCCCATTCACAATTGCTTCAAAGAGAATTAAATACCTAGGAATCCAACTTACAAGGGATGTGAAGGACTTCTTCAAGGAGAACTACAAACCACTGCCCAAGGAAATAAAAGAGGATACAAACAAATGGAAGAACATTCCATGCTCATGGATAGGAAGAATCAATATCGTGAAAATGGCCATACTGCCCAAGGTAATTTACAGATTCAATGCCATCCCCATCAAGCTACCAATGACTTTCTTCACAGAATTGGAAAAAACTACTTTAAAGTTCATATTGAAGAACCCTTTTTGTATAATCTGCTTGTGCACATTTGGTGCACTTTCAGGGCTATGTAGGAAATGGGAATATCCTCACCTAAAAACTAGACAGAAGCATTCTCAGAAACTTCTTTGTGATATTTGCAATCAAGTCACAGAGTTGAACATACCTTTTCATAGAACACTTTAGAAACACTCTTTTTGTAGAATCTGCAAGTGGATATTTGGACGGCTTTGAGGCCTTCATTGGAAACGGGAATATCTTCACATAAAAACTAGACAGAAGCACTCTCAGAAACTTCTTTTTGATGTGTGCTTTCACCTCGCACAGTGGAACCTGTCTTTTGATAGAGCAGTTTTGAAACATTCTTTCTGTAGAATCTGCAAGAGGACATTTGGAGCGCTTTGAGGGTTATGGTAGAAAAGGAAATATCTTCACAGAAAAATTAGACTGAAGCAGTCTCAGAAACTTCTTTGTCATGGTTGCTTTCAACTCACAGAGTTGAACATATCTTTATATAGAGTAGTTTTGAAAATTTTTTTTTTAGAATCTGCAAGTGGACATTTGGAGCGCTTTGAGGGCAATGGTGTAAAAGGAAATATCTTCACATACAAACTAGACAGAAGGATTCTCAGAAACATCTTTGTGATGTGTGCATTGAACCTACAGAGTTAAACCTTCCTTTTGATAGAGCAGTTTTGATACACTCTTTCTGCAGAATCTGCAAGTGGATATTTTGACCGCTTTGAAGCCTTCGTTGGAAACGGGAATATCTTCACATAAAAACTAGACAGAAGCATTCTCAGAAACTTCTTTTTGATATGTGCATTCAACTCACAGAGTTGAACCTTTCTTTTGATAGAGCCGTTTTGAAACACTCTTTTTGTAGAATCTGCAAGTGGACATTTGAAGCGCTTTGACGCTTTCGGGGGAAAAGGAAATATCTTCACATAAAAACTAGACACAAGCATTCTCAGAAACTACTTTGGGATGCGTGCATTCCACTCACAGAGATGAACCTGTCTTTTGATAGAGCAGTTTTGCAACACTCTTTTTGTAGAATCTGCAAGTGGATATTTGGACAGCTTTGAGGCCTTTGTAGGAAACGGGAATATATTCACATAAAAACTAGACAGAAGCATTCTCAGAACCTTCTTTGTGACGTTTGCATTCAACTCACAAAGTTGAACATAACTTTTTATACCGCAGTTTTTAAACACTCTTTTCGTAGAATCTGCAAGTGGATATTTGGAGCGCTTTGAGGCCTGTGGTAGAAAAGGAAATATCTTCATATAAAAACTAGGCAGAAGCATTCTCAGAAACTAACTTGAGATCTGTGCATTCAGCTCATAGATTTGAACCTTTCTTTGATAGAGCAGTTTTGAAACACTCTTTTCTAGAATCTGCAAGTGGACCGTAGTAGTGCTTTGAGGGCTATGGTGGAAATGTGAATATCTACACAGAAAAACTAGACAGAAGCATTCTCAGAAACTTCTTTGTGATGATTGCATTCAACTCAAACAGTTGAACATACCTTTGGATAGAGCAGTTTTGAAACACTCTTTTTGTAGAATCTGCAAGTGGATGTTTTGTCTGCTTTGAGGACTTCGTTGGAAAACGGAATAAATTCACATAAAAACTAGACAGACGCATTCTTATAAACTTCTTTGTGATGTGTGTATTCAACTTACAGAGTTGAACCTGTCTTTTAAGAGAGCAGTTTTGAAGCACTCTTTTTGTAGAATCTGGAAGTGGATATTTGGACTGCTTTGAGGCCTTCGTTGGAATCAGGAATATCTTCACATAAAAACTAGACAGAAGCATTCTCAGAAACCATTTTGTGATGTGTGCATTCAACTCACAGATTTGTACCTTTGTTTTGAAAGAGCAGTTCTGAAACACGCTTTTTGTAGAATCTGCAAGTGGACATTTGGAGCGCTTTGGGGGCTATGGTGGAAAAGGAAGTATCTTCAAAGAAAAACTAGACAGAAGCATTCTCAGAAACTTCTTTGCGATGATTGCATTGAATCCAAACAGTTGAACATACCTTTTCATAGAGCAGTTTTGAAACACTCTTTTGTAGAATTTGCAAGTGGATATTTGGACTGCTTTGAGGCCTTCGTTGGAAACGGGAATATCTTCACATAAAAAATTAGACAGAAGCATTCTCAGAAACTACTTTGTGATGTCTGCATTCAACTCACAGAGTTGAACCTGTCTTTTGATGAAGCAGTTTTGAAACACTCTTTTTGTAGAATCTGCAAGTGGACATTTGGAGCACTGTGAGGGCTATGGTGGAAAAGGAAATTTCTTCACCTAAAAATTAGACAGAAGCATTCTCAGAAACTTCCTCTTGATGTTTGCATTCAACTCACAGAGTTGAATATACCTTTTCATAGAGCAGTTTTGAAACACTCTTTTTGTAGAATCTGCAAGTGTATATTTGGAACCGCTTTTGAGGCGTTTGTTGGAAATGGGAATATCTTCACCTAAAAACTAGACAGAAACATTCTCAGAAACTTCTTTTTGACGTGTGCTTTCAACTCGCACATTTGAACCTCTCTTTGGATAGAGCAGTTTTGAAACACTCTTTTTGTAGTCTGCAAGTGGACATTTGGAGCACTGTGAGGGCTATGGTGGAAAAGGAAATTTCTTCACCTAAAAATTAGACAGAAGCATTCTCGGAAACTTCCTCTTGATGTTTGCATTCAATTCACAGAGTTGAATATATCTTTTCATAGAGCAGTTTTGAAACACTCTTTTTGTAGAATCTGCAAGTGGACATTTGGAGCCTTTGAGGGTTATGGTAGAAAAGAAAATATCTTCACAGAAAAATTAGACAGAAGCAGTCTCAGAAACTTCTTTGTGATGGTTGCTTTCCTCTCACAGAGTTGAACATATCTTTTTATAGAGCAGTTTTGAAACATTTTTTTTTTTGTAGAATCTGCAAGTGGACATTTGGAGCGCTTTGAGGGCAATGGTGTAAAAGGAAATATCTTCACATACAAACTAGACAGAAGGATTCTCAGAAACATCTTTGTGATGTGTGCATTGAACCTACAGAGTTAAACCTTCCTTTTGATAGAGCAGTTTTGATACAGTCTTTCTGCAGGATCTGCAAGCAGATATTTGGACCGCTTTGAAGCCTTCATTGGAAACGGGAATATCTTCACATAAAAACTAGACAGAAGCATTCTCAGAAACTTCTTTTTGATGTGTGCATTCAACTCACAGAGTTGAACCTTTCTTTTGATAGAGCCGTTTTGAAACACTCTTTTTGTAGAATCTGCAAGTGGACATTTGAAGCGCTTTGACGCTTTCGGGGGAAAAGGAAATATCTTCGCATAAAAACTAGACACAAGCATTCTCAGAAACTACTTTGGGATGCGTGCATTCAACTCACAGAGTTGAACCTGTCTTTTGATAGAGCAGTTTTGAAACACTTTTTTTTGTGGAATCTGCAAGTGGATATTTGGAACGCTTTGAGGCCTTTGTAGGAAACGGGAATATATTCACATAAAAACTAGACAGAAGCATTCTCAGGACCTTCTTTGTGACGTTTGCATTCAACTCACAAAGTTGAACATACCTTTTTATACTGCAGTTTTTAAACACTCTTTTCGTAGAATCTGCAAGTGGATATTTGGAGCGCTTTGAGGCCTATGGTAGAAAAGGAAATATCTTCATATAAAAACTAGGCAGAAGCATTCTCAGAAACTAATTTGAGATGTGTGCATTCAACTCACAGAGTTGAACCTTTCTTTTGATAGAGCAGTTTTGAAACACTCTTTTTTGGAATCTGCAAGTGGACCGTAGTAGCACTTTGAGGGCTATGGTGGAAATGCGAATATCTACACAGAAAAACTAGACAGAAGCATTCTCAGAAACTTCTTTGTGATGATTGCATTCAACTCACACAGTTGAACATACCTTTCGATAGAGCAGTTTCGAAACACTCTTTTTGTAGAATATGCAAGTGGATGTTTTGTCCGCTTTGAGGACTTCATTGGAAATGGGAATAAATTCACATAAAAACTAGACAGAAGCATTCTTATAAACTTATTTGTGATGTTTGTATTCAACTTACAGATTTGAACCTGTCTTTTGAGAGAGCAGTTTTGAAGCACTCTTTTTGTAGAATTTGCAAGTGGATATTTGGACTGCTTTGAGGCCTTCTTTGGAATCGGGAATATCTTCACATAAAAACTAGACAGAAGGATTCTCAGAAACTTCTTTGTGACGTCTGCATTCAACTCACAGTGTTGAACCTGTCTTTTGATGAAGAAGTTTTGAAACACTCTTTCTGTAGAATCTGCAAGTGGACACTTGGAGCGCTGTGAGGGCTATGGTGGAAAAGGAAATTTCTTCACCTAAAAACTAGACAGAAGCATTCTCAGAAATTTCTTTGTGATGTTAGCATTCAACTCACAGAGTTGAATATACCTTTTCATAGAGCAGTTTTGAAACACGCTTTTTGTAGAATCTGCAAGGGTATATTTGGACCGCTTTTGAGGCGTTTGTTGGAAATGGGAATATCTTCACATAAAAACTAGACAGAAGCATTCTCAGAGACTTCTTTGTTATGTGTGTATTCAACTCCCAGAGTTGAACCTTCCTGTTGATAGAGCACTTTTCAAACACTCTTTTGTGGAATCTGCAAGTGGATATTTGGAGCGGTTTGAGGCGTATGGTACAATAGGAAATATCTTCATATAAAAATTAGACAGAAGCAGTCTCAGAAAATACTTTACGATGTGTGCATTAAACTCACATAGTTGAACCTTTCTTTTAATGGAGCAGTTTTGAAACACTGTTTTTGTAGAATCTGCAAGTGGATATTTGGTGCACTTTGAAGGCAATGGTGGAGAAGGAAATATCTTCACATAAACAATAGACAGAAGCATTCTCAGAAACGTCTTTGTGATGATTGCATTCAGCTCACAGGGTTGAACATACCTTTTCTTAGAGTAGTTTTGAAACACTCTTTTTATAGAATCTGCAAGTGGATATATGGACCGCCTTGAGGCCTTCGTTGGAAAAGGGAATATCTTCATATAAAAAAAAGGCAGAAGCATTCTTAGAAACTTCTTTGTGATGTGTGCATTCAAATCACAGATTTGAAACTTCCTTTTGGTAGAGCGGTTATGAAACACTCTTTGTAGAATCTGCAAGTGGATATTTGGAGCGCTTTGAGGTCTACGGTTGAAACAGGAATATCTTCCCATATAACATAGACAGAAGCATTCCTAGAAACTTCTTGGTGATGTGTGCATTCACCACACGGAGTTGAACATTTCTTTTGATAGAGCAGTTTTTAAATACTCTTTTTGTATATCTGCAAGTGGATATTTGTACTGCTCTGAGGCCTTCGTTGGAAACGGGAATAACTTCGCATAAAAACTAGAATGAAGCATTCTCAGAAACTTCTTTTTGATATGTGCTTTCAACGAACAGAGCTGAACCTGTCTTTTGATAGAGCAGTTTTGAAAAACCCTTTTTGTAGAATATGCAAGTGGACATTTGAAGTGGTCTGAGGTCTATGATGGAAAAGGAAGTATCTTCACCTAAAAACTAGACAGAAGCATTCTCAGAAACTTCTTTGTGATGATTGCATTCAGTTCACAGTGTTGAACATACCTTTTCATAGAGCAGTTTTGAAACATTCTTTTTGTAGAATCAGCAAGTGGATATTTGGAGCACTTTGAGGACTATGGTTGAAACGGGAATATCTTCACTTAAAATCTAGACAGAAGCATTCTCAGAAACTTCTTTGTGATGTTTGCATTCAACCCACAGAGTTGAACATACCTTTTCATAGAGCAGTTTTGAAACACTCTTTTTGAAGAATCTGCAATGGATATTTGGACTGCTTTGAGGCCTTCTTTAGAAACGGGAATATCTTCACATAAAAATTAGACAGAAGCCTTCTCAGAAACTTCATTTTGATGTGTGCATTCAACTCACAGAGTTGAACCTTCGTTTTGATAGAGCAGTTTTCAAACACTCTCTTTGTAGAATCTGCCAGTGGATATTTGGAGCGCTTTGAGGCCTACTGTAGAAAAGGAAATATCTTCATAAAAAAACTGGACAAAAGAATTATCAGAAACTTATTTGTGATGTGTGCATTCAACTCACAGAGTTGAATCTTTCTTTTTATGGCTCAGTTATGAAACACTCTTTTCGTAAAATCTGCAAGTGGATATTTGGAGTGATTTGAGGCTTATGGTAGAAATGCAAAAATCTTCATATAAAAAGTAGACAGAAGCATTCTCAGAATCTACTTTGCGATGTGTGCATTCAACTCACAGAGTTGAACTTTTCTTTTGATAGAGCAGTTTTGAAACACTCTTGTTTTAAAATCTGCAAGTGGACATTTGGAGCGCTTTGAGGGCTATGGTGGAAAAGGAAGTATCTTCACATAAAAACTAGACAGAAGCATTCTCAGAAACTTCTTTTTGATGTGTGTATTCAACTCACAGTGTTGAACCTTCCTTTTGATAGAGCAGTTATGAAACAGTCTTTTTGTAGAATCTGCAAGTGGATATTTGGAGCATTTTGAGGCCTACGGTTGAAACGGGAATATCTTCACATAAAAACTAGACAGAAGCATTAGCAGAAACTTCTTTGTTATGTGTGGATTCAACTCACAGAGTTGAACCTTTGTTTTGATAGAGCAGTTTTGATACACTCTTTTTGTAGAATCTGCAAGGGGATATTTGGACTGCTTTGAGGCCTTCGTTTGAAACAGGAATATCTTCACATAAAAACTAGACAGAATTATTCTCAGAAACTTCTTTGTGATGATTGCATTCAAATCACAGAGTTGAACGTACATTTTCATAGAGCAGTTTTGAAACACTCTTTTTGTAGAATCTGCAATTGGATATTGGGACCGCTTTGAGGCCTTCGTTGGAAACGGGAATATTTTCACATAAAAACTAGACAGAAGCATTCTCAGGAGCTTCTTTGCAATGTGTGCCTTCAACTCATCGAGTTGAACCTTCCTTTTGATAGAGCGGTTTTGAAACACTCTTTTTGAAGAATCTGCAAGTGTATATTTGGACTGCTTTGAGCCCTTCATTGGAAACGGGAATATCTTCACATAAAAACTAGACAGAAGCATTCTCAGGAGCTTCTTTGCAATGTGTGCCTTCAACTCATCGAGTTGAACCTTCCTTTTGATAGAGCAGTTTTGAAACACTCTTTTTGAAGAATCTGCAAGTGGATATTTGGACTGCTTTGAGCCCTTCATTGGAAACGGGAATATCTTCACATAAAAACTAGACAGAAGCATTCTCAGAAATTTCTATGTTATGTGTGCATTCAACTCACAGAGTTAAACCTTCCCTTTGATAGAGCAGTTTGAAACACTCCTTTTGTAGAATCTGCAAGTGGATATTTGGACTGCTTTTAGCCCTTCATTGGAAACGGGAATATCTTCACATAAAAACTAGACAGAAGTATTCTGAGAAATTTCTCTGTGATGTATGTGTTCAACTCACAGAGTTAAACCTTCCCTTTGATAGAGCAGTTTGAAACACTCCTTTTGTAGAATCTGCAAGTGGATATTTGGACTGCTTTTAGCCCTTCATTGGAAACGGGAATATCTTCACATTAAAACTAGACAGAAACATTCTCAGAAACTTCTTTGTGATGCGTGCATTCAACTCACAGAGTTGAATCTTCCTTTTGATAGAGGACTTTTGGAACACTCTTTTTTAGAATCTGCAAGTGGATATTTGGAGCGCTTTGAGGACTATGGTAGAAAAGCAAATATCTTCATGTAAAACTAGACAGAAGCATTCTCAGAAACTTCTTTGTGATGTGTGCATTCAACTAACAGAGTTGAACTTTTCTTTTGATAGAGCAGTTTTGAAACACTCTCTTTTTAGAATCTGCAATTGGATATTTGGAACACCATGAGGCCTACGTTTGAAACGGAAATATCTTCACGTAAAAACTAGACAGAAGCATTCACAGAAACTTCTTTGTGATTTGTGAATTCAACTCACTGAGTTGAAACTTCCATTTGGTAGAGCAGTTTTGAAACACTTTTTTTAAAGAATCTGCAAGTGGGTATTTGGAGAGCTTTGAGGACTGTGTTAGAAAAGCAAATATCTTCGTGTAAAAACTAGACAGAAGGATTCTCAGAAATTTCTTTTGATGTGTGCATTCAACTAACAGAGTGGAACTTTTCTTTTGATAGAGCCGTTTTGAAACACTCTTTTTGTAGAATCTGCAAGTCGATATTGGGACCGCTTTGAGACCTTCGTTGGAAACAGGAATATCTTCACGTAAAAACTAGACAGAAGCATTCTCAGAAACTTCTTTGTGATGTGTGCATTCAAATCACAAAGTTGAACCTTCCTTTTTATGAGCGGTTTTGAAAACCTCTTTTTATAGAGTCTGCAAGTGGATATTTGGAGCACTTTGAGGCCTATGTTTGAAACGGGAATATCTTCATATAAAAACTAGACAGAAGCATTCTCAGAAACTTCTTTCTTACGTGTGCATTCAACTCACTGAGTTGAACCTTTCTTTTGGTAGAGCAGTTCTGAAACACTCTTTTTTTAGAATCTGCAAGTGGATATTTGGACTGCTTTGAGGCCTTTGTTGGAAACGGGAATATCGTCACATAAAAAATAGGCAGAAGCATTCTCAGGAACTTCTTTGTTATGTGTCCAATCAAATCGCAGAGTTGAACCTTCCCTTTGATAGAGCAGTTTTGAAACACTCTTTTTGTAGAATCTGCAAGTGGATATTTGGAGCACTTTGAGGCCTTCTGTTGAAATGGTAATATCTTCACCTAAAAACTAGAAAGAAGAATTCTCAGACACTTCTTTGTGATGTGTGCATTCAACTCACAGAATTGAACCTTCCTGTTGATAGAGAAGTTTTGAAACACTCTTTTTGTGGAATCTGCAAGTGGATATTTACTCTGCTTTGAGGACTTCGTTGGAAACGGGAATATCTCCACATAAAAACTAGACAGAAGAATTCTCAGGAATGACTTTGATATGTGTGCATTAAACTCACAGAGTTGAACCTTCCTTTAGATAGAGCAGCTTTGAAACACTCTTTTTGGACATTTGGGTTGGTTCCAAGTCTTTGCTATTATGAATAATGCCACAATTAACATACGTGTGCATGTGTCTTTATAGCAGCATGATTTATAGTCCTTTGGGTATATACCCAGTAATGGTTTGCCTGGGTCAAATGGTATTTCTAGTGCTAGATCCCTGAGGAATTGCCACACTGACTTCCACAATGGTTGAACTAGTTTACAGTCCCACCAACAGTGTAAAAGTGTTCCTATTTCTCCACATCCTCTCTAGCACCTGTTGTTTCCTGACTTTTTAATGATTGCCATTCTAACTGGTGCAAAATGGTATCTCATTGTGGTTTTGATTTCCATTTCTCCGATGGCCAGTGATGGTGAGCATTTTTTCATGTGTTTCTTGGCTGCATAAATGTCTTCTTTTGAGAAGTGTCTGTTCATGTCCTTTGCCCACTTTTTGATGGGGTTGTTTGTTTTATTCTTGTAAATTTGTTTGAGTTCATTGCCCAACAATGATAGACTGGATTAAGAAAATGTGGCACATATACACCATGGAATACTAGGCAGCCATAAAAAATGATGAGTTCATGTCCTTTGTAGGGACATGGATGGAATTGCAAATCTTCATTCTCAGTAAACTATTGCAAGAACAAAAAACCAAACCCCGCATATTCTCACTCATAGGTGGGAATTGATCAATGAGAACACATGGACACAGGAAGGGAAACATTACACTCTGGGGACTGTTGTGGGCTGGGGGGAGGGGAGAGGGATAGCACTGGGAGATATACCTAATGTTAGATGACGAGTTAGTGGGTGCAGCGCACCAGCATGGCACATGTATACATATGTAACTAACCTGCACACTGTGCAAATGTACCCTAAAACTTAAAGTATCATAATAAATAAATAAATAAATAAATAAATAAAAAGAAACACTCTTTTTGTAGAATCTGCAAGTCTATATTGGGACCGCTTTGAGGCTTTCATTGGAAACGGGAATATCTTGACAAAAAACTAGACAGAACCATTCTCAGAAACTCCTTTGTGATGTGTGCATTCAACTCACAGAGTTGAACCTTCCTTTTGATAGAGTACTTTTGAAACACTCTTTTTGTAGAATCTGCAAGTGGATATTTGGAGCACTTAGAGGCCTATGGTTGAAACGGGAATATCTTCACATAAAAAGTAGACAGAATTATTCTCAGAAACTTCTTTGTGATGTGTGCATTCAACTCACAGAGTTGAACCTTCCTTTTGATACAGAAGTTTTGAAACACTATTTTTGTAAAATCTGCAAGTGGATATTTGGACTGCATTGAGGCTTTCGTTGGAAACGGGAATATCTCTGCATAAAAACTAGACAGAAGCATTCTCAGGAAAGTCTTTGTTATGTGTGCATTAAACTCACAGTGTTGAACCTTCCTTTTGATAGAGCAGTTTTGAAACACTCTTTTGGTAGAATCTGCAAGTGGATATTTGGACTGCTTTGAGGCATTCAGTGGAAACGGGAATAACTTCACCTTAAAACTAGGCAGAAGCATTCTCGGAAACTTCTTTGTGATGTGCGCATTGAACTCACAGAGATGAACGTTCCTTTTGATAGAGCATTTTTGAAACTCTCTTTTTATAGAATCTGCAAATGGATATTGGGACCACTTTGCGGCCTAAGGTTGAAACGGTAGTATCTTCACATAAAAACCAGACAGAAGCATTCTCAGAAACTTCTTTGTGATGACTGAATTCAACTCACAGAGTTGAACATACCTTTTCATAGAGCAGTTTTGAAATACTCTTTTTGTAGAATCTGCAAGTGGATATTAGGACTGCTTTGAGGGTTTCTTTGGAAATGGGAATATCTTCACATAAAAACTAGACAGAAGCATTCTCAGGAACTTCGTTGTGATGTTTGCATTCAATTCACAGATTTGAACCTTCCTTTTCATAGCGCAGTTTTGAAACACTCTTTTTGTAGAATCTGCAATTGGATATTTAGACTGCTTTTAGGCCTTCGTTGCAAATAGGAATATCTTCACGTAAAATGTAGACAGAAGAATTCTCAGAAACTATTTTGTTATGTGTGCATTGAACTCACAGAGTTGAACCTTCCTTTTGATAGAGCAGTTTTGAAACAGTCTTTTTGTAGAATCTGCATGTGGATATTTGGACTACTCTGAGGTCTTTGTTGGAAACAGGAATATCTCCACATGAAAACTAGACAGAAGCATTCTCAGGAACTTCTTTGTTAAGTGAGCACTAAACTCATAGAATTGAACCTTCCTTATGATAGAGCAGTTTCGAAACACTCTTTTTGTAGAATCTGCAAGTGGACATTTGGACTGCTTTGAGGCCTTCATTGGAAACGGGAAAATCTTCACATTAAAACTGGACAGAAGCATTCTCAGAAACTTCTTTACGATGTGTGCATTCAACTCACAGAGTTGAACCTTCCTTTTGAGAGAGCAGTTTTGCAACACTCTTTTTGTAGAATCTGCAAGTGGATATTTGGAGTATTTTGAAGCCTACGGTTGAAACGGAAATATCTTCACATAAAAACTAGACAGAATCATTCTCAGAAACTCCTTTGTGGTGTGTGCATTCAACTCACAGAGTTGAAACTCCCTTTTGATAGAGCAGTTGTGAAACACTCTTTTTGTAGAATCTGCAAGTGGATATTTGGATTGATTTGAGGCTTTCATTGGAAACCGGAATATCTTCACTTAAAAACTAGACAGAATTATTCTCAGGAACTTCTTTGTCATGGTTGCATTCAATTCACAGAATTGAACCTTCCTTTTGATAGAGCAGTTTTGAAACATTCTTTTTGTAGTATCTGCAAGGGGATATTTGGAATGCTTTGAGGCCTTCTAGGAAACGGGAATATCTTCACATAAAATGTAAACAGAAGAATTCTCAGAAACTACTTTGTTATGGGTGCATTCAATTCACAGATTGGAACCTTCCTTTTGATAGAGCAGTTTTAAAACACTCTTTTTGTAGAGTCTGCAAGTGGATATTTGGACTGCTTTGAGGCCTTCCTTGGAAATGGGAATAACTTCACATAAAAACTAGACAGAAGCATTCACAGAAACTTCTTTGTTATGTGTGCATTCAACTCACAGAGTTGACCCTTCCTTTTAAAAGAGCAGTTTTGAAACACATTTTTTGTAGAATCTGCAAGTGGATATTTGGAGCACTTTGAGGCCTACTCTTGTAACGGGATTACCTTCACACAAAGACTAGAAGAAGCATTCTAAGAAACTACTTTGTGATGTGTGCATTCAACGCACAGAGTTGAACCTTTCTTTTGATAGAGCAGTTTTGAAACACTATTTTTGTAAAATCTGCAAGTGGATATTTGAAGCGCTTTGAGGCCTATGGTGGAAAACCAAATATCTCCATATAAAAACTAGACAGAAACATTCTCAGAATCTAATCTGTGATATGTGCATTCAACTCAGAGTTGACCTTTCCTTTTGATAGAGCAGTTTTGAAACACTCTTTTTGTAGAAAATGAAGTTGATATTTGGAGGGCTTTCAGGGCTATGGTGGAAAAGGAAGTATCCTCACATAAAAATTAGACAGAAGCATTCTCAGACACTTGTTTGTGATGATTCCATTCAGCTCACAGAGTTGAACATACCTTTTCATAGAGCTGTTTTGAAACAATCTTTTTGTACAATCTGCAAGTGGATATTGGGACCCCTTTGAGCCCTTCATTGAAAAAGGGAATGTCTTCACATGAAAACTAGAAAGAAGCATTCTCAGAAAGTTCTTTATGATGTGTGCATTCAACTCACAGAGTTGAACCTTCCTTTTGATAGAGCGCTATTGGAACACTCTTTTTGTAGAATCTACAAGTGGATATTTGGAGCATATTGAGGCCAACGGTTGAAACGGGAATATCTTCACATAAAAACTAGACAGAAGCATTCTCAGAAAATTCCTTGTATGTGTGCATTCAACTCACACAATTGAACCTTGATTTTGATAGAGCAGTTTTGAAGCATTCTTTTTGTAGAATCTGCAAGTGGATATTTGGAGCACTTTGAGGCCTATGGTTGAAACGGGAATATCTTCACATAAAAACTAGACAGATGCATTCTCAGAAACTTCTTTGTAATGTGTGCATTCAACTCACAGAGTTGAACCTTCCTTTTGATAGAGCAGTTTTGGAACACTCTTTTTGTAGAATCTGCAGGTGAATATTTGGAGCGCTTTCAGGCTTATGGTAGAAATGCAAATATCTTCATATAAAAACTAGACAGAAGCATTCTCAGAAACTACTTTGTGATGTGTGCATTCAACTCACAGAGTTGAATTTTTCTTTTGATAGAGTAGTTTTGAAACACTCTTTTTGTAGAATCTGCAAGTGGACATTTGGAGCGCTTTTAGGGCTATGATGGAAAAGGTAGTATATTCACATAAAAGCTAGACAGAAGCATTCTCTGGAAATTCCTTGTGATTATTGCATTCAACTCACAGAGTTGAACATATCTTTTCACAGAGCAGTTTTGAATCTCTCTTTTGTAGAATCTGCTAGTGGATATTGGGACTGCTTTGAGGCCTTCGTTGGAAACGGGAATATATTCACATAAAAACTAGACAGAACCATTCTCAGAAACTTCTTTGTGATGTGTGCATTCAGTTCACAGAGTTGAACGTACCTTTTCATAGAGCAGTTTTGAAACACTTTTTTTGTACAATCTACAAGTGGATATTTGGAGCACATTGAGGCCTATGGTGAAAAAGGAAATATCTTCACATAAAAACTAGACAGCAGCATTCTCAGAATCTTTTCTGTGATGTGTGCATTCACCTCACAGTTTTGAAACTTCCCTTTGATAGAGCAGTTTTGAAACACTCTTTTTAAAGAATCTGCAAGTGGATATTTTGACCGCTTTGAGGCCTAAGGTTGAAACGGGCATATATTCACATAAAAACTAGACAGAAGCATTCTCAGAAACATCTTTATGATGATTGCATTCAACTCACAGAGTTGAAGATATCTTTTCATAGAGTAGTTTTCAAAAACTCTTTTTGTAGAATCTGCTAGAGGATATTGGGACTGCTTTGGGGCCTTCTTTGGAAACGGGAATATCTTCACATGAAAACTAGAGAGAAGAATTCTCAGAAACTTCTTTGTGATGTGTGCATTCAAATCACAGAGTTGAACCTTCCTTTTGATTGAGCAGTTTTGAAACACTCTTTTTGTTGAATCTGCAAGTGAATATTTGGAGCACTTTGTGGACTACATTTGAAACGGGAATATCTTCACATAAAAATTAGACAGAAGCATTCTCACAAACTTCTTTCTTATGTGTGCATTCGACTAACGGAGTTGAAACTTTCTTTTGGTAGAGCAGTTTTGAAAGACTCTTTTTGTAGAATCTGCAAGTGGATATTAGGTCTGCTTTGAGGTGTTTGTTGGAAACGGGAATATCCTCACATAAAAAGTAGACAGAAGCATTCTCAGGAACTCCTTCGTATGTTTGCATTGAAATCACAGAGTTGAACCTTCCTTTCTATAAAGCAGTTTTGAAACACACTTTTTGTAGAACCTGCATGTTTATATTTGGACTGCTTTGAGGCCTTCGCTGGAAATGGGAATATCGTCACCTAAAAAGAAGACAGAAGCATTCTAAGAAACTTCTTTGTTACGTGTGCATTCAACTCACAGAGTTGAACCTTCCTTTTGATATAGAAGTATTGAAACTCTGTTTTTGCAGAACCTCCAAGTGCATATTTGGATGGCTTTGAGGCCTTCGTTGGAAACGGGAGTATCTTCACATAAAATCTAGACAGAAGAATTCTCAGAAACTTCTTTGTTATGTGGGCATTCACCTCACAGAGTTGAACCTTCCTTTTGATAGAGCAGTTTTGAAACACTCTTTTTATAGCATCTGCAAGTTGATATTAGGACTGCTTTGAGGCTTTCATTGGAATCGAGAATATCTTCATATAAAAAGTAGAGAGCAGCATTGCCAGAAACTTCTCTGTGATGATGGCATTCAACTTACAGAGTTGAACATACCTTTTCATAAATCAGTTTTGAAATACTCTTTTTGTAGCCTCTACAGTTGGATATTTGGAGAGCTTTGAGGCATGTGGTTGAAACGGGAATATCTCCACATAAAAACTAGACAGAATCGTTCTCAGAAATTTCTTTGCGATGATTGCATTCAACTCAGAGAGTTGAACATACCTTTTCATAGAACAGTTTTGAAACACTCTTTTTGTAGAATCTACAAGTGAATATTGCGACCGCTTTGAGGCCTTCATTGGAAACGGGAATATATTCACATAAAAGTGAGACAGAAGCAATCTCAGAAACTTCTTTGTGATGTGTACATTCAACTCACAGAGTTGAACCTTTTTTTTGATAGAGCAGTTTTGAAACACTCTTCTTGTAGTATCTGCAAGTGGATATTTGGACTGCTTCGAGGCCTTTGTTAGAAAAGGGATATCTTCACATAAGATCTAGACAGAAGCATACTCAGAAACATCCTTGTGATGTGTATATTCAACTCACCGAGTTGAACCTTCCTTTTAATAGAGCAGTTTTGAAACACTCTTTTTCTAGAATCTGCAAGTTGACATTTGGAGTGCTTTAAGGGCTATGCTGGAAAAGGAAGTATCTTCACATAAAAACTAGAAAGAAGCATTCCCAGAAACTTCTTTGTGATAATTGAATTCAACTCACGAAGTTGAACATTCCTTTTCATAGAGCAGTGTTGAAGCACCCTTTTTGTAGAATCTGCAAGTGGATATTTGGAGTGCTTTGAGGCCTTCATTGGAATCGGGAATATCTTCACATAAAAACTAGACAAAAGCATTCTCAGAAACTTCTTTGTGATGTGTGCATTCAACTCACAGAGTTGAATCTTCCTATTGATAGAGCAGATTTGAAACACTCTTTTTGTAGAATCTGCAAGTGGATATTTGCAGCACTATGAAGCCTACAGCTGAAACGGGAATATCTTCACATAAAAATTAGACAGAAGCATTCTCAGAAAGTTCTTTGTGATGCATGCATTCATGTCACAGAGTTGAACCTTACTTTTGATAGAGCAGTTTTGAAACACTCTTTTTGTAGAATCTCCAAGTGGATATTTGGACCGCTTTGAGGCCTATGGTTGAAAGGGGAATATCTTCACATAAAAACCAGAAAAAAGCATTCTCAGAAACTTCTTTGTGATGATTGCATTCAATTCAGATTGTTTAACATGCCTTTTCATAGAGTGGTTTTTAAACACTCTTTTTGTAGAATCTGCCAAAGGATATTAGGACTGCTTTGAGGCCTTCATTGGAAATCAGGATATCTTCACATAAAAACTAGACAGACGCATTCTCAGAAACTACTTTGTGATGTGTGCATTCAACTCACAGAGTTGAACGTTGCTTTTGATAGAGCAGTTTTGAAACACTCTTTTTGTAGAATCTGCATGTGGATATTTGGTGCATTTTGAGGCCTACGGATGAAACGGGAATATCTTCACATAAAATCTAGACAGAAGCATTCTCAGAAACTTCTTTGTGATGATAAAATTCAACTAACAGAGTTGAACATACCTTTCCAGAGAGCAGTTTTTAAACACTCTTTTTGTAGGATCTGCAAGTGGATATTTGTACCGCTTTGAGGCCTTTGTTGGAAATTGGAATATCTTCACATAAAAACTAGACAGAAGCATTCTCAGAAACTTCTTTGTGATGTGTGCATTCAACTCACAGGGCTGAACCTTCCTTTTGATCGATCAGGTTTGAAACACACTTTTTGTAGAATCTGCCAGTGGATATTTGGAGCACTTTGAGTCCTACGGTTGAAAAGGGAATATCTTCACATAAAAAATAGACTGAATCATTCTCAGAAACTCCTTTGTTATGTGTGCATTCAACTGACGGATTTGAACCCTTCTTTTGATAGAGCAGTTTTGAAACACTGTTTTTGTACAATCTGCAAGTGGATATTTGGATGCTTTGAGGCATTCATTAGAAACGGGAATATCTTCACATAAAAACTATACAGAAGCATTCTCAGAAACTTCTTTGTTATTTGTGCATTCAATTCACAAAATTAAAGTGTCCTTTTGAAAGAGCAGTTTGGAAACACACTTTTTGTAGAATCCTCAAGTGGGTATTTGCACTGCTTGGAGCCCCTCTTTGGAAACGGGAATATCTTCACATAAAAACTAGACAGAAGCATTCTCAGGAACTTCTTTGTTATGTGTGCATTCAATTCACAGAGTTGAACATTCCTTTTGATAGAACAGTTATGAAACACTCTTTTTGTAGAATGTGCAAGTGGATATTTGGACTGCTTTTAGGCCTTCGTAGGAAACGGGAATATCTTCCCATAAAAACTAGACAGAAGCATTCTCAGAAACTTCTTTGTGATGTGTGCATTCAACTCACAGAGTTGAACCTTCGTATTGATAGAGCAGTATTGAAACACTCTTTTTGTAGAATCTGCAAGTGGATATTTGGAGAGCTTTGAGTCCTACAGTGGAAACGGGAATATCTTCACATAAAAACTAGACAGAAGCATTCTCAGAAACTTCTTTGTGATGTGTGCATTCAACTCACAGAATTGAACCTTTCTTTTGATAGAGCAGTATTCACACACTCTTTTTGTAGAATCTGTAAGTGGATATTTGGACCGCTTTGAGGACTATGGTTGAAACTGGAATATCTTCACATAAAATCTAGACAGAAGCATTCTCAGAATCTTCCTTCTGATGTGTGCATTCAACTCACAGGGTTGAACCTTTCTTTTGTTAGAGCAA
This sequence comes from Homo sapiens, assembly GCF_000001405.40. Lineage (NCBI taxonomy): Eukaryota > Metazoa > Chordata > Mammalia > Primates > Hominidae > Homo > Homo sapiens. The sequence continues at coordinate 48,873,140 of NC_000011.10, forward strand.
TTCTGAAACACTGTTTTAGTAGGATCTGCAAGTGGACATTTGGAACCCTTTGAGGCCTACGGTGGAAAAGGAAATATCTTCACCTAAAAACTAGAGAGAAGCATTCTCAGAAACTTCTTTGTGATGTTTGCATTCAAGTCACAGAGTTGAACATACCTTTTCTTAAAGCAGTTTTGATAAACTGTTTTTGTAGAATCTGCAATTGGATATTTGGATTGCTTTGTGGCCTTCGTTGGAAACGGGAATATCTTCACATAAAAACTATATGAAGAATTCTCAGAAACTTCTTTGTAATGTGGGCATTCAACTGACAGAGTTGAACCTTCCTTTTGATAGAGCAGTTTTCAAACACTCTTTTTGCAGAATCTGCAAGTGGATATTTGGAGCGATGTGAGGCCTATGGTAGAAAAGGAAATATCTTCATATAAAAACTAGACAGAAGCATTCTCAGAAACTAGTTTGTGATGTGTGCATTCAACTAACAGAGATGAACCTTCCCTTTGATAGAGCATTTTTGAAACATTTGTTTTGTAGAATATGAGTGTGGATATTTGGTGCATTTTGAGGCCCACGGTTTAAATGGGAATATCTTCACATAAAAACTAGACAGAAGCATTCTCAGAAACTTCTTGTGAAGATTGCATTCAACTAACAGAGTTATACATACCTTTCCATAGAGCAGTTTTGAAACACTCTTTTTGTAGAATCTGCAAGTGGATATTTGGACCGCTTTGAGACCTTCTTTGGAAAGGAGAATATCTTCATTTAAAAATGAGACAGATGTATTCTCAGAAACTTCTTGTGATGTGTGCATTCATCTCACAGAGTTGAACCTTTCTTTTGATAGAGCAGTTTTGAAACACGCTTTTTGTAGACTCTGAAAGTGGATATTTAGAGCACGTTGAGTCCTACAGTTGAAACGGGAATATCTTCACATAAAAACTAGATAGAAGCATATTCAGTAACTTCATTTTTTGTGTGCATTCAACTCACAGAAGTCAACCTTTCTTTTGATAAAACAGTTTTGAAACACTCTTTTTGTAGAATCTGCTAGTAGATATTTGGACTGCTTTGAGGCCTTTGTTGGAAATGGGAATATCTGCACATAAAAACTACACAGAAGCATTCTCAGAAACTTCTTTTTATGTGTGCATTCAACTCACAGAGTTTAATTTTTCTTTTGATAGAGCAGTTTTGAAACACTCTTCTTCTAGAATCTGCAAGTTGACATTTGGAGTGCTCTGAGGACAATGGTGGAAAAGGAAGTATCTCCACATAAAAACTAGACAGAAGCATTCTCAGAAACTTCTTTGTTATGATTGCCTTCAACTCACAGAGTTGAACACACCTTTTCATAGAGCAGTTGTGAAACACCCTTTTTGTAGAATCTGCAAGTGGATATTGGGAACACTTTGAGACCTTCGTTGGAAATGGGACTATCTTCACATAAAATCTAGACAGAAGCATTCTCAGAATCTTCTTTGTGATGTGCACATTCAACTCACAGAGTTGAACCTTCCTTCTGATGGAGCAGTTTTGAAACACTCTTTTTGTAGAATCTGCAAATGGATATTTGGAGCGCTTTGAGGCCTAAGGTTGAAACAGGGATATCTTCACATAAAAACTAGACAGAACCAGTCTCAGGAACTTCTTTGTCATGTGTGCATTCAGCTGAAAGAGTTGACCTTTTGTTTTGATAGAGCAGTTTTGAAACACTCTTTTTGTAGAATCTGCAAGTGGATATTTGGACTGCTTTGAGGCCTGCATTGGAAACGGGAATATCTTCACATAAAAACTAGACAGAAGCATTCTCAGAAACTTCTTTGTGATGTGTGCATTCAACTCACAGAATTGAACAATCCTTTTGATAGGGCAGTTTTGAAACACTCTTTTTGTAGTATCTGCAAGTGGATATTGGGACCGCTTTGAGGCCTTCGTTGGAAACGGGAATATCTTCACATAAAAACTAGACAGAAGCATATTCAGAAACTTCTTTGTGATGTCTGCATTTTGCTCATTGAGTTGAACCTTCGTTTTGGTAGAGCAGTTTTGAAACACTCTTTTTGTAGAATCTGCAAGTGGATATTTGGAGAGCTTTGAGGCCTTCGTTGGAAACAGGAACATGTTCACATAAAAACTAGACAGAAGCATTCTCAGAAACTTCTTTGTGATGTGTGTATTGAAGTCACAGAGTTGAACCTTCCTTTTGATATAGCAGTTTTGAAACACTCTTTTTGTGGAATCTGCAAGTGGATATTTGTACTGCTTTGGTGCCTTCGTTGGAAACGGGAATACCTCCACATATAAACTAGACAGAAGCATTCTCAGGAACTACTTTGTTATGTGTGCATTCAATTCACAGAGTTAAACCTTCCTATTGAGAGAGCAGTTTTGCAACACTTTTCGTAGAATCTGCAAGTGGATATTTGGAGAACTTTGAGGCCTGTGGTTGAAACGGGAATATCTTCATATAAAAACTAGACAGAAGCATTCTCAGAAACTACTTTGTGATGATTGTGTTCAACTCACAGAGTTGAACATACCTTTTCATAGAGCAGTTTTGAAACACTCTTTTTGTAGAATCTGCAAGTGGATATTTGGACTGCTTTGAGGCCTACGGTTGAAATGGGAATATCTTCACATAAAAACTAAACAGAATCCTTCTCAGAAACTACTTTGTGTTGAGTGCATTCAACTTAGAGACTTGAACCTTCCGTTTGATAGTGTAGTTTTGAAACATTCTTTTTGTAGTATCTGCAAATGGATATTTGGAGCAATTTCAGGCATATGGTTGAAACCGGAATATCTTCATGTAAAAACTAGACAGAAGCATTATCAGAAACTTCTTTTTGATGATTGCATTCAATGCACAGAGTTGAACATACCTTTTCATAGAGCACTTATGAAAAACTCTTTTTGTAGAATCTGCAAGTGGATATTTGGCCCTCATTGAGGCACTCATTGGAATCGGAATATCTTCACATAAAAACTAGACAGAAGCTTTCTCAGGAAATTCTTTTTTATGTGTGCATTGAACTCATGGAGTTGAACATTGCTTTTGATAGAGCAGTTTTGAAACACTATTTTTGTAGAATCTGCCAGTGGATATTTGGACTGCTTTGAGGACTGCATTGGAAACTGGAATATCTTCACATGAAAACTAGACAGAAGTATTCTCAGAAACTTCTTTCTTATGTGTGCATACAACTCATAGAGGTGAACCTTCCTTTTGATAGAGAAGTTTTGAAACACTCTTTTTGTGGGATCTGCAAGTGGATATTTGGAATGCTTTGAGGCCTTCGATTGAAAGAGGGATATCTTCACATAAAAACTAGACAGAAGCTTTCTCAGAAACTTCTTTGGGATGATTGCATTCAACTCACAGAGTTGAACCTACCTTTTCATAAAGCAGCTTTGAGACACTCTTTTTGTAGAATCTGCAAGGTGATATTTGGAGAACTTTGAGGCCTGCGTTTGAAACGGGAATATCTTCACATGAAAATTAGAAAGAAGCATTCTCAGAAACTTTTTTGTTATGTATGCATTCAACTCACGGAGTTGAAGCTTCCTTTTGACAGAGCATTTTTGAAACACTCTTTTTGTAGAATCTCCAAGTGGATATTTGGACTGCTATGAGGCCTTCACTAGAAATGGAATATCTTCACATAAAAAGTAGAAAAAGGCATTCTCAGGAAATTCTTTAATATGTGTGCATTCAACTCACTGGGTTGAAACTTGTTTTTCATAGAGCAGTTTTGAAACACTCTTTTTGTAGATTCTGAAAGTGGATATTAGGACTGCTTTGAGGCCTTCGTTGGAAACTGGAATATCTTCAGATGAAAATTTGACAGAAGCATTCTCAGAAACATTTTTGTGATGTGTGCATTGAACTCACAGAGTTGAACCTTCGTTTTAATAGAGCTATTTTAAAACACTCTTTTTCTAGAATCAGCAAGTGGATATTTGGAACGCTTTGAGGCCTATGTTTGAAACGGGGATATCTTCACATAAAAACTAGACAGAAGCATTCTCAGGAACTTCTTTGTGGTGTGTTCATTCAACTCACAGAGTTGAATTTTTCTTTGATAGAGCAGTTTTGAAACACTCTTTTGTGGAATCTGCAAGTGGACATTTTGAGTGCTTTGAGGGCTATGGTCGAAAAGGAAGTATCTTCACATAAAAACTAGACAGAAGCATTCTCAGAAACTTCTTTCTGAAGATTGTATTCAACTCCCTGAGTTGAACACACTTTTTCATAGAGCAGTTTTGAAACACTCTTTTTGTACAATCTGCAAGAGGATATTTGAAGTTCTTTGAGGCCTTTGGTGGAAAAAGGAATATCTTCACCTAAGAACTAGACAGAAGCATTCTCAGGAACTTCTTTGTGATGTTTGCATTCAACTCACAGACTTGAACATACCTTTTCATAGAGGAGTTTTGAAACACTCTTTCTGTAGAATCTGCAAGTGGATATTTGGACAGCTTGGAGGCCTTCGGTGGAAACGGGAATATCTTCATATAAAAACTAGACAGAAGCATTCTCAGAAACTTCCTTGTGATGTGTGCATTCAACTAACAGAGTTGAACCTTCCTTTTAATAGAGCGGTTTTCAAACAATCCTTTTGTAGAATCTGCAAGCGGATATTTGGACCGCTTTGAGGCCTATGGATGAAACGGGAGTATCTTCACATAAAAACTATACAGAAGCATTATCAGAAACTTCTTTGCGATGATTGCATTCATCTCACAGAGTTGAACATACCTTTACATAGAGCAGTTTTGAAACGCTTTTTGTGGAATCTGAAAGTGGATATTTCGACTGCTTTGAAACCTTCGTTGGAAACGAAAATAACTTCACATAAAAACTAGACAAACATTCTGAGAAACTTCTTAGTGATGTGTGCTCAACGCACTGAATTGAACCTTCCTTTAGATAGATCAGTGTTGAAACACTCTTTTTCTATAGTATGCAGGTGCATATTTGGGGCACTTTGAGGCCTATGGTTGAAACTAAAATATCTTCACATAAAATCTAGAAAGAAGCATTCTCAGAAACTACTTTGTCATGTGGGCATTCAATTCAAACAGTTGAACTTTCCTTTTGATAGATCAGTTTTTAAACACTCTTTTTGTAGGATATGCAGGTGGATATTTGGGGCACTTTGAGGCCTACGGTTGAAACGAAAATATCTTCACATAAAATCTAGACACAAGCATTCTCAGAAACTAGTTTGTTATGTGGGCATTCAACTCAAAGGGTTGAACCTTCCTTTTGATAGATCGGTTTTGAAACACTCTTTTTGGAGAATCTGAAAGTGAATATTTGGACGGCTTTGAGGCCTTCATTGGAAACGGGAATATCTTCACATAAAAACTAGACAGAAGAATTCTCAGAAACTTCTTTGTTATGTGTGCCTTCAACACACGGTGTTGAACCTTCCTTTTGATAGGGCAGTTTTGAAACACTCTTTTTGTAGAATCTGCAAGTGGATATTTGGAGCGCTTTGAGGCCTACGGTTGAAACGGGAATATCTTCACATAAAAACTAGATAGAAACATTCACAGAAACTAATTTGTGATGTGTGCATTCAATTCACAGAGTTGAAATTTTCTTTTGATAGAGCAGTTTTGAAACACTCTTTTTGTAGAATATGCCAGTGGACATTTATAGCGCTTTGAGGGTTATGGTGGAAAAGGAAGTATCTTCACGTAAAAGCTAGACAGAAGCATACTCAGAAACTTCTTTGTGATGTGTGCATTCAACTCACAGAGTTGAACGTTCCCTTTGATAGAGCAGTTTTGAAACACTCTTTTTGTAGAATCTGCAAGTGGATATTGGGACCGTTTTGAGGCATTCGTTGGAAACAGGAATATCTTCACATAAAAGCTAGACAGAAGCATTTTCAGAAACTTCTTTGTGATGAGTACATTCAACTCACATAGTTGAACTTTCTTGTTGATAGAGCAGTTTTGAAATACTCTTTTTGTAGATCTGCAAGTGGATATTTGGAGCACTTTGAGGCCTTTGGTTGAAATGGGAATATCTTCACATAAAAACTAGATAGAAGCATTCTCAGAAACTTCTTTGTGATGTGTGCATGCAACTCACAGAGTTGAACCTTCCTTTTGATACAGCAGATTTGAAACACGATTTTTGCAGAATCTGCAAGGGAATATCTGAACTGCTTTGAGGCCTTCATTTGAATAGGGAATATCTTTATAGAAACTGGACAGAAGCATTCTCAGGAACTTCTTTGTTAAGTGTGCATTCAACTCACAGGGTTGAAACTTCCTTTTGATGGTTGTCTTTACTTAAATTACAAAATTAGCTGGGGGCGGGGGGCGGAGAATATGCATTAGAATGGAAGGAGAACATACTTAACATACCATTGGAAGGTGGAACTCCTAATACTTGAGAATATTTTTGAGAACTGTTTAATTCTCACTGTAGAAAGATGTCCCCTTTGAATGACATTAAAAATTCACCAGAAGAGTGAAGAATAATAGTTAAAATGTCACATAAGTAACAAGAGTGTCAAAACATAAAGTGTTCTCAAAGGTTAAAGTACGTATTTGAGATAGAGGAGAGAATAAATAAGAGTTAATTAATTAGACTTCATTAGGTGAAAAGACTTTTCTAAAATCTTCCGTAATAATAGAAGATATTAATTACAATAATTAAAATATACAAAAAATAAAAGCATTAAAATAGTGAAAAAATTTAAAAAGAGTAAACTTGAAAATTATTTAATTTTTAATCTCAAAAATCAGAAAGTGATTTTATCAATGTCTTAAAAAATTAAAATAAAAACCAACTTAATAATGTAAAAGATGGGAAGTTTCCACCGGGCTGGGTGCCAGAGCTAGGGCTTCCCTGAGGACGCAGAAGCAAGAAGCAGGGACCTTGGCACGCACCAGACTTTCCCTCCTGACAGAGCCTAAGCCCCCCGCCCACGCCTCAGGCCCCCGGCATGGTGCTGCTGGCTGGGACCCAGCCACAGGGTGGCGGGGAGCGCTGCGTGACCCTGCCACCGCCGTCCCCACTCCTAGGCACACAGGTCGAGGAGGACCGCGCTGACTGCAAAGAGTTCCAGGACTTCTCCAGTCTGCCCGACACCCGCAGCATCACCTGGGACGACTCTTTCTACACTTTCCAGGAGGAGGAGGAGCACGGCGTCCAGGGCGTGGAGAGCGTACTGGAGGAGGGCGTCCTAGAGGAGGTCGTATTGGAGGCATGGGGCTGCTGCAGACTTTGGTGCGGCAGGGGGTGAGCATTGAGAAGACGTAGGAGCTGACCACAATGGCTAGACCGGCCTTGATGTCGCCTGCAGATCACCTGAGGTTGGGAGTCTGAAAGTAGCCTGACCAACATGGAGAAAACCCGTCTCTACTAAAAATACAAAATTAGCCGAGCATGGTGGCACATGCCTGTAATCCCAGCTACTCAGGAGGCTGAGGCAGGAGAATCGCTCGCACCCAGGAGGCAGAGGTGGCAGGGAGCCAAGATCGCGCCATTGCACTCCGGCCTGGGCAACAAGAGCCAAACTCTGACTCAATCAACAAAACCTCAATTTATTAAAGAGTATTTTCTCTGTGATTTTGTATTTTTAATTGTTATCCAATTTGTCAAGTTTTACAAGTGATAGGGCCCCTTGTATCCAAGACAGTTTTACTACACTTGCCTGAAGACCCTGTATTTAAAATACTGTTTCTAGCAATACATATTTATAATATCTATAGGAGTTTACACAGAAATCATGGGATTCTCTCCTTTTTGGCTGTTTGTTTTGGTCTTTTCTTCCCATTGTGGGTGCACATGCACACTGCATGTTTTTATTAATTAGATTAAGTGATGCCAGATATTTCTGTTTGATGGAGGGATTGACTCATTCAGCCACATGATCAAGTGAGAAAGAGATATCATATTTTATTGTATCTTTTTAGAAAGTACTATCCATACATATTGGGGAAAAACATTTATCGTCAAATTATAAAACAATGCAGATATAAGCATGTATGTATTGCTAGAATTAAACTCTTTTTAATCAAGGAGTTTTAGATAAACTGGATAGAAAATCTTTAACATATTAAAAATAGATATCAGGGAAAAGTGTCATTTGATAAAATGGGGGAAATGTAATAGATGATTACCAGAAATACAAAATTAAGCCGTATATGCTCTTAAGTAAATCGAATCCAGACATCTTTAAAATATAAAAAAAGGATGCAACAAGAGTAAGATGCAAATTAAAGGAATTGGGGGAGGTGATGTTTAGAACAAGCAAAGAGAATGCAATGGGAAGCAAACATATTTTAGGCAAATTCTCCTGGAGTGGACCAGACAGCCCTCTTTTCCAGACTCAGTTCCAAAGAGTCCCTTATGTGGGTATTTCTTTTATTTTTCCTTTGAGGACTGCACTTGGTGTTTAGTTCAACCTCATGCGGACCTCATGGAATTTCCAAGACGTAGGTCCTTGGCATTGTGGCACCTTCCTGCCACACGCACATAATTCACAGCATTACCAAGTCACCATGAGCTCCACGCTCACCTCTGTCAGCCCAGGACCCAGCCAGGCAGTGTCACATGGTCTCCCAGGCATGCCTTTCCAAGCCGGCTATCCCTGCTGCGAAAGTTGTGAAGGCACTGGTCTGGGGAGCTGAGCCCTGGGCCTGTCCTAAAGCTCCATAGGTGACTGCACTGCATCCCACATGGAGAGCTGCAGCTCTAACAGAGGGATTTTGAGAGGCCTCAGTCGCCTTTAAGTGGCACTTCCAGGACACCCATCTTGAGCTCTCACAAATGGCTCCACCTTCTCAAGAATGTCTAATTGTCATTGGAACAGCCAGTGTCTGGCAGCTTCGCTCGGGCTGATGTGGCATCTGACCCTTGGTGGGTGGCCAGACATTCCTTCCTGTTTCTGCCATGGGAAGTTGACACTGGGAATGGTATGGAGCCCCCACTTCTACACTAAGCCTTGGGTGTCTGCTGCTTCCAGGTCACAAATGGATATTTCTGGTCCTGACCAGCCACTACCACACTGTAACCGATGCTCATAGTCTCCAGGGATGTGCAGAACAGCAATGGCAGGACAGCAAACAACTGGCGATTTCCCCAGGTCCCACGCTGTTCCGGAGTGGGCGTGTTGGGTCCCTGTTCCCAATGTGTTCCATCCTTACCCAGGTGCACAGGGTACCTTGGGGCCAGCACAGGGCTTGTCAAGTAATGCTCCTGGTGTCCACAAAACAGCTCCAGAGATACCTGCATTTTGAAAAGCCTGCCAAGCCAACAAGTATGGGGCAGGACCCAGATTGCTTTGGCAAATATGAAGGTGAGCTGGCCACTTGCCTGGTGAGTAGAAGCTGCCTTTACCTGGCCAGTGTATGCAACTTGAGAGAAAATGACAATTTCACGGGGGGGTTCTGGTGGGACTGGGAAGCCTGACCTTCCCCGGAGCTTTGGTATGGCCCCAGTGGAAAGACTGGATTTTGAAAACCCACCAGAGCCAACTGAAAGAAGGGTCATCCCTGATGAGATCCCAGACTCCCCCTGGTCTCTCTGGACTCACTTTAGGCGTGCCTTGCCTGTTGGCATCCCTTCCCTTTGGCCCATGAGGCAGGTCCAGGTAGCTTCTGCAGCTGTGTGCCTGGGTACTGGCCCAGCACTTCTCATTTTTGCCATGTGGAAGCAGATTTGCTAGTAGAGGAATTTTCCAAGTCAAAGGAAGTGTCACCGAGACTCTTTCCTCCACCTATCGAGAACCCATGATCTTGGTTTCTTATTATCTTTGGAGTGGGCAGCAGAGGAGACAAGCAGGCCTCCAGCCAGGCTCAGGGAGTGTGGGAAGGCAGGGAGAAAAGTCTAGAAGATGGGGAAGTAGAGCCACCTTGAGGGGGTGTCCTGGGGTCAGTGTCGAGGTGATCAGATGAGCCAGTTTATATTTAAGCAACATTATTATGTTCAATTATTTTGGGTAAGGGATTCCTCAGGGGAGGTGTGGTCATCTGGTCCCAGAGGTGGAGTGCAATGCCCACTCATCTTCCTGAGCCATTTGGAAGCCCTTTCTTCTAGCCCTAGGTACTGGTGACACAGGCTCCTCGGTCTCAGGAGGTGCACAGGGCTGGGGGTGGTGCAGGCTTCTTGTCACTTACATACTCAGCACGATTGGGCATCAGGCATTCAGAGATCTTAGAGTGGCCTCTCTAAAAACCTGGTGTCCTAGGAGAACATTTATTATTTTTGTCTATTTTTGTTTCTTTGAACTGCTGCATTCACTCACTGAGGGCTCGCCCTCCGTGCACCCCTCATGTTGTTCAGGAAGGAGGGGACTGACAAGCATGGACCCCTTTCTCCCCTTCTGTCAGTTGCCACCACACTGTCCCCACTGGCTTTATCACCATGTTCTCCCACCCCTGTTGCCTCATCTCTTCTTCCTCATTCACCCTTCCTTCCTTTGCCTGTTTTCTTCCCCAAGTTGGTTAAGTTCTTTATCATCCCTGGCACCACCTACCCTGAGGTCTACCAAGGACAGAAAAGCAGGGGCCTCTGTGAGGCAATGTGGTGTTATCATGGTGGGACCTCCAGACCCCCAGAGTGAGTGAACAGCAGGCCTGCCAGCATCTGTGCTGATGGCTAAGAATTCCTACACCGCCGTGCCCCTCCCACCCCCTCCTCTTTGCTCAGAAGGGAGACCAGGTTTGCTCTCTTGCAATGACAGCCCAGCCCCTGCTGTGCACAGGGATGGGGCTCAGGGTCCCTCCCTGCACTCTGATGATAATTAACTGTAGATAGTGAATTTCAAGTTGACAGCTACCTTCTCAGGAATTTATATATAAATATAGTTAAAGGAAAAGCTAAAGTCTATTTTACTACTTTTTAGTGTTTGTGAACTTTAAGCTTAAACTGGACAGAATAAATATTTCTCAGACAATGTCGATGCTTCTGATTACAAGTCCCTTGGTGGAGAATTTTTTTGGTGATTAGAGATTGGGGACTCTGGCAGCAGAAATGGCTTTGCGGTGGGTGTGAATTCACTTCTGTCCCTCGGAGAGCCTCCTGTGGATGTGAAAGCATGTATTAACACCAGTGAAATCCACCTCCATGTGCATGGAGGTGGCTGATGAGAACACAAATGAGCCAGTCCTGGCACTTCCCTGCAGAACCGGTCACTCCTGGTCTGACATTGAAGCATGTGAATTAAGAGTGACATTTTTTTCTACTTGCTTCTGTGAATAAAGTATTCTACAGTCAGCCAGCACTAAACTCACTAGAAAGGAGGAGGGAAGAGCGTGGAGCCAATCATCTAGAATTACCTCGGTGTGCAGAGGCTGTCCCTTGGCTGCACTTGGGAAAAGCAGTGTGAAACATCCTGTGCCTCTTTCTTCTGGAGCTCCTCCTGACAGTCTCCTGGCAACACTAGAGACCTCAACACTATGGAGATCAGAATTTCAATAGCTTTGTCATCTCAGCATTGACCACTCCTGAGACCCGAGGCTCCTCCTGGGAGCAGGAGACCGCGAGTTCTTGATGTTCGTTGGAAAATAGGATTTATGAATGCAGGAGGGCCGTGCTGGACTCCTCTGCCTTCTTCTCTCCCTGCTGTCAGCAGTGACCAGGTCTCCAGTGTGGACGCGAGTCTGTTGTGGGTGAAAGAGAAGCCCCTGGGGTAAGGCCAGACCCCAGGCCTGAAAAGGATGCAAAGCCTGCTGTTTCAGGCTGTCAGGAAGAATCGTGGGTACAAAGTGAATATGATGAAATGCATCCCAGAGAGGAAATGAATGTGCCCTCACTAAGAAGTGGGTCTGGCTGCCAGGTCTCTGGCAGCCCACCGGCAAGAGGACTACAACCCCTGCAGCCCTGCCATCCACACTACATGATGTGGGGAGTCTGTCTCTTCACTCTTACCCTGGGGACCCAAGCCTGCTTTGAGGAGTGAGTCACAGCCCTGATGTGTGCCTTGCATTACTCTTTCCCCAGGTGTGCCCGGAGACTCACGCTTGCTCATTTCTGTCCTGACACATCTCGCTGGTCCTGCGGTGGTCAGAGTCCTCGTGTTCTGTGTCAGCTCCTAGACATCATTAGTCTTTCACGTGATAAAGTATGAGCACTTTTCTCTTTTACTGTATTTGGGGAAATTCTAACACTCTCCCCAGGGATTTGCACAGGTCCCTCTGTCTCCCATGGTGGGTAATTCTATGGATTCTGCACCTGGCAGTCAGCACTCCCCCTTGCAAGCCCCTGGGGTCCCTGTTTCTGTGGGCCTGGTCCTTGGTTTCTACCCCAGTACTTTTTTGCTGGGACCTGCCTAGAACCGCCTGGAGGGCCATGGTCTAGGGAAGGACAGGTAGAACCCTGACCACAACAGATCCTTCTAAAACAACAAAGTCACCTTGATGACCACGACTGCAGTGGGGTGAATGCCATCGCAGCGGGCATGCTAGGAGGCGCCAGGGGCTTACCGCAAAAGCAGTTCTTCCCAAGGCACCCTTTGCATCTTCCCCTCCTCACCTCTCAGTGCATTTGGAACTGGCTTATGCGTTGGAATGACTTAAATCAACTGCTCGTTTCTGTGACCCCGCACTCACAGGTTCCTTCATTAACATTTTAAATAAGTGGCTAAAAAAACTCCTCTGGAGATTGCTTTTGAAAGCAGGAAAAAGAAAAACACATACTACCTGAAATGATTTTACTAATTTTTGAGTGACTCAGTTGAAAGTCAGTGTTGCATACAAAATTTCCTCATGCTGAGCCAGCTTGAAATAAGACTTGATAAAAGACACGGCCCTCAGTAGCAGGCGGTGCCACTGTGGACAGTGTACACTGTGGTGTGAGGGTATGCACAGGTGAGTGTAAGTGTGTTTACACATACACACGGATAAACTGAAAGGACACCGTGCTTCATGCTGGCAAAGGTTATGATGCTGCTGTAGCTTGTTATGGACCCCGGGCCGTGTCTGATGGGAAATGCTTTGATGGCATGCATGTTGTTCAATGTATATAATGGGGTCTCCCATGGCCCAAGGACCCACTATGAGCACTCCGCCCACTGTGGTGGAGAACGCGGCTGGAGTCATCACAGCCCAGGTCTTTATTGAAAGGCAGTGTTGACCCAGAAGGTTCCTGTAGAACCCATTTGGCCAGGTGTGGACCATCTCTCTCCATCTGACCTGCCTTGGCTGCACAGAGGGACACAGACCCAAAAGGCCCAGACTCAAGAGGAAACTGAATGACGTTTACCATTACACCAGCTTTCATTTATTTTTTCCATACGATCATGAGAACTGTTATTACTAAGTGTGCTTATAAATGCTATTTACAGTCTGTTCCCTTTTATTAGATGAAAGAATGATAAAGAACAATAAATTGCCTGTAGTAAAACCATGCCTAAGACCAAGAGTGGTGGCTCATGCATGTAATCCCAGCAATTTGGGAGGCCACGACGGGCAAATCACCTGAGGTCAGGAGTCCAAGACCAGCCTGGAAAACGTGGCAAAACCCCAGCTCTAAAAAATCCAAAAAAAAAAAAAATTAGCTGGGCATGATGGTGGTTGCCTGTTATTCCAGCTACTTGGGTGGCTGAGACAGGAGAATCGCTTGAACCTGGGAGGTGGAGGTTGCAGTGAGCCGAGATTGCACCATTGCCCTCCAGCGTTGGTGAAAGAGAGAGAGAGAGGGAGGGAGGGAGAGAGAGAGAGAGGGCGGAGAGAGGGTGGGGGGAGAGAGAGAGAGAAAGAAGAAAGAAAGAAAGAAAGAAAGAAAGAAAGAAAGAAAGAAAGAAAGAAAGAAAGAAAGAAGAAAGAAAGAAGAAAGAAAGAAGAAAGAAAGAAAGAAAGAAAGAAAGAAAGAAAGAAAGAAAGAAAGAAAGAAAGAAAGAAAGAAAGAAAGAAAGCCATGCCTGAAAGGCACTGTGTGGTCATCACTTCAGCAGGTTGACACTCACCTGGAGGTCATGAAATCTGTTCTTTAGTCGAGTGATGGGTTGAGCACTGAGCTCTGAGCTCACACACTGGGGCATGTGCCGCTGCTCTGACTCACTCCTTTAAAGAGGAAAATACAATTGAGCTTTCTAATACCAAATATTTCATCACAGGATTTAAAAACAAATAATCATTCAAGGGAAATTCGTCTTTAAAACCCTTTTCTGATGTAGCAGTCCCAAATCATAGGGATTACGAACTTGAGCCACTGAGCCTAGACTGACTGATGTATCCTACCAATAAGCTATGTACATAAACTCATGTCTTCCCACTTCTCAGAACCATGAAATCAATCATTCCTCCTTTTCCTTCATTTATTTTTATTGTATCTTAACAGTACTAGAAGCCAAATTCATTCTTTTCTTAAACCTCTTTTATTCATTATATGACTTCCTAAAACACCTGAAGAAAGGTTATTATTCATCATTTCTTCAATATACACCCTTTGATATCGGACAGCTTACATGAGAGTCATTGGAATTTATGGTGATTCACAGATAATTTTTTGCAGTATTAAGTTTTTAAATTAGTCTTTAATACCAAACCTCCCTACTCCATAGCCTGACCACTCTCTCTGAGCAGTAATCAATGCTGCATTGTACCCTCAGGATAGGAAGCCATGAGAAAAAACCTTCCTCAAGTCCTAAGCAACATGATTTCCACTCAAGTGGTAAGTGGATACATTTGTAGCATGTCTGTCTGAGGATGAATCTGAGGGAAAAGGCCTAATACTTACAATCCACTGGTTGGTTTTCCTGCTCTCCTCATTTAACTTTCTTTGGTTTTCTTGAATTTTTGCCCCAAAAGAACTCGTTTGCTTCATTATCATCTCCTATAAAAGAACTATGAATTTGAACATCAGAGAAACAAATCGCTTTGGGTGTCAAACCCCCATTGATAAACAAATCAAGGGATGAGATATGAAAGAGATTTGGGAAGACCTCAGACTGTAGAACCACAACATGGAACGCAACCAGTTTAATAGGAAAATCATAAGCAGGGCTAATTTACAGATAATGTGGCATCTTGCATCAGAATTGGAATCTACTGACACCGTGCCTTGCTAATTCTAGCATATTTTATTCTATTATTTGCAGCGTTGGTAAAGAGGTTTCTTATATAGAAGGCTTTTGAACTTGTAGTTTAGATAGCCAGAAACTCTTTCTGATATTGAGCTCTTTACAGTGCCTTGAACTTTAAACTAAATAGTCAAATTATTATAATGATTATTAACTTCATCACTCCCTCAGTGAAAGGCAAGTTCCAGGAAGGAAGGTATTTACACAGATTCTATTTAAATTTCTAACATTGATGCCTAGGCACAACAAGACATCCAGTACAGAACAGAATAATCCTCATGCTCTTCATCTTCCCCCTAATTTCTTTACCTGTGCCACCCTCTAGCTTTCAAAGTGCTCTCTGAGCCATCACTTACCCAGTGTTCCTTAGTTGCCCCTCACAGTGTCTGGGAGCCCCGTGCTCCTGAGTGTTCCAGAACAGCAAATGAAGCAGGCTCTTATCCACCGCTCCAAATATCTTTTTTTCTCCCTGTGGATCCCACACATTTATTCATTAGAGCTCAGGAATTGCCAGAGACTGGCTTTTCTGGCAATGCACACTGGATTCTTCAGAAGAATATTGGTTTTGATGTCCTCCTGCTGTGACAGTTCCCCCCATGTGGGCAGCAGGTAGAAATTTTGGTTTCTTCCCAGGAAAGGCAGGGAAAGGGCCTACAGAAGCTGGGGCCGCAGCCTGTGATGATGGGGTCTACGAGTTAGTTCAGACAGAAGAGGCAGATGGGTTCTTTCTGTTAGGCTTGTGTGATATCTGAGACCATTTTCCTGAAGGAAGGAAATTAGGAAAGGTATGATTAAAACTTCATCTTATGCCTTGGAGAAACAAAGGCCAAAGCAAAATTTGACTCAGGTTGTGACTCAGCGATAAACTTCTGTCTAGAGTAGAACAGGCTTTATTTTGTATAAGACAAAAATCGAACCTGAGGCACAAAGAGAGCTCTTGGATCTGTAGGTAAAATTGTTGGGTTCGTGCACAACTCACAGGGCACTACATCCTCATCCTACTATTTTGTTTTGCATAGAAAAATGAACCTCAGAGAGGAGAGGTGTGATGGCTCACACCTGTAATCCCAGCACTTTGGGATGCCAAGGCTGGTAGATCAGGTTGGAGACCAGCCTGGCCAATATGTGAAACCCTGTCTCTACTAAAAACACAACAATCAGCCAGGAGTGGTGGAACATACCTGTAATCCCAGAAACTTAGGAGACTGGGCAGGAGAATTGCTTGAACCCTGAATTTTCAGTCAGCTGAGATTGAGCCACTACTCTTCAGCCTGGGCAATAAAGCAAGAAGAAAGAAAGAAAGAAAGAAAGAAAGAAAGAAAGAAAGAAAGAAAGAAAGAAAGAAAGAAAGAAAGAAAGAAAGAGAGAATGAGAGAGAGAGAGAGAAAAAGAGAGAAAAAGGAAGAAAGAAATAAAGAAAGAAAAGAAAAGAAACCTCAGTTTTGTTGAGTTTTGACTTTACTCCAAAAAACTTCAGGTTTAAGAGTATGAAATTAGGACCAATTTATACCATTAGATGATGGGTCCTGAATACTCTGAAAACCATTCTTAATGCTCATTGTGATTGGATTAGAAAAGATTGATTCAGTGCAAAAGAAAAAAAGTGATTGGTTTAGGAAATGGTATTTAACTGCAATTTTACTCTCATTGTTTCACTTAGATGTCATAATTTTCTCCTTTAAAGTATTTCAAAAAATCTCCGTCACAATCCACCACTGCAAAATGATTTCTAAAGAACCATTATTTATTTACTGAACATTGTGAAATTTGATCAGATTTCACCCAGAAATGCTGAAGAGGCATTTAGTATACACTAAAACAATATTATCCTCAAATTATTCAACACATTCCCTAAGTTGTATATTATAGAATATTCTGTCTTGTGCATATATTTTTGTGCCAAGTTTAGAACAGAGGGTATTACATTTATGTACAACATATAAAATAAAATATTCTCAATAAAATTTAGGATATACAACAAGTATGAAATTGCAAGATATCTGAAAACTATTTTCTGTGTTCTTAGAATACTTAGGAACAACTAAGGAATACATAAATGATACAAGTAAAATTAATCTTCACTGTATTTCACAAGTATGTAGGAAGACAGGATGATAAAATAAGAGTAAAAATGTTTTTACTAAGTAAGCAAATGACATCACTTATAGGAACAAGCTCAGTTTGTTGGAAAATTAAACACAGGGCAGTCTGTTTTGGGTTGGAAAAGTCGCAGGAACTCCTCCTCTGTTAGTTGTGTTCTCACCCTAAAAATGTACTTATGGTCTCACTGAAACTTGCTGTAGAAGTAATACTATAAAATCTGATCAGGGATCAGGGCCTCACCATATAGTGGTAGTAGCTTTCAGACATCTTCGCAGCCAGTTCCAAAGCCTCGCTGTTTGTCCCAGCAAAGAATGAGCTTGACTACTTGTACCTCTTTATATTGAATCTCTGAAAAATCACACCCATTTCAAACAGGTTGTACAGTTCTTGGAGTTTGGGATAGCCATTAGGGTTCTTGATTAGGTTTCACCAGAAGAGAGGAAATGATTGATTCAACAACTTGGCTAATCTCCATAAACAAACTTTAAACTTCTTGTTATCAAGAACCACTGAGTTTACAACAAACGAACCCTCAAATACCAAATTTGTAGATAATTTTGGAGTCCCTTAATATTTTAATCATCAAAAGATGAGAAAGAGGATACCATCAATTTATGATTTTAATAAATGTCTTCAAAAGTCTGGAATCGTTTTTCTCCTTTTTCTTTTTGTTTTTTTTCTTATGTTTTTGGAAATGTTTTGCCTGAAGTTGGCTTTAATTCTAATAGTCACTGAAGTAGACTTGAAATGCACTTTGCTGTTGCTTTTGAAGCTTGATTTCAGGTTTTAATGTATTACTGTCAATTTATATATATATATAATGTATTTTATATAATATATATTTTTATACATATATAATATATATGTATTTTATATATATTATATATTATAATATGTATTTTATATATATTATGTATACACACACACACATATATATATGTATATACATATATATATAGATTGATGGATAGTCTGGTTCTGTAGCCTAGGCTGGAGTGCGGTGGTGCAATCACAGCTCACAGCAGCATTAAACTGCTAGGCTCAAGTGATTCTTTTGCCTCATTTTCTCATAGAGCCAAAATTACAGATGTGAGCCACTGCACCCAGTCTATTAATTCATGTTGTTGATAAAAGCATAAGAATTATCTTTATTATAAATTAAGAAACAGAATATCTTTAAGGAAATATTATATCTTTTAGGAAAAATAAAATCTTCAGTAGTTATAGACTCTTGTGAAAACCGCCGTTACCAATAGCAATTTTGTGTATGTCTATATAACACATACATAAGTAAATATATATAATATATACATGATTTTTTTCACATTTGGCAGTCATTTAAGAACTTCTTTTACCATATAAAATCTAATTTATATTGGTAAAAGTGAAATAAGTAAAATTTGCTGTTTAGTGAAAACTTTGTTTAGCAAGTTAAATGAAGCTGTAGAAAGTGTGAATTGGATAATAGATATAAAGATATGTCATGAAGGCTTCACACATGGACAAATAGAGGTAAACTAGGAGAGTGATAGTGACCTAAGGAGGATGAGAGTATCATGTATGTCCTATAAACAGCATAATGTGTGAGTGACTGTAGCACACAGTAGAGCTAAGTAGAGAAGATGAGGAGAGAACATATTCAAGGGTGTAATGTTTGATAATTTTTTCAGAGTAAGCAAATGAATTCAGGAAGCCAAAAAATCCCCATTTTGGATGTATAAAACATAAATTTACTTTGTTTTGCATGTGTAAAACAATACATTTTGGCTGATTTTTAGTATTTCTCTGTCTCTGTTGGCTGATTCATTATGATGTGTTTAAGATTGAAACCACACTGTAAAGAGCTCAATATCAGAAAGAGTTTCTGGCTATCTAAACTACAAGTTCAAAAGCCTTCTATATAAGAAACCTCTTTACCAACGCTGCAAATAATAGAATAAAATATGCTAGAATTAGCAAGGCACGGTGTCAGTAGATTCCAATTCTGATGCAAGATGCCACATTATCTGTAAATTAGCCCTGCTTATGATTTTCCTATTAAACTGGTTGCGTTCCATGTTGTGGTTCTACAGTCTGAGGTCTTCCCAAATCTCTTTCATATCTCATCCCTTGATTTGTTTATCAATGGGGGTTTGACACCCAAAGCGATTTGTTTCTCTGATGTTCAAATTCATAGTTCTTTTATAGGAGATGATAATGAAGCAAACGAGTTCTTTTGGGGCAAAAATTCAAGAAAACCAAAGAAAGTTAAATGAGGAGAGCAGGAAAACCAACCAGTGGATTGTAAGTATTAGGCCTTTTCCCTCAGATTCATCCTCAGACAGACATGCTACAAATGTATCCACTTACCACTTGAGTGGAAATCATGTTGCTTAGGACTTGAGGAAGGTTTTTTCTCATGGCTTCCTATCCTGAGGGTACAATGCAGCATTGATTACTGCTCAGAGAGAGTGGTCAGGCTATGGAGTAGGGAGGTTTGGTATTAAAGACTAATTTAAAAACTTAATACTGCAAAAAATTATCTGTGAATCACCATAAATTCCAATGACTCTCATGTAAGCTGTCCGATATCAAAGGGTGTATATTGAAGAAATGATGAATAATAACCTTTCTTCAGGTGTTTTAGGAAGTCATATAATGAATAAAAGAGGTTTAAGAAAAGAATGAATTTGGCTTCTAGTACTGTTAAGATACAATAAAAATAAATGAAGGAAAAGGAGGAATGATTGATTTCATGGTTCTGAGAAGTGGGAAGACATGAGTTTATGTACATAGCTTATTGGTAGGATACATCAGTCAGTCTAGGCTCAGTGGCTCAAGTTCGTAATCCCTATGATTTGGGACTGCTACATCAGAAAAGGGTTTTAAAGACGAATTTCCCTTGAATGATTATTTGTTTTTAAATCCTGTGATGAAATATTTGGTATTAGAAAGCTCAATTGTATTTTCCTCTTTAAAGGAGTGAGTCAGAGCAGCGGCACATGCCCCAGTGTGTGAGCTCAGAGCTCAGTGCTCAACCCATCACTCGACTAAAGAACAGATTTCATGACCTCCAGGTGAGTGTCAACCTGCTGAAGTGATGACCACACAGTGCCTTTCAGGCATGGCTTTCTTTCTTTCTTTCTTTCTTTCTTTCTTTCTTTCTTTCTTTCTTTCTTTCTTTCTTTCTTTCTTTCTTTCTTCTTTCTTTCTTCTTTCTTTCTTCTTTCTTTCTTTCTTTCTTTCTTTCTTTCTTTCTTTCTTTCTTTCTTTCTTTCTTTCTTCTTTCTCTCTCTCTCTCCCCCCACCCTCTCTCCGCCCTCTCTCTCTCTCTCCCTCCCTCCCTCTCTCTCTCTCTTTCACCAACGCTGGAGGGCAATGGTGCAATCTCGGCTCACTGCAACCTCCACCTCCCAGGTTCAAGCGATTCTCCTGTCTCAGCCACCCAAGTAGCTGGAATAACAGGCAACCACCATCATGCCCAGCTAATTTTTTTTTTTTTTGGATTTTTTAGAGCTGGGGTTTTGCCACGTTTTCCAGGCTGGTCTTGGACTCCTGACCTCAGGTGATTTGCCCGTCGTGGCCTCCCAAATTGCTGGGATTACATGCATGAGCCACCACTCTTGGTCTTAGGCATGGTTTTACTACAGGCAATTTATTGTTCTTTATCATTCTTTCATCTAATAAAAGGGAACAGACTGTAAATAGCATTTATAAGCACACTTAGTAATAACAGTTCTCATGATCGTATGGAAAAAATAAATGAAAGCTGGTGTAATGGTAAACGTCATTCAGTTTCCTCTTGAGTCTGGGCCTTTTGGGTCTGTGTCCCTCTGTGCAGCCAAGGCAGGTCAGATGGAGAGAGATGGTCCACACCTGGCCAAATGGGTTCTACAGGAACCTTCTGGGTCAACACTGCCTTTCAATAAAGACCTGGGCTGTGATGACTCCAGCCGCGTTCTCCACCACAGTGGGCGGAGTGCTCATAGTGGGTCCTTGGGCCATGGGAGACCCCATTATATACATTGAACAACATGCATGCCATCAAAGCATTTCCCATCAGACACGGCCCGGGGTCCATAACAAGCTACAGCAGCATCATAACCTTTGCCAGCATGAAGCACGGTGTCCTTTCAGTTTATCCGTGTGTATGTGTAAACACACTTACACTCACCTGTGCATACCCTCACACCACAGTGTACACTGTCCACAGTGGCACCGCCTGCTACTGAGGGCCGTGTCTTTTATCAAGTCTTATTTCAAGCTGGCTCAGCATGAGGAAATTTTGTATGCAACACTGACTTTCAACTGAGTCACTCAAAAATTAGTAAAATCATTTCAGGTAGTATGTGTTTTTCTTTTTCCTGCTTTCAAAAGCAATCTCCAGAGGAGTTTTTTTAGCCACTTATTTAAAATGTTAATGAAGGAACCTGTGAGTGCGGGGTCACAGAAACGAGCAGTTGATTTAAGTCATTCCAACGCATAAGCCAGTTCCAAATGCACTGAGAGGTGAGGAGGGGAAGATGCAAAGGGTGCCTTGGGAAGAACTGCTTTTGCGGTAAGCCCCTGGCGCCTCCTAGCATGCCCGCTGCGATGGCATTCACCCCACTGCAGTCGTGGTCATCAAGGTGACTTTGTTGTTTTAGAAGGATCTGTTGTGGTCAGGGTTCTACCTGTCCTTCCCTAGACCATGGCCCTCCAGGCGGTTCTAGGCAGGTCCCAGCAAAAAAGTACTGGGGTAGAAACCAAGGACCAGGCCCACAGAAACAGGGACCCCAGGGGCTTGCAAGGGGGAGTGCTGACTGCCAGGTGCAGAATCCATAGAATTACCCACCATGGGAGACAGAGGGACCTGTGCAAATCCCTGGGGAGAGTGTTAGAATTTCCCCAAATACAGTAAAAGAGAAAAGTGCTCATACTTTATCACGTGAAAGACTAATGATGTCTAGGAGCTGACACAGAACACGAGGACTCTGACCACCGCAGGACCAGCGAGATGTGTCAGGACAGAAATGAGCAAGCGTGAGTCTCCGGGCACACCTGGGGAAAGAGTAATGCAAGGCACACATCAGGGCTGTGACTCACTCCTCAAAGCAGGCTTGGGTCCCCAGGGTAAGAGTGAAGAGACAGACTCCCCACATCATGTAGTGTGGATGGCAGGGCTGCAGGGGTTGTAGTCCTCTTGCCGGTGGGCTGCCAGAGACCTGGCAGCCAGACCCACTTCTTAGTGAGGGCACATTCATTTCCTCTCTGGGATGCATTTCATCATATTCACTTTGTACCCACGATTCTTCCTGACAGCCTGAAACAGCAGGCTTTGCATCCTTTTCAGGCCTGGGGTCTGGCCTTACCCCAGGGGCTTCTCTTTCACCCACAACAGACTCGCGTCCACACTGGAGACCTGGTCACTGCTGACAGCAGGGAGAGAAGAAGGCAGAGGAGTCCAGCACGGCCCTCCTGCATTCATAAATCCTATTTTCCAACGAACATCAAGAACTCGCGGTCTCCTGCTCCCAGGAGGAGCCTCGGGTCTCAGGAGTGGTCAATGCTGAGATGACAAAGCTATTGAAATTCTGATCTCCATAGTGTTGAGGTCTCTAGTGTTGCCAGGAGACTGTCAGGAGGAGCTCCAGAAGAAAGAGGCACAGGATGTTTCACACTGCTTTTCCCAAGTGCAGCCAAGGGACAGCCTCTGCACACCGAGGTAATTCTAGATGATTGGCTCCACGCTCTTCCCTCCTCCTTTCTAGTGAGTTTAGTGCTGGCTGACTGTAGAATACTTTATTCACAGAAGCAAGTAGAAAAAAATGTCACTCTTAATTCACATGCTTCAATGTCAGACCAGGAGTGACCGGTTCTGCAGGGAAGTGCCAGGACTGGCTCATTTGTGTTCTCATCAGCCACCTCCATGCACATGGAGGTGGATTTCACTGGTGTTAATACATGCTTTCACATCCACAGGAGGCTCTCCGAGGGACAGAAGTGAATTCACACCCACCGCAAAGCCATTTCTGCTGCCAGAGTCCCCAATCTCTAATCACCAAAAAAATTCTCCACCAAGGGACTTGTAATCAGAAGCATCGACATTGTCTGAGAAATATTTATTCTGTCCAGTTTAAGCTTAAAGTTCACAAACACTAAAAAGTAGTAAAATAGACTTTAGCTTTTCCTTTAACTATATTTATATATAAATTCCTGAGAAGGTAGCTGTCAACTTGAAATTCACTATCTACAGTTAATTATCATCAGAGTGCAGGGAGGGACCCTGAGCCCCATCCCTGTGCACAGCAGGGGCTGGGCTGTCATTGCAAGAGAGCAAACCTGGTCTCCCTTCTGAGCAAAGAGGAGGGGGTGGGAGGGGCACGGCGGTGTAGGAATTCTTAGCCATCAGCACAGATGCTGGCAGGCCTGCTGTTCACTCACTCTGGGGGTCTGGAGGTCCCACCATGATAACACCACATTGCCTCACAGAGGCCCCTGCTTTTCTGTCCTTGGTAGACCTCAGGGTAGGTGGTGCCAGGGATGATAAAGAACTTAACCAACTTGGGGAAGAAAACAGGCAAAGGAAGGAAGGGTGAATGAGGAAGAAGAGATGAGGCAACAGGGGTGGGAGAACATGGTGATAAAGCCAGTGGGGACAGTGTGGTGGCAACTGACAGAAGGGGAGAAAGGGGTCCATGCTTGTCAGTCCCCTCCTTCCTGAACAACATGAGGGGTGCACGGAGGGCGAGCCCTCAGTGAGTGAATGCAGCAGTTCAAAGAAACAAAAATAGACAAAAATAATAAATGTTCTCCTAGGACACCAGGTTTTTAGAGAGGCCACTCTAAGATCTCTGAATGCCTGATGCCCAATCGTGCTGAGTATGTAAGTGACAAGAAGCCTGCACCACCCCCAGCCCTGTGCACCTCCTGAGACCGAGGAGCCTGTGTCACCAGTACCTAGGGCTAGAAGAAAGGGCTTCCAAATGGCTCAGGAAGATGAGTGGGCATTGCACTCCACCTCTGGGACCAGATGACCACACCTCCCCTGAGGAATCCCTTACCCAAAATAATTGAACATAATAATGTTGCTTAAATATAAACTGGCTCATCTGATCACCTCGACACTGACCCCAGGACACCCCCTCAAGGTGGCTCTACTTCCCCATCTTCTAGACTTTTCTCCCTGCCTTCCCACACTCCCTGAGCCTGGCTGGAGGCCTGCTTGTCTCCTCTGCTGCCCACTCCAAAGATAATAAGAAACCAAGATCATGGGTTCTCGATAGGTGGAGGAAAGAGTCTCGGTGACACTTCCTTTGACTTGGAAAATTCCTCTACTAGCAAATCTGCTTCCACATGGCAAAAATGAGAAGTGCTGGGCCAGTACCCAGGCACACAGCTGCAGAAGCTACCTGGACCTGCCTCATGGGCCAAAGGGAAGGGATGCCAACAGGCAAGGCACGCCTAAAGTGAGTCCAGAGAGACCAGGGGGAGTCTGGGATCTCATCAGGGATGACCCTTCTTTCAGTTGGCTCTGGTGGGTTTTCAAAATCCAGTCTTTCCACTGGGGCCATACCAAAGCTCCGGGGAAGGTCAGGCTTCCCAGTCCCACCAGAACCCCCCCGTGAAATTGTCATTTTCTCTCAAGTTGCATACACTGGCCAGGTAAAGGCAGCTTCTACTCACCAGGCAAGTGGCCAGCTCACCTTCATATTTGCCAAAGCAATCTGGGTCCTGCCCCATACTTGTTGGCTTGGCAGGCTTTTCAAAATGCAGGTATCTCTGGAGCTGTTTTGTGGACACCAGGAGCATTACTTGACAAGCCCTGTGCTGGCCCCAAGGTACCCTGTGCACCTGGGTAAGGATGGAACACATTGGGAACAGGGACCCAACACGCCCACTCCGGAACAGCGTGGGACCTGGGGAAATCGCCAGTTGTTTGCTGTCCTGCCATTGCTGTTCTGCACATCCCTGGAGACTATGAGCATCGGTTACAGTGTGGTAGTGGCTGGTCAGGACCAGAAATATCCATTTGTGACCTGGAAGCAGCAGACACCCAAGGCTTAGTGTAGAAGTGGGGGCTCCATACCATTCCCAGTGTCAACTTCCCATGGCAGAAACAGGAAGGAATGTCTGGCCACCCACCAAGGGTCAGATGCCACATCAGCCCGAGCGAAGCTGCCAGACACTGGCTGTTCCAATGACAATTAGACATTCTTGAGAAGGTGGAGCCATTTGTGAGAGCTCAAGATGGGTGTCCTGGAAGTGCCACTTAAAGGCGACTGAGGCCTCTCAAAATCCCTCTGTTAGAGCTGCAGCTCTCCATGTGGGATGCAGTGCAGTCACCTATGGAGCTTTAGGACAGGCCCAGGGCTCAGCTCCCCAGACCAGTGCCTTCACAACTTTCGCAGCAGGGATAGCCGGCTTGGAAAGGCATGCCTGGGAGACCATGTGACACTGCCTGGCTGGGTCCTGGGCTGACAGAGGTGAGCGTGGAGCTCATGGTGACTTGGTAATGCTGTGAATTATGTGCGTGTGGCAGGAAGGTGCCACAATGCCAAGGACCTACGTCTTGGAAATTCCATGAGGTCCGCATGAGGTTGAACTAAACACCAAGTGCAGTCCTCAAAGGAAAAATAAAAGAAATACCCACATAAGGGACTCTTTGGAACTGAGTCTGGAAAAGAGGGCTGTCTGGTCCACTCCAGGAGAATTTGCCTAAAATATGTTTGCTTCCCATTGCATTCTCTTTGCTTGTTCTAAACATCACCTCCCCCAATTCCTTTAATTTGCATCTTACTCTTGTTGCATCCTTTTTTTATATTTTAAAGATGTCTGGATTCGATTTACTTAAGAGCATATACGGCTTAATTTTGTATTTCTGGTAATCATCTATTACATTTCCCCCATTTTATCAAATGACACTTTTCCCTGATATCTATTTTTAATATGTTAAAGATTTTCTATCCAGTTTATCTAAAACTCCTTGATTAAAAAGAGTTTAATTCTAGCAATACATACATGCTTATATCTGCATTGTTTTATAATTTGACGATAAATGTTTTTCCCCAATATGTATGGATAGTACTTTCTAAAAAGATACAATAAAATATGATATCTCTTTCTCACTTGATCATGTGGCTGAATGAGTCAATCCCTCCATCAAACAGAAATATCTGGCATCACTTAATCTAATTAATAAAAACATGCAGTGTGCATGTGCACCCACAATGGGAAGAAAAGACCAAAACAAACAGCCAAAAAGGAGAGAATCCCATGATTTCTGTGTAAACTCCTATAGATATTATAAATATGTATTGCTAGAAACAGTATTTTAAATACAGGGTCTTCAGGCAAGTGTAGTAAAACTGTCTTGGATACAAGGGGCCCTATCACTTGTAAAACTTGACAAATTGGATAACAATTAAAAATACAAAATCACAGAGAAAATACTCTTTAATAAATTGAGGTTTTGTTGATTGAGTCAGAGTTTGGCTCTTGTTGCCCAGGCCGGAGTGCAATGGCGCGATCTTGGCTCCCTGCCACCTCTGCCTCCTGGGTGCGAGCGATTCTCCTGCCTCAGCCTCCTGAGTAGCTGGGATTACAGGCATGTGCCACCATGCTCGGCTAATTTTGTATTTTTAGTAGAGACGGGTTTTCTCCATGTTGGTCAGGCTACTTTCAGACTCCTAACCTCAGGTGATCTGCCCGCCTCGGCCTCCCAAAGTGCTGGGATTACAGGCGTGAGCCACCGCGCCCGGCCTAATAAATCGATCTTTAAAAACATCTTAATTGAGGTTCTCTAAAGGGAGCCTTTTAGGCAACACGCCCGCTAGGTGTACTGATTGCTAGGGTGGCTGGTGTCAGGCGAATCGCTGTGGCTCCCCCAGCCCCTTCCTGGGAGCATTCTGGAAAGACAGCGTGGAAACGCGCGCCGCCTGGTGGTCCCCGGAGCGGCCATGGTGCCCAGCCCCGCGGCCTCACCCTGCCCTCGAACCCCGTTTCAAGCACCCGCGGATTCTCACGTCCTCTTCTTCCAGGGCGGCGGGCCCTTCTCCTGCACCTTGGCCTGGCGCTTCTTCTCGGCCTCCTCAGCCTCCGGTTTCTTCTCCGTGGCCACCTTGTAAGGCCACTTGGGTATCCGCAGGTGGCCACTGTCCTTGGTGCTGCCCTTCCACGCCGGCCTCTGGGGCTGGAAGGTGGGCGCGGGCGCCTTGCAGAGGCGGATCCGGGGCACCACCACGCCGGGCCATAAGCTGCTCCGCCGCAGGCGCTGCAGGGGCAGGAGACTGGCCTTCCGTGGGGCGGGGTCGGCAGAGCCCCAGGACCCTGGCAGCGGGACAGGTGGGAGGCCGGCTCTTGGGGAGCCCTCCCGGGAACCCGCGGCCTCTGGGTAGGGCCGCTTGTGCTACTCTGCGCCCTCCGCTTCTCCTGCCTCCTGCGCCTGCCTCCCCACCCCCCGCCGCGTCGCCAGAATTTCCTGAGCCGTCTGGATTTCCTGCACCGCCAGTCGCCTCTTCCCCACGCCCAGGGAGCTCTGGGGGCACACAGTCTGGCACGCGAGGGCCACGGCGGGGCTGTTAGAGGCTGGTGGTCATCCTGACCATGTGGTCCAGGGCGCCCCGGTCCTCCGGGCCACAGGTGGAGCGCCGCGTCAGCGCGGACAGCTCGCAGTCCCTGACCCTCTGCAGGCAGTTCTTCGAGCCCTCGATCATTGGCGCCCTCTCGTGGAGCGGAGGCAGCTCAAGCTGGTACTTTTTCCCCAACCGCTGCTGGCAGGGGCGCTCCAGGAGCCTCTGAATGAGGCGGACGTGTAAGTGGCTACTCCTCTGGCAGCATCCCACGGCGGGGGCCCTCGCGTGGACACCCGCCCCTGCCAGCTCAGGGCTCGGATGCCACTGGTTCCACCCTGCATGGCGGCTTTCAACCCGAACGCGTCCATCCTTCAAGGTCAAGACCCAGGACGTAGTTCAACAAGTAGTTGGTGATGATAGCATGCCCTGACTGGGCCAGAACAGCCTCTTTAGTAAAACAGCGCAGGAAAGTCATGAAGAAGATGTTCAGCTCCTTTCCTCATTTTCACTTTAATTCCGTGATGCCTCTGTGTCTGTCTGACAACATCTCTCCTGGGGTCTGGGACTCTGCTGGTCTTCAATGCCTACTGAGAAGGGTTCCTGGCCATCATCAGGCATGAAAACCACAAAGCCCTCCGTCCTCAACGTGGGATCCCTGGGCAAGCGGCATCAGCCTCACCAGGAAACCTGTTCTTCTGCTCATTCTTGGGCCCCACCCCAGGCCTATTCAAAGAAAGACTCCAGCAGCCGGGTTTGGCAGCCTGTGTTTCCACCAGATCTGTGTTAAAGCTCAAAAGAACCAGCCCAGGTGATGCTGACGCAGGAAGCGCAAGGCTGAGAGCCAGTGTCTAAGGCAACTGTGCCCATGGGGCCAGGGGCAGCTCCTGCCTGTGCAGCTATGATTAGGGTTGCGTTCCCCTCCCTGTCCTGCCAGTTGACTTCGATGTGGTGGCACTCAGCTAAGGCCACCAGGGTATATTCACAAAGCCGTGGTAGCAGGCGACATCAAGGCCGGTCTAGCCATTGTGGTCAGTCTCCTGCGTCTTCTCAACGCTCACCCCCCGCCGCACCAACGTCTGCAGCAGCCCCACGCCTCCAATACGACCTCCTCCAGGACGCCCTCCTCCAGGACGCTCTCCAAGCCCTCAACACCATGCTCCTCCTCCTCCTGGAAAGGGTAGAAAGAGTCGTCCCAGGCGATGCTGCAGGTGTCGGGCAGACTGGAGAAGTCCTGGAACTCTTTGCAGTCAGCACGGTCCTCCTCGACCTGGGTGCCTAGGAGTGGGGACGGCGGTGGCGGGGTCATGCAGCGCACCCCGCCACCCTGTGGCTGGGTCCCAGCCAGCAGCACCATGCTGGTGGCTGGAGGCTTGCGCGGGGGGCCGAGGCTCTGTCTGGGAAAGTCTGTTGCGCGTCAAGGTCCCTGCTTCTTGCTTCTGCATCCCCAGGGAAGCCCTAGCTCTGGCAGCCAGCCCGGTGGAAACCTCCCTTCTTTTACATTATTAAGTTTGTTTTTATTTTAATTTTTTAGGACATTGATAAAATCACTTTCTGATTTTTGAGATTAAAAATTAAATAATTTTCAAGTTTACCCTTTTTAAAATTTTTCACTATTTTCATGCTTTTATTTTTTGTATATTTTAATTATTGTAATTATATCTTCAATTATTACGGAGGATTTCAGAAAAGTATTTTCACACAATAAAGTCTAATTAATTAACTCTTATTTATTCTCTCCTCTATCTCAAATACGTACTTTAACCTTTGAGAACGCTTTATGTTTTGAGACTCTTGTTACTTACGTGACATTTTAACTATTATTCTTCACTCTTCTAGTGAATTTTTAATGTCATTCAAAGGGTACATCTTTCTATAGTGAGAATTAGACAGTTCTCAAAAATATTCTCAAGTATTAGGAATTTCACCTTCCAATGGTATGTTAAGTATGTTCTCCTTCTCTTCTAATGCATATTCCCCGCCCCCCGCCCCCCGCTAATTTTGTATTTGAAGTAAAGACAAAGTTTTACCATGTTGAACAGGCCAGTCTTGAACTCTTGACCTCAAGTGATCCACCTGCCTAGGCCTCCCAAATGCTGGGATTACAAAAACAGCAACTAAATGCTGGAATGGTGACTGGGAACTTGTCTGGAGTCTCCATTGATTATCCTCCCCATAACAAGGCAGAAAGCCTTCCTCAGAATTATCTGGACTGACATTACTCATTGTCCAGACCTGTTAACAGACTCCTGCAACCAGAGCTGTGAGTCTCAAATGTGCTCTTCAGTAATGCAGTAGAAGGTCTGAGTTTCCACATAGAAGTATCCTTGAATGCCTGGAGAATTTTAAGGCATAAGAACGTACTGATACTATGAACTATATGTTATGTAAAATCTCAGGTTATGTGAGGTGTTTGGACAAATTAAGCGTCAGGGTGATATCCACTATTGAGACAGAAAATGAGTCTAAAGAATTAAGACCTCAAAGTCCAGAATGAGAAAAAATTGTTTTGCTTAGAGCCTCCTTATAATTGTCTTACTTGTTTTGTAGATATAAGCACTAGAGGACAAGCTCTACCTGATATAGCTGGCCTAGACATATGCAGATTTATTAATTGTAGAAGAAAGAATTATACCTTTCAAGTAAAATGGCCACCAAAAATAATTAGTTGCTGTTTTTGAGACAAGTTCTCACTCTGTCACTCAGGCTGGAGTGCAATGGCACAAACAGAACTCACTGCAGATTTATACTCCTGGACTCAAGCAATCCTCCCAACTCAGCCTCCTGAGAAGCTGGGACAACAGGTGCACACCACCACTCAAGGCTAATTTTCTGTTTATTTTTTGGTAGAGATAAGCTACCCAATTGCCCAGGCTGATCTCAAACTCCTGGCCTCCAGTGATTTTTCTGCCTTGGCCTGCCAAAGCACTGAGATTATAAGTATGGCCACTGTAACCAGCTTTAGATCAATTTTATTTAATACAGATAGCTTCCCAACTAAAAATATTTCATTAGAATTCTCTTAATTCAGCAAAGCAATGTTATTACTGACCCAGTCTTCACTTATTTTCAGCTTACATGCAGGAACAAAATTACCTTTATTTTTTAATTTGTTTTATTTTATATTTTCAAGGTGCACAATATGTCGTTTTGAGATACATGTGCATCAGGAAATGATTTCTATAATGAAGAAAATTAACAAATCTATCATATCACTTAGTTCTGCTTCTTTTTGATGATAAGAACATCAAAAATCTAGTCCTTCAGTATATTTCCCAAAAACAATACAAGATTATCTAATATACCTACAGGTTGTACATCAGATTCATTTATTCTACATTACTGCACCTTTACAACTTTTGCCCTTCATTTACCTATTTTCTTCCCACCAATGTAACCACCTTTTTGAATGCATGAAACTTATAAAAATAGATTTCAAATATGAGTGGGACCATGAGGTATTTTTCTCTGTGTGTCTGTCTTATTTCACTTAGGAAACCTACCATTTACATGTCTCCTAAATTTAGTACAGAAATAAAGTGCTAGTCAAGAATGTGTCTCTGTTTTGTTAGATTAATTTTTTTCCAAGTTATCCTCTTTATCAATTTTTACTTTTTGTTCTATGGAAGGGTGTAAATTCTTGTATTAAAAAAACGGTAACCAGGCTATTGATAAATAATTATTTTAGGGATAAAAATCTCAGGAAGTTCAAGATTTATGTATTAATGATTGGCAATGTTCTTAGTGGTCTCTCTGATTTATTTCAATTGTAAGTAAGTCTTGGTAATACTCTAACATAAATTATGATAGGTGAAGAGAATAAATAAAGTAAGTATCTCTAGGAAAATCAACACAATAAGATTATCTTTTTTAAATGGCTAAGAGCATATGGTAAATTGACACAAAAACTGCTTCATCTTCCAAAATCAGAGTCAAATACTAAATGATTGTAAAGTAGCTAATTCTGTCTTTCTGCCAAAGTGAATCTGAGCTAAATTAGAAGAATGTCAGGAATAAATTTTTCCTTGAAATCTAGCAAGAAATAATGTAATTAAATGATGAGGCTTTGACTGTTGCATAGAGTTTTAGCATCAACAGAAAAGCTCACAAAACATAGGTGAAAATCAAAAAGGAGTGCTGGGTTAGAGCCCTGAGGTGAGGAATTTTATCATCTCAGATCACTTGGAAAAAAGCAGCAAGTCCAAAGAAACTGGTGATAAGATTTCTCTCTGCTAACCCCTAATGTTCTGCATGAAATATGTGGAGGCAGAAGAGAGACAGTTTATTATAGTCTACATGGCATAGAGTGAAGGAATAAGAGAATATTTCTGATAAGTATTTTCAAAATTTGGAGAATCATTCCTATCCAAATCATTCATTTAAGGGACTAAAATACAAATAAGATGTTTCTTGCCACATAACCCTCAGCTAGCCAGGCTCTAAAAAGGATGACACTGGACACCTCGACAGTGGTAAAAAGCAGGGTTTACTCACTCTTGAATAACTAAGAACTGGTGCTAACCTTAGGCAGCAGCTTATCTATTTGGTTGAGGTTCAGCTATGTTTCATTGAACAAATCTCTTGGGTTATTTTCAGTTGTGCCAGTCATTTAATTTGTTTTCTGAATCAAATGATAAGAATTAATATGGTTTAGAGTGTAAACATCATTCCCAGATACATTACAACTTGGTGTCTCATCTGCCTAATTTTGAACCTATAGGGCGGGAATAAAAGCATTGTGAGAAACACCAGGTGATTTCCTTAAAGCCAAATACTCTTGTCCCTCCTACTTTTTTCCAGCTTTCCTGCTGCATGGGACACAGCAATAAATGGGAGTTTCCTGCACACAGAGGTAAAATTCACTTGTTGAAGATGTCAGTCTTCTTCTTGGCCAACTCCTATATTGGCACAAACATGTTGGAGAAATGCACCTACTGAATCATTTCTAAGTCAATAATCTATTTTGGGTTGTTTAACATGTATAAAATAGTGAGTGATTCATTTACATTTAGGTTAATTTGAGGACATGGCAAGATCAGAAGTTTTGGGAATCTAAGCTCACATTGATATTACTTTGAGGTCCACTCATTTGTGTAACACTTTCTGGGAAAGATGACTGAGTAGGTTATTTGAAGTTACCATAGAGCATAGACTCTCTGGGCCTCTTCTCCCTTCACTTCTGGAGAGAATGTCTTCAAGACTCAGACTTTACCAGGACATTAATTAATGACAAAATGACTAAAACTGGGTTTTTCATTACAGAAGAAATAG
The DNA here is from genome assembly GCF_000001405.40 of Homo sapiens. Taxonomy (NCBI): domain Eukaryota; kingdom Metazoa; phylum Chordata; class Mammalia; order Primates; family Hominidae; genus Homo; species Homo sapiens. Next base: position 48,906,096 of record NC_000011.10, read on the forward strand.
AAAATGCTTTCTAGATGGTAGGGAAATAATATCTTTAGAAACTGACTCCAAATTTCACACTGAACTTGGTGAAAGATGCATCTTGTGAAATGTCCCACATATTTCTATTTTTTTACAGGGTTTTGGAGACATATTACACAGGTGAGAGTTTACCTAGATTTTAGCATATATTCTTTCAGTTTCCATGAATGTCAAAGCAGGCTCTACCAAAGTCATGACATAAATGATTAAGATATTGATACTACCTTTTTTTTGCATCTGCTTTCACTCTTACACCAGAAAAGACAAGAACACTAAATAAATAAATAAATAAATAAATAAATAAATAAATAGTGAAATAAAGAAATGTTTATTCCTGATTTTGTTTTATTGCTTAAAGGCCTGCATAGGTGAAAGATAAAGTTTTGTTTTGTGGATGGTGAGAAAGTCACCAGAGGAAGCAGGAGAGAAGTGGGGGAAATATTTTAGCAGTGAAAAATTGATGATTTGTTGTTCATACCTACATACATATCAGTTAACAGTCCTGAAAAATAAGTTGAAAAAACTGTGGAGTGTTAGAACTGTATAAGTCTCTAGGGAAGCTTGTTTCTAAAAGGCAGGTCTAGCTGCCTAGAACAAGTTTCACATTCTTTATCTTGAAAAGGAAACAGCAGATGCAGCAGTCTCCCCAGAACCCTGCTATTTCAGACAAAGATGTCAGGGGAGTCTGCCAAGAAGTGGAACTCAGAATTTCATTTCCAAATATTCTCAAGGCCATAAGGCTAAGGAACCTTACACATGTGGGGCAGAAAAAAAGAAAGATCAGACTGAATTCTGACTCAGACTCTCCCACTATGCTTTAAAATTTGGAAACTGTAAATAGAAATTAATTCCGAAAAGGAAGTAATAATTTTTGAATAATCAAATTTGTGGATTCAAAGGATTCTCATGAACTGTCTTTTAAATAGGAATAGTGATTTTTATTTATTTTATGGCTGTAGGTGTTATAACTGCAGGTTTTTCCTTGCAGGAGTGAGTCTGTGCTGCTGCACATGCCCCAGCCTCTGAATCTAGAGCTTAGTGCAGGGCTCATCACTGGACTGAGGGACAGGCTCAACCAATTCTGAGGTAAGTCTCCACCCATAGCCAGTGCTCCCACTATCTAAATATTATTATTGTTAGGACCACATAGGTAATATTTCACCCTTTATCAAATATTTTACTTCCTTATAGACATAAGTGAACAACATAATCATGCAACCCTTTTGTATCTGTGTCTGTATAGTCAGATTTATAGCATTAAGTTTGAAAGATAGTGAAAAACAAATACATTTTGGCCTATTATGTACTGAGTAATGTAATGGGAAAAAGGAGTAGTGTAGCAAATTTTAAAAAGGAGCAAATGGAACAATGCTCAGAATGAAGGTGAGTTATTTAATGTTAAATACAAAATTTTACATTTCCTTAGTGTATTCATTTGAACAGCTAAGAATTGTTCTTTTGGGGATTATGGTTTACTGGGGATTGCTGGGGGTTTTTAATTTTTTAAATGGATATGTATCATGAATTGCAAAAAAAATTAGTTAATGGGTAAACATAAAAAGAAGAAATCATTTTGCGAATACAAGTAAAATTACAAACAAAAAGAAGTTCAGGTTAATTGCAATATGAAAAGCTACAGGTTAAGTTTAAAATCCAGCTTCAGCCCCAAGCTAGCATGGAGGACCACAGAGAGACTGGTAAAAGATTTTACAGAAATCTGCTTTAAATTGTCACTTATGACATGTACTTACGGATTTTTATCCAGTCATCAACAGCAGTTCTTGAGTAACTGAAAATCTTCACATTCTTTCCAAAATGATAGCACTAGTTTTTAAGAATAAGAAACATTTCTAAATAATGATCTTGATAACAGCATACTATTTAGGGCATTTAATGTGCAAGTTTTGCTTGGAAAATTGGATTGAAAGAAGTTGGTCTTACATTTGGCTCTCAATATGTAAGATTTCAAAGCATTTTTAATATCGGTGGTTAGTGTTTTGTTTGTCTTTTAGTTAAATTAATCATCTCCATGTTTTATTAGAAGTTACAAGCGAAATCGTCCTTGTGACTTTACATTTCCTGGTAAATTAACTTCTCGATAGAACAATTTTTGCTTATTGACACATGTCTATGTATGTTTTGTTTCTTTCTCTTTTATTTATTTATTTATTTTTGCAGTGGATATTAATCTGAATCATGATGAGCCAACAGTCGTATCTTTCGATGTGGAGATTTGAGAAACATTTGTATTGGATCTGACCGTCAAAATCCGCCACATATCACTGCAACACCTACAAGTTTTCTTGCATGGGGTGCTCAGACTTTCACCTCCAGCAAATATTACTGGGAGGTCCATGTGGGGGACTCTTGGAATTGGGCTTTTGGTGTCTGTAATAAGTATTGGAAAGGGAAGAATCAGAATGACAATATATATGGAGAGGAGGGACTCTTTAGTCTTGGATGCGTCAGGAATGACATGGAGTGCAGTCTCTTTACCACCTCCCCACTTACACTGCAATATGTCCCAAGACCTTCCAGCCGCATAGGATTATTCCTGGATTGTGAAGCTAGAACTGTGAGCTTCGTTGATGTTAATCAAAGCTGCCCTATATACACCATCCCTAATTGCGCCTTCTCACATTCCTCTCAGGCCTGTCTTTCGGTGTGTTCACCTCTGACCAGAGATCAATCAGAAATGTGTTCATCTGCTGTGAGAACCCCTTTATTCCAGGAAGCCCTCTTCCTTATGCCTTATCAAACAGGACAAATAGGTTCTGTTTTATGTCTTGAATTGCCTCCTAATGTTATTAAAACTCATGTATTGTGTTACTATTAAAAATGGTAAAAACACTAAAAGTACATGTATTGGTTCTTTATTAATTTTTGAAAAATCTTTATTCATGATCATGGCATAAAATATATATATATATATTTTGTTTATTTCTGACTGCCACTGAGTGAAATAATAGATGACAGACATGTCTGAATGGAGTTAAAATCAATGGAAGAGAGTCGGGATCTTTTGCTTCACGCAAAAGCTTGGAGTGAAGTCTTAATGACAGCTGGGAAATGTTTTTCTTTCTCTTTACCTAACTATATCGCACTTACCCATCACATTTCATTTTACTAATCTATCCTGTGAGTTAATATTATTTGACCTTCCATGCTGGGCTTCATTTTGGAATTCTCACCACATAGATAAATAATCCTGCATTATTAGTGTGCTCTTCTACATTGAAATACACAAGGTGCTCAGAACAATGCTGGATTAATTGAATTTTTAAAAATAACTAAATATTGATTCCTACCTCAGAACACACACAATCATTTCCAAATAGATTCAAGTCCTGAAGGTAAGGGGAACATGATACAATATTCTCATAAGGATTTCTTAACCAGGACAAAAATTGACAATTAAAAAAATTAGTTGGTTTACATTAATGACGACTTCTGTGTTTCAAAAAACATGATACAAGAATTGAAATGAAAACAATTAGCAGAGAAAGATATTCACCCGAACACATATAAAATAAAATACAATAAATGTGCATGATGAATACTTAAGATGTATTTTAAGTATTTTTCCAGATTCTTCCAGAGTGGCATAGAATAAACTTGGATGGCAAATATCCACTTGCAGATTCTACAAAAAGAGTGTTTCAAAACTGCTCTATCAAAAGGAAGATTTAACTTTGTGAGTTGGATGCAATCATCACAAAGAAGTTTCTGAGAATGCTTCTGTCTAGTTTTTATGTGAAGATATGTCGTTTTCTACCATAGGTCTCAAAGCGCTCCAAATATTCACTTGCAGATTCTACAAAAGAGAGTTTCAAAACTGCTCTAAAAAAGGAAAGTTCAAATCTGGGTGTTGAATGCACATATAAAAAAGGAGTTTCTGAGAATGCTTCTGTCTATATTTTATGTGAAGATATTGCTGTTTCCAATGAAGGACTCAAGCTAGTCGAAATATATATTTGAAAATTGTACAAAAAGAGCATTCCAAAACTGCTATATCAAAAGTGAGGTTCAACTCCGTGAGTTGAATGAACACAAAACAAAGAAGTTCCGGAGAATGCTTTTGTCTAGTTTTTATATGAATATATAGCCGTTTCCAGCCAAGGCCTCAAAGCAGTCCAAATATGCAGTTGCATATTCTACAAAAAGAGTGTTTCAAACCTGCTCTGTGAAAAGTTATGTTCAACTCTCTGAGTTGAATGCACACATAACAAGAAGTTTCCGGGAATGCTTCTGTATAAATTTTATGTTAAAATATTCCCGTTTCCAACGAACGCCTCAAAGCAGTCCAAATATTCTCTTGCAGATTCTACAAAAAGAGTTTTTCAAAACTGCTCTATCAAAAAGAAGTTGCAACTCTGTGGTTTGAATGCACACATAACAAAGTTGTTCCTGAGAATGCTTCTGTCTAGTATTTATGTGAAGATATTCCCGTTTCCAACGAAGTCCTCAAAGGAGTCCATATATCCACTTGCACATTCTACCAAAAGAGTGTTTCAAAACTGCTCCATCAAAAGGAAGGTTCAACTCCGTGAGTTGAATGCACACATCACAAAGGAGTTTCTGAGAATGCTTCTGTCTAGTTTTTATGTGAAGATATGCCCGTTTCAGCTGTAGGCCTCAAATTGCTCCAAATATCCAATTGCAGATTCTACAAAAAGAGTATTTCAAAACTGCTCTATCAAAAGGAACATACAACTCTGTGAGTTGAATGCAATTATCACAAAGAAGTTTCTGAGAATGCTTCCGTCTATATCTTTTGTGAAAATACTTGCTTTTCTAACAGAGGCCACAAAGCGCTCCAAATATCCACTTGCAGATCCTACAAAAAGAGTGTTTCAAAACTGCTCTGTCAAAAGGAAGGTTCAGTTCTGTGAGTTGAATGCACACAGAACAAAGTAGATTTGGAGAATGGTTCTATCTAGTTTTTATGTGAAGATATTCTCGTTTCCAATTAAGGCCTCAAAGCAGTCCAAATACCCACTTGCACATACTACAAAAAGATTGTTTCAAAACTGCTCTATCAAAAAGAAGGTTCCACTCTGTGAGTGGAATGCACACATAACAAAGAAGTTCCTGAGAATGCTTCTGTCTAGAGTTTATAGGAAGAAATTCCCATTTTCAAAGAAGGCCTCAAAGCAGTCAAAATATCCACTTGCAGATTGTACAAAAACAGTGCATCAAAACTGCTCTATCAACAGAAAGGTTCAACTCCGTGAGATGAATGCACAAATAACAAAGAAGTTTCTGAGAATGCTTCCGTCTAGTTTTTATGTGAAGAATTCCCGTTTCTACCGTAAGCCCCAAAGTGCTCCAAATATCCACTTGCAGATTCTACAAAAGGAGCATTTCAAAACTGCTCTATCAAAAGGAAGGTTCAACTCTGTGAGTTGAATGCACACATAACAAAGAAGTTTCCGAGAATGCTTCAGTCTAGATTTTATGTGAAGATATTCCCGTTCGCAAAGGAGGCCTCAAAGCAGTCCAAATTTCCGCCTGCAGATTCTACAAAAAGAGTGTTTGGAAACCGGTCTATGAAAAGGTATGTTCAACTATGTGAGTTGAATACACACATCGCAAAGAAGTTTCTGAGAATGCTTCTGTCTAGTTTCATGTGAAGATATTCCCGTTTCCAACGAAGACCTCAAAGCAGTCCAAATATCCACTTTCAGATTCTACAAGAAGAGAGGTTCAAAACTGCTCTATCAAAAGGAAGGTTCAAATCTGTGAGTTGAATGCACACATAACAAAGTAGTTTCTGAGAATGCTTCTGTCTATATTTTATGTGAAGATATTCCTGTTTCCAACGAAGTCCTCAAAGCAGTCCAAATATCCACTTGCAGATTGAACGAAAAGAGTGTTTCAAAACTGCCCTATCAAAAGTGAGGTTCAACTCTGTGAGTTGAATGCACACATATCAAAGAAGTTCCTGAGAATGCTTCTGTCTACTTTTTATGTGAATATATTCCCTTTTCGAGTGAAGGCCTCAAAGCAGTACAAATATCCAGTAGCAGATTCTACCAAAAGAGTGTTTCAAAACTGCTCTATCAAAAAGAAGGTTCAACTCTGGGATTTGAATGCACACATAACAAAGAAGTTCCTGAGAATGCTTCCGTCTAGTATTTGTGTGAAGATATTACCGTTTCCAATGAAGGCCTCCAAGAAGTCCACATATCCACTTGCAGATACTACAAAGAGAGTGTTTCAAAACTACTCTATCAAAAGGAAGGTTCAACTCTGTGAGTTGAATGCACACATCACAAAGAAGTTTCAGAGAATGCTACTGTCTAGTTTTTTATGTGAAGATATTGCCGTTTCAACCATAGGCCTCAAAGTGCTCCAAATATTCACTTGAAGATTCTACAAAAAGAGTGTTTCAAAATGGCTTTATCAAAAGGAAGATTCAACTCACAGAGTTGAATGCACACATAACAAAGAAGTTTCTGAGAATGGTTCTTTCTAGTCTTTATGTGAAGATATTCCGATTTCCAAAGAAGGCACCAGAGCAGTCGAGATATCCACTTGCAGATTGTACAAAAAGAGAGTTTCAAAACTGCTCTATCAAAAGGAAGGTTCAACTCTGTGAGTTGAATGCAATCATCACAAAGAAGTTTCTGAGAATGATTCTTTCTGGTTTTCATGTGAATATATCCCCGTTTCCAGCGAAGGCCTCAAAGCCGTCCAAATACGCAGTTGCAGATTCTATAAAAAGACTGTGTCAAAACTGCTCTGTGAAAAGTTATGTTCAAATCTGTCAGTTGAATGCACACATAACAAAGAAGTTTTTGAGAATACTTCTGTCTAGTTTTTATGTGAAGATACTGAAGTTTCCAACGAAGGCCTCAAAAACTCCAAATATCCACTTGCAGATTGTACAAAAAGAGAGTTTCAAAACTGCTCTATCAAAAGGAAGGTTCAACTCTGTGAGTTGAATGCAATCATCACAAAGAAGTTTCTGAGAATGATTCTTTCTGGTTTTCATGTGAATATATCCCCGTTTCCAGCGAAGGCCTCAAAGCCGTCCAAATACGCAGTTGCAGATTCTATAAAAAGACTGTGTCAAAACTGCTCTGTGAAAAGTTATGTTCAAATCTGTCAGTTGAATGCACACATAACAAAGAAGTTTTTGAGAATACTTGTCTAGTTTTTATGTGAAGATACTGAAGTTTCCAACGAAGGCCTCAAAAACTCCAAATATCCACTTGCAGATTCTACAAAAAGAGTGTTTCTAAACTGCTCTATCAAAAAGAAGGTTCAACTCTGTGACTTGAATGCACACATAACAAAGAAGTTCCTGAGAATGCTTCTGTCTAGTTTTTATGTGAAGATATTCCCGTTTCCAACGAAGGCCTTAAAGCAGTCCAAGTATCCACTTGCAGATTTTCCTAAAAAGTGTTTCAAAACTGCTCTATCAAAAGAGAGGTTCAACTCCGTGAGTTCAGTGCACACATAACAAAGAAGTTTCTGAGAGTGCTTCTGTCTAGTTTTTATGTGAAGATATTCCCGTTTCAACATTAGGCCTCAAAGTGCTCCAAATATCCACTTGCAGATTCTACAAAAAGAGTGTTTCAAAACTTCTCTATCAAAAGGAAGGTTCAACTCTGTGAGTTGAATGCACACATAACAAAGAAGTTCCTGAGAATGCTTCTGTCTAGTTTTCATGTGAAGATATTCCCGTTTCCAACAAAGGCCTCAAAGCAGTCGAAATAGCCACTTGCAGATGGTACAAAAGGAGTGTTTCAAAACTATTATATCAAAAGTAAGGTTCAAGTCAGTGAGTTGACCACACAGAACAAAGAAGTTTCCGATAATGATTCTGTCTAGTTTTTATGTGAAGATAATGATTCTGTCTAGTTTTTATGTGAAGATATTCCCATTTCAACCGTAGGCCTCAAAGTGCTCCAAATATCCACTTGCAGATTCCACAAAAAGACTGGTTCAAAAGTGCTCTATCAAAAGGAAGGTTCAACTCTGTGAGTTGAATGCATACATAACAAAGTACTTTCTGAGAACGCTTCTGTCTAGTTTTAATGTTAGGATATTCCCTTTTCCAACGAAGGCCTCAAAGCATTCCAAATATCCACTTGCAGATTCTTCAAAAAGGGTGTTTCAAAACCGATCTATGAAAAGGTGTGTTCAACTCTGTGAGTTGGATGCAATCATCACAAAGAAGTTTCTGAGAATGCTTCTGTCCGGTTTTTATGTGAAGATATTTCCTTTTCTACTATAGGCCTCAAAGTGCTCCAAATATCCACTTGCAGATTCTACAAAAAGAGTGTTTCAAAACTGCTGTATCAAAATGAAGGTTCAACTCTGTGAGTTGAATACACACATAACAAAGAAGTTCCTGAGAATGCTTCAGTCTAGTTTTTATGTGAAGATATTTCCGTTTCCAAAGAAGGCCCCAAAGCAATCAAGATATCCACTTGCAGATTCTACAAAAATAGTGTTTCAAAACTGCTCTACCAAAAGGATGGTTTAACACCGTGCGTTGAATGCACACATAACAAAGTAGTTTTTGAGAATGCTTCTGTCTAGATTTTATGTGATGATATTCCCGTTTCCAAAGATGGCCTCAAAGCAGTACAAATATCCACTTGCAGATTCTACAAAGAGAGTGTTTCAAAACTGCTCTATCAACAGAAAGATTCAATTCCATGAGTTGAATGCTCACGTAACAAAAAAGTTTCTGAGAATGTTTCTGTCTAGTTTTTATGTGAGGATATTCCCGTTTCAACCCTAGGCCTCAAAATGCTTCAAATAACCACTGGCAGTTTCTACAAAAAGAGTGTTTCAAAACTGCTCTATCAAAAGGAAGGTTCAACTCTGTGAGTTAAATGCACACATCTAAAGAAGTTTCTGAGAATGCTTCTGTCTATTTTTTCTGTGAAGATATTCCTTTTCCAACGAAGGCCTCACAGCAGTCCAAATACCCACTTGCAGATTTTACAAAAAGAGTGTTTCAAAACTGCTCTATTAAAAGGTATGTTCAACTTTGTGAGTTGAATGCAGTCATCCTAAGGAAGTTTCTAACAATACTTCTGTCTGGTTTTTATGTGAAGATATTTCCTTTTCTACCACAGGCCTCAAAGCGCTCCAAATATCCACTTGCAGATCCTACAAAAAGAGTGTTTCAAAAGTGCTCTATCAAAAGGAACGTTCAACTCTGTGAGTTGAATGCAGACATAACAAAGAAGTTTCTGAGAATGCTTCTGTCTAGTATTTATGTGAAGATATTTCCGTTTCCAGCGAAGGACTCAAAGCAGTCCACATATCCACTTGCAGATTCTACAAAAATAGTGTTTCAAAACCGCTCTATGAAAAGGTATGTTCAACTCTGTGAGTTGAATGCAATCATCACAAAGAAGTTTCTGAGAATGCTTCTGTCTAGTTTTTATGTGAAGATATGTCCTTTTCTACCATAGGTCTCAAAGCGCTCCAAATATTCACCTGCAGATTCTACAAAGGAGAGTTTTAAAACTGCTCTAAAAAAGTAAAGTTCAAATCTGTGTGTTGAATGCACATATAGAAAAAGGAGTTTCTGAGAATGCTTCTGTCTATATTTTATGTGAAGATATTGCTGTTTCCAACGAAGGCCTCATACCAGTCAAAATATACATTTGAAAATTGTACAAAAAGAGTGTTCCAAAACTGCTATATCAAAAGTAAGGTTCAATTCCGTGAGTTGAATGAACACACAACAAAGAAGTTCCGGAGAATGCTTTTGTCTAGTTTTTATGTGAATATATTACCGTTTCCAGATAAGGCCTCAAAGCAGTCCAAATATGCAGTTGCATATTCTACAAAAAGAGTGTTTCAAAACTGCTCTGTGAAAAGTTATGTTCAACTCTGTGAGTTGAATGCACACATAACAAGTAGTTTCCGGGAATGCTTCAACGAAGGCCTCAAAGCAGTCCAAATATTCTCTTGCAGATTCTACAAAAAGAGTTTTTCAAAACTGCTCTATCAAAAAGAAGTTTCAACTCTGTGGCTTGAATGCACACATAACAAAGATGTTCCTGAGAATGCTTCTGTCTAGTATTTATGTGAAGACATTCCCGTTTCCAACGAAGTCCTCAAAGGAGTCCACATATCCACTTGTACATTCTACCAAAAGTGTGTTTTGAAAGTGCTCCATCAAAAGGAAGGTTCAACTCCGTGAGCTGAATGCACACATCACAAAGGAGTTTCTGAGAATGCTTCTGTCTAGTTTTTATGTGAAGATATGCCCGTTTCAACCGTAGGCCTCAAATTGCTCCAAATATCCATTTGTAGATTTCACAAAAAGAGTATTTCAAAACTGCTCTATCAAAAGGAACATTCAACTCTGTGAGTTGAATGCAATTATCACAGAGAAGTTTCTGAGAATGCTTCTATTTCTTATGTGAAAATACTTGCTTTTCTAACAGAGGCCACAAAGCGCTCCAAATATCCACTTGCAGATCCGACAAAAAGAGTGTTTCAAAACTGCTCTGTCAAAAGGAATGTTCAACTCCGTGAGTTGAATGCACACAGAACAAAGTAGTTTTCGAGAATGCTTCTGTCTAGTTTTTATGTGAAGATATTCCCATTCCCAATGAAGGCCTCAAAGCAGTCCAAATATCCACCTGGAGATACTACAAAAAGATTGTTTCAAAACTGCTCTATCAAAAAGAAGGTTCCACTCTGTGAGTGGAATGCACACATAACAAAGAAGTTCCTGAGAATGCGTCTGTCTAGAGTTTATGGGAAGAAATTCCTGCTTCCAACGAAGGCCTCAAAACAGTCAAAATATCCACTTGCAGATTGTACAAAAAGAGTGTATCAAAACTGCTCTATCAACAGAAAGGTTCAACTCCATGAGATAAATGCACAAATAACAAAGAAGTTTCTGAGAATCCTTCTGTCTACTTTTTATGTGAAGAAATCCCGTTTCAACCGTAGGCCTCAAAGTGCTCCAAATATCCACTTGCAGATTCTACAAAAGGAGTGTTTCAAAACTGCTCTATCAAAAGGAAGGTTCAGCTCTGTGACTTGAATGCACACATAACAAAGAAGTTTCTGAGAATGCTTCTGTCTAGTTTTTATGTGAAGATATTCCCATTTCCAATGGAGGACTCAAAGCAGTCCAAATTTCCACTTGCAGATTCTACAAAAAGAGTGTTTGGAAACCGCTCTAAGAAAAGGTATGTTCAACTCTGTGAGTTGAATGCAATCATCACAAAGAAGTTTCTGAGAATGCTTCTGTCTACTTTTTATGTGAAAATATTTCCTTATCTACCATAGGCCTCAAAGCACTCCAAATATCCACTTGCAGTTTCTACAAAAAGAATGTTTCAAAAATGCTCTATCAAAAGGAAGGTTCAAATCTGTGAGTTGAATGCACACATAACAAAGGTGTTCCTGAGAATGCTTCTGTCTCATTTGCATGTGAAGATATTCCCCTTTCCATCGAAGGCCTCAAAGCAGTCCCAATGTACACTTGCACATTCTACAAAAAGAGTTTTTCAAAACTGCTCTATCAAAAGGAAGGTTCAACTCTGTGAGCTGAATGCACACATAACAAAGAAGTTTCTGAGAATGACTCTGTCTAGTTTTTATGTGTAGATATTTCCGTTTCCAATGAAGGCCTCAAAGGAGTCCAAATATCCACTTGCATATTCTACAAAAAGATTGTTTAAAAACTGCTCTATCAAAAGGAAGGTTCAAGTCTGTGAGTTGAATGGACACATAAAAAAGTAGTTTCTGAGAATGCTTTTGTCCAGATTTTATGTGAAGATAATCCTGTTTCCAACGAAGTCATCAAATCAGTCCAAATATCTACTTGCAGATTGTACAAAAAGAGTGTTTCAAAACTGCTCTATCAAAAGTAAGGTTCAAATCTGTGAGTTGAATGCACACATTACAAAGAAATTCCTGAGAATGCTTCTGTCTAGTTTTTATGTGAATATATTCCCATTTCCAGCGAAGGCCTCAAAGCAGTCCAAATATGCAGATGCAGTTTCTACAAAAAGAGAGTTTCAAAGCTGCTCTGTGAAAACGTATGTTCAACTCCGTGAGTTGAATGCACACATAACAAAGAAGTTTCTGAGAGTCCTTCTGTTTAGTTTTTAAGTGAAGATAATCCCTTTTCAACCGTAGGCCTCAAACTACTCCAAATATCCACTTGCGGATTCTACAAAAGGAGTGTTTCAAAACTACTCTATGAAAAGGAAGGTTCAACTCTGTGATTTGAATGCACACATCAAAAAGAAGTTTCTGAGAATGCTTCTGTCTAGTTTTTATGTGAAGGTATTCCTGTTTCCATCAAAGGCCTCAAAGCCGTCCAAATATTCAAATGCAGATTCTGCAAAAACAGTTTTTCAAAACTACTCTATCAAAAGGAAGATTCAAATCTGTGAGTTGAATGTCATCATCATAAAGAAATTTTGGAGAATGCTTCTGTCTAGTTTTTATGTGAAGATATTTCCTTTTCTACCATAAGCCTCAAAGTGCTCCAAATATCCCCTTGCAGATTCTACAAAAAGAGTCTTTCAAAACTGCTTTATCAAAAGGAAGGTTCAACACTGTGAGTTGAATGCACACAGAACAAAGTAGTTCCTGACAATGCTTCTCTCTAGATTTTATGTGACGATATTCCAGTTTCCAACGAAGGCCTTAAGACAGTCCAACTATCCACTTGCAGATTCTACAAAAAGAGTGTTTCAAAACTGCTCTATCAAAAAGAAGGTTCAATTCAGTGACTTGAATGCACACATAACAAAGAATTTCCTGAGAAAGCTTCTGCTAGTATTTATTTGAAGATATTCCCGTTTCCAACGAAGGCCTCAAAGGAGTCCACATTTCCACTTTGCAGATTCTACCAAAAGAGTGTTTCAAAACTGCTCTATCAAAAGGAAGTTTCAACTCTCTGAGTTGAATGCTCACATCACAAAGCAGTTTCTGAGAATGCTTCTGTCTAGTTTTTATGTGAAGATATGCCCATTTCAAACATAGGCCTCAAAGTGCTCCAAATATCCACTTGCGGATTCTACAAAAAGAGTGTTTCAAAACTCCTCTATCAAAAGGAACATTCAACTCTGTGAGTTGAATGCAATCATCTCAGAGAAGTTTCTGAGAATGCCTCTGTCTAGTTTTTGTGTGAAGATATTTCCTTTTCTACCATAGGCCTCAAAGTGCTCAAAATATCCACTTGCAGTTTCTACAAAAAGGGTTTTTCAAAATTGCTCTATCAAAAGGAAGGTTCAAATTTGTGAGTTGAATGCACACATAACAAAGTAGTTTCTGAGAATGCTTCTGTCTAGATTTTATGTGATGATAATCCTGTTTCCAATGAAGTCCTAAAATCAGTCAAAATATCCACTTGCAGATTGTACAAAAAGAGAGTTTCAAAACTGCTCTTTCAAAAGCAAGGTTCAAGTCTGGGTTTTGAATGCACACATAAGAAGAAATTCCTGAGAATGCTTCTGTCCAGTTTTTATGTGAATATATTCCCGATTCCAGCGAGGGCCTCAAAGCAGTCCAAATATGCAGTTGCAGATTCTACAAAAAGAGTGTTTCAAAACTGCCCTGTGAAAAGTTATGTTCAACTCTGTGAGTTGAAAGCACACAAAAAAAAGAAGTTTCTGAGAATGCTTCTGTCTAATTTTTATGTGAAGATATTCAAGTTTCCAACGAAGGCCTGAAAGCAGTCCAAATATCCACTTGCAGATTCTACAAAAAGAGTGTTTCCAAACTCCTCTATCAAAAGGAAGGTTCAACTCTGTGAGTTGATTGCACACATAACAAAGTAGTTTCAGAGAATGCTTCTGTCTAGATTTTATGTGGAGATACTCTCGTTTCCAACGAAGGTCTCAAAGCAGTCCAAATATCCACTTTCAGATTCTACAAAAAGAGTGTTTCAAAACTGCTCTATCAAAGGAATGTTCAACTCTGTGATTTGAATGCACACATCACAAAGAAGTTTCTGAGAATGCTGCCGTCTAGTTTTAATGTGAAGATATTTCCTTTGCTACAATAGGCCTCAAAGTGCTCCAAATATCCACTTGCAGATTCTACAAAAAGAGAGTTTCAAAAATGCTCTATCAAAAGAAATGTTCAACTTCGTGAGTGGAATGCAGACATAACAAAGAAGTTTATGAGAATGCTTCTGTGTAGTTTGTTTGTAAAGATATTCAAGTTTCCAACGAAGGCCTCAAAGCAGTCTAAATATCCACTCGCAGATTCTACAAAAAGAGTTTTCCAAAACTGCTCTATCAAAAAGAAGGTTCACCTCTGTGATTTGAATGCACACATAAAAAAGAAGTTCCAGAGAATACATCTGTCTAGTATTTATGTGAAGATATTCTCATTTCAACCACAGGCCTCAAAGTGCTCCAAATATCCACTTGCAGATTCTAGAAAGAGAGTGTTACAAAACTGCTCTATCAAAAGCAAGATTCAACTTCGTGAGTTGAATTCAATCATCAAGAATTTTCTGAGAATCCTTCTGTCCAGTTTTTATGTGAAGATATTCCCGTTTGCAACGAAGGCCCCAAAGAAGTCCAAATATTCACTTGCAGTTTAAACAAAAAGAGTGTTTCAAAACTGCTGTATCAAAAGTAAGGTTCAACTCTGTGAGTTGAATGCACACATAAGAAAGAAGTTCCTGAGAATGCATCTGTCCAGTTTTTATGTGAATATATTCCCGTTTCCAGCGAAGACCTCAAAGCAGTCCAAATATCCACTTGGAGATTCTACAAAAAGAGTGTTTCAAAACTGCTGTATGAAAAGGTATGTTCAACACTGTGAGTTGAATGCACACATAACAAAGTCGATCCTGAGAATGCTTCTGTCTAGTATTTATGTGAAGATATTCCGGTATACAACGACGGCCTCAAAGCAGTCCTAATAACCACTTGCAGATTCTACAAAAAGAGTGTTTCAAAACTGCTCTATCAAAAGAAAGCTTCAACTCTGTGAGTTGAATGCACACATAATAGAGAAGTTTTTGAGAATGCTTCCGTCTAGTTTTTATGTGAAGTTATTCCCGTTTCCAACGAAGACCACAAAGCAGTCCAAATACCCACTTGCAGACTCTACAAAAAGGGTGTTTGAAAACCGCTGTATGAAGAGGTACGTTCAACTCTGTGAGCTGAATGCAATCATCACAAAGAAGTTCCTGAGAATGCTTCTGTCTACTTTTTATGTGACGATATTCCTGTTTCAATCATAGGACTCAAAGTGCTCCAAATATCCACTTGCAGATTCTACAAAAGGAGTGTTTCAAAACTGCTCTATCAAAAGGAAGGTTTCACTCTGTGAGTTGAATGCACACATCACAAAGAAGTTTCAGAGAATGTTTCTGTCTAGTTTTTATGTGACGATATTCCTGTTTCCAATGAGGGCCTCAAAGCAGTCCAAACATCCACTTGCAGATTCTTCAAAAAGAGTGTCTGAAAACCGCTCTATGAAAACGTATGTTCAACTCCATGAGTTGAATGTAATCATTCCAAAGCAGTTTCTGAGAATACTTCTGTCTTGTTTTTATGTGAAGATATTTCATTTTCTACCACAGGCCTCAAAGCGCTCCAAATATCCATTTGTAGATTCTACAAAAACAGTGTTTAAAAAATGCTCTATAAAAAAGAAGGTTCAAGTATGTGATTTGAATGCACCCATAACAAGGAAGTTCCTGAGAATGCTTCTGTCTAGTTTTTATGTGGAGATATTCCCCATTTCAATGAAGGCCTCAAAGCAGTCCAAATATCCACTTGCAGATTCTACAAAAAGAGTGTCTCAAAACTATTCAATCAAAAGGCAGGTTCACCTCCGTGAGTTGAATGCACACATAACAAAGAAGTTTCTGAGAATAGTTCTGTCTAGTTTTCCTGTGAAGATATTCCCGTTTCAACTGTAGGTCTCAAAGTGCTCCAAATATCCACTTGCAGATTCTACAAAACGAGTCTTTCAAAACTGCTGTATGAAAAGGAAAGTTCAAATCTGTGAGTTGAATGCACACATCAAAAAGCAGTTTCTGTGAATGCTTCTGTCTAGTTTTTAGGTGAAGATATTCTCGTTTCCAACGAAAGCCTCAAAGCCGTCCAAATATCCACTTACATATTCTATAAAAAGAGTGTTTGAAAACTGCTCTATGAAAAGGTATGTTCACTTCGGCGAGTTGAATGCAATCATCCCAAAGAAATTTCTGAGAATTCTTCTGTCTAGTTTTTATGTGAAGATATTTCATTTTCTACCATACTCCTCAATGCACTCCAAATATCCACTTGCAGATTCTACAAAAAGAGTGTATGAAACCAGCTCTATCAAAAGGAAGGTTCAACTCTGTGAGTTGAATACACACATAACAAACAAGTTCCTGAGAATGCTTCTGTCTAGTTTTCATGTGAAGATATTCCCGTTTCCAACAAAGGCCTCAAAGCAGTCCAAATATCCACTTGCAGAATCTACAAGAAGATTATTTCAAAACTGCTCTATCAAAAGGAAGGTTCAACTTTGTGAGTTGAATGCACACATAACAAAGTAGTTTCTGAGAATGCTTCTGTCTATATTTTATGTGAAGATATTCCTGTTTCCAACGAAGGCCTCAAAGCAGTCCAAATATCCACTTGCAGATTGTTACAAAAAGAGTGTTTCGAAACTTCTCTATCAAAAGTAAGGTTCTATTCTGTGAGTTGAATGCACACATAACAAAGAAGTTTCTGAGAATGCTTCTATCTAGATTTTATGTGAATATATTACTGTTCCCAGCGAAGGCCTCAAAGCAGCCCAAATATCCAATTGGAGATTCTACAAAAAGAGCTTTTCAAAACTGTTCTATGAAAAGGTATGTTCAACTCTGTGAGTT
The DNA here is from genome assembly GCF_000001405.40 of Homo sapiens. Lineage (NCBI taxonomy): Eukaryota > Metazoa > Chordata > Mammalia > Primates > Hominidae > Homo > Homo sapiens. Next base: position 48,922,957 of record NC_000011.10, read on the forward strand.
GAAGGTAATCGCCACAAGGAAGTTTCTGAGAATGCTTCTGTCTAGTTTTATGTGAAGATATTCCATTTTCTACCATAGGCCTCAAAGAGCTCCAAATATCTACTTGCAGATTCTACAAAAAGAGTGTTTCAAAACTGCTCTATCAAAAAGAAGGTTCAACACTGTGAGTTGAATGCACACATAATAAACAAGTTCCTGAGAATGCTTCTGTCTAGTTTTCATATGAAGATATTCCTTTTTGCAACGAAGCTCTCAAAGCAGTCCAAATATCCACTTGCAGATTGTACAAAAAGAGTGTTTCAAAACTGCTCTATCAAAAGGAGGTTTGAACTCTTTGAGTTGACTGCACACATAACAAAAAGTTTCTGAGAATGCTTCTGTCTAGTTTTTATGTGAAGATATTCCCATTTCCAGTGAAGGCCTCCCAGCAGTCCAAATATCCACATGTAGATGCTACAAAAAGAGTGTTTCAAAACTGCTCTATCAAAAAGAAGTTTCAACTCTGTGATTTGAATGCACACATAAGAAAGAAGTTCCTGAGAATGCTACTGTCTAGTATTTATGTGAAGGAAGTTATTCCTGTTTCCAACGAAGGCCTCAAAGCAGTGCAGATTCCACAAAAAGTGTGTGAAAACCGCTCTATGAAAAGGTATGTTCAAGTCTGTGAGTTGAATGCCATCATCACAAAGAAGTTTCTGAGAATGCTTCTATCTGGTTTTTATGTGAAGATATTTCCTTTTCTACCATAGGCCTGAAAGTACTCCAAATATCCACTTGCAGATTCTACAAAAAGAGTGTTTCAAAACTGCTCTATCAAAAAAAAGGTTCAACTCTGTGAGTTTAATGCACACATAACCAAGTAGTTCCTGAGAATGCTTCTGTCCAGTTTTTATGTGAAGATATTCTGGTTTCCAACGAATTCCTCAAAGCAGTCCCAATATCTACTTGCAGATTCTACAAAAAGAGTCTTTCAAAACTGCTCTATCAAAAGGAAGGTTCAACTCTGTGAGTTGAATGCACACTTAACAAAGAAGTTTCTGAGAATGCTTCTGTCTAGTGTTTATGTGAATATATTGCCTTTTCCAATGAATGCCTAACTGCACTCCAAATATCCACTTGCAGGTTCTACATAAAGAGAGTTTCAAAACTGCTCTTTCAAAAGTAAGGTTCAACAGTGTGAGTTGAATGCACACTGACAAAGAAGTTCCTGAGAATGCTTCTGTCTAGTGTTTATGTAAATATATTCCCGTTTCCAACGAAGGCCTCAAAGCGATCCAAATATCCACTTGCAGATTCTACAAAAAGAATTTTACAAAACTGCTCTGAGAAAAGGTATGTTCAAATTTGTGAGTTGAAGGCAATCATCCCAAAGAAGTTTCTGAGAATATTTCAGTCTAGCTTTTATGTGAAGATATTTCCTTTTCTACCATAGGCCTGAAAGTACTCCAAATATCCATTTGAAGATTATACAAAAAGAGTGTTTCAAAACTGCTCTATCAAAAAGAAGGTTCAACTCTGTGAGTTGAATCCACACATAACAAAGAAGTTCCTGAGAATGTTTCTGTTTTGTATATATGTGAAGGAAGATTTTCCCGTTTCCAATGAAGGCCTCGAAGCAGTCCAAATATCCACTGGCAGATACTACAAAAAGAGTGTTTCAAAACTGCTCTATCAAAAGAAAGGTTCAACTCCGTGAGTTGAATGCACACATAACAAAGAAGTTTCTGAGAATACTTCTGTCTAGTTTTTATGTGAAGATACACCCTTTTCAACCGTAGGCCTCAGAGTGCTCCAAATATCGACTTGCAGATTCTATAAAAGGAGTGTTTCAAAACTGCTCTATCAAAAGGATGGTTCAAATCTGTGAGTTGAATGCACACATCACAAAGAAGTTTCTGAGAATGCTTCTGTCTTGTTTTTATGTGAAGATATTCCCGTTTCCAACGAAGGCCTCAAAGCAGTCCAAATATCCAATTGCAGACTCCACAAGAAGAGAGTTTGAAAACCGCTCTATGAAAAGGTATGTTCAACTCTGTGAGTTGAATGCAATCATCACAAAGAAGTTTCTGAGGATGCTTCTGTCTAGTTTTTATGTGAAGATATTTCATTTTCTACCATAGGCCTCAAAGCGCTCCAAATATCCACTTGCAGATTCTACAAAAAGAGTGTTTCAAATTGGTCTATCAAAAAGAAGGTTCAATTCTGTGATTTGAATGCACACATAACAAGGAAGTTCCTGAGAATTCTTGTGTCTAGTATTTATGTGAAGGAAGATATTCCCGTTTCCAACGAAGGCCCCAAAGCAGTCCAAATATCCACTTGCAGATTCTACAAAAGGAGTGTTTCAAAACTGCTCTATCAAAAGAGAAGTTCAACTCTGTGAGTTGAAAGCACACATCACAAAGTAGTTTCTGAGAATGATTCTGTCTAGTGTTTATATGAAGGTACTACCTTTTCTACCATAGGCCTCAAAACGCTGCAAATATCCACTTGCAGATTCTACAAAAGGAGTGTTTCAAAACTGCTCTATCAAAAGAGAAGTTCAACTCTGTGAGTTGAAAGCACACATCACAAAGTAGTTTCTGAGAATGATTCTGTCTAGTGTTTATATGAAGGTACTACCTTTTCTACCATAGGCCTCAAAACGCTGCAAATATCCACTTGCAGATTCTACAAAACGAGGGTTTCAAAACTGCTCTATCAAAAGGAGGTTTGAACTCTTTGAGTTGATTGCACACATAACAAAAAGTTCCTAAGAGTGCTTCTGTCTAGTTTTTATGTGAAGATATTCCCGTTTCCAGTGAAGGCCTCCGAGCAGTCCAAATATCCAAATGTAGATGCGACAAAAAGAGTGTTTCAAAACTGCTCTATCAAAAAGAAGTGTCAACTCTGTGATTTGAATACACACATAACAAAGTGGTTTCTGTGAATGCTTCTGTCTGGTATTTATGTGTGGATATTACCGTTTCCAATGAAGACCTCAAAGCAGTCACAATATCCACTTGCAGATTCTACAAAAAGAGTGTTGCAAAACTGCCCTATCGAAAAGAAGCTCCAACTCTGTGATTTGAATGCACACATAACAAAGAAGTTACTGATAATGCTTCTGTCTAGTATTTATGTGAAGGAAGATATTCCCGTGTCCAACGAAGGTCTCAAAGCAGTACAAATATCCACTTGCATATTCTACAAAAAGAGTGTTTCAAAACTGCTCTATCAAAAGAAAAGTTCAATTCCATGAGTTGAATGCACACGTAACAAAAAGGTTTCTGAGAAGGCTTCTGTCTAGTTTTTATGTGAACATATTCTCCTTTCAACCGTTGACATCAAAGTGATCCAAATATCCACTTGCAGATTCTACAAAAGGAGTGTTTCAAAACTGTTCTATCAAAGGGAAGGTTAAACTCTGTGAGTTGGATGCACACATCACGAAGAAGTTTCTGAGAATGCTTCTGTCTAGCTTTTATGTGAAGATATTTCTGTTTCCAACGAAGGCCTCAAAGCAGTCCAAATATCCACTTGCAGATTCTACAAGAAGAGTGTTTGAAAACCGCTCTATGAAAACGTATGTTCAACCCTGTGAGTTGAATGCTATCATCACAAAGAAGTTTCTGAGAATGCTTCTGTCTAGTTTTTATGTGAGGATATTTCATTTTCTACCATAGGCCACAAAGCACTCCAAATATACACTTAGAGATACTACAAAAATAGTGTTTCAATACTGCTCTATCAAAAAGAAGATTCAAATCTGTGAGTTGAATGCACACATCACAAAGAAGTTTCTGTGAATGCTTCTGTCTAGTTTTCATGTGAAGATATTCCTGTTTCCAACGAAGGCCTCAAACAAGTCCAAATATCCACTTGCAGATTCTACAAAAAGAGTGTTTCAAAACTGCTTTATCAAAGGGAACGTTCAACTCTGTGAGTTGAATGCACACATCACAAAGAAGTTTCTGAGAATGCTTCTGTCTAGTTTTTATGTGAAGATATTCCCGTTTCCAATGAAGGCCTCAAAGCAGTCCTAATATCCACTTGCAGATTCTACAAAAAGCGTGTTTCAAAATTGCTCTATCAAAAGGAAGGTTCAACTCTGTGAGTTGAATGCACTCATAACAAAGAAGTTCCTGAGAATGTTTTTGTCTAGTTTTTATGTGAATATATTCCTGTTTCCAGCAAAGGCCTCAAAACAGTCCAAATATCCAGTTACAGATTCTACAAAAAGAGTGTTTCAAAACTGCTGCATGAAAAGGTATGTTGAATACTGTGAGCTCAATGCACACATCACAAAGAAGTTTCTGAGAATGCTTCTGTCTAGTTTTTATGTGAAGATATTCCCGTTTCCAACGAAGGTATCAAAGCAGTCCAAATATTCACTTGCAGATTCTACAAAAGAGTGTTTTAAAACTCCTCTATCAAAAGAAAGGTTCAACTCTGTGAGCTGAATGAAAACATAACTAAGTAGTTTCTGGGAATGCTTCTGTCTAATATTTATGTGAAGATATTCCCGTTTCCAACGAAGGCCTTAAAGCAGTCCAAATATCCACTTGCAGATTCTACAAAAAGAGTGTTTCAAAACTGGTCTATCAAAAGAAAGGTTCAACTCCGTGAATTGAATGCACACATCACAAAGAAGTTTTGAGAATGCTTCTGTCTAGTTTTTATGTGAAGATATTCCCGTTTCAACCGTAGGCCTCAAAGTGCTCCAAATATCCACTTGCAGGTTCTACAAAAGGAGTGTTTCAGAACTGCTCAATCATTTTTTATTGCGTCTGTTTGTTTCTTCTCTCTTTTTTTCTTTATTAGTCTTGCTAGAGGTCTATCAATTTTGTTGGTCCTTTCAAAAAACCAGCTCCTGTATTCATTAATTTTTTGAAGGGTTTTTGTGTGTCTATTTCCTTCAGTTCTGCTCTGATTTTAGTTATTTCTTGCCTTCTGCTAGCTTTTGAATGTGTTTCCTCTTGCTTTTCTAGTTCTTTAATTGTGATGTTAGGGTCTCAATTTTGGATCTTTCCTGCTTTCTCTTGTGGGCATTTAGTGCTATAAATTTCCCGCTGCACACTGCTTTGAATGCGTCCCAGAGAATCTGGAATGTTATGTCTTTGTTCTCGTTGGTTTCAAAGAACATATTTATTTCTGCCTTCATTTCTTTATGTACCCAGTAGTCATTCAGGAGCAGGTTGTTCAGTTTCCATGTAGTTGAGCGGTTTTGAGTGAGATTCTTAATCCTGAGTTCTAGTTTGATTGCACTGTGGTCTGAGAGATAGTTTGTTATAATTTCTGTTCCTTTACATTTGCTGAGGAGAGCTTTACTTCCAAGTATGTGGTCAATTTTGGAACAGGTGTGGTGTGGTGGAAATGATAAAGGGGATATCACCACCAATCCCACAGAAATGGAAACTACCATCAGAGAATGCTACAAACACCTCTATGCAAATAAACTAGAAAATCTAGAAGAAATGGATAAATTCCTCGACACACGCACTCTCCCAAGACTAAACCAGGAAGAAGTTGAATCTCTGAATAGATCAATAACAGGAGCTGAAATTGTGGCAATAATCAATAGCTTACCAACCAAAAAGAGTCCAGGACTAGATGGATTCACAGCCGAATTCTACCAGAGGTACAAGGAGCAAATCGTACCATTCCTTCTGAAACTATTCCAATCAATAGAAAAAGAGGGAATACTCCCTAACTCATTTTATGAGGCCAGCATCATTCTGATACCAAAGCCGCACAGAGACACAACAAAAAAAGAGAATTTTAGACCAATATCCTTGATGAACTTTGATGCAAAAATCCTCAATAAAATACTGGCAAAACGAATCCAGCAGCACATCAAGAAGCTTATCCACCATGATCAAGTGGGCTTCATCCCTGGGATGCAAGGCTGGTTCAATATACGCAAATCAATAAATGTAATCCAGCATATAAACAGAGCCAAAGACAAAAACCACATGATTATCTCAATAGATGCAGAAAAAGCCTTTGACAAAATTCAACAACCCTTCATGTTAAAAACTCAATAAATTAGGTATTGATGGGACGTATTTCAAAATAATAAGAGCTATCTATGACAAACCCACAGCCAATATCATACTGAATGGGCAAAAACTGGAACCATTCCCTTTGAAAACTGGCACAAGACAGGGATGCCCTCTCTCACCACTCCTATTCAACATAGTGTTGGAAGTTCTGGCCAGGGCAATTAGGCAGGAGAAGGAAATAAAGGGTATTCAATTAGGAAAAGAAGAAGTCAAATTGTCCCTGTTCGCAGATGACATGATTGTATATCAGAAAACCTCATTGTCTCAGCCCAAAATCTCCTTAAGCTGATAAGCAACTTCAGCAAAGTCTCAGGATACAAAATCAATGTACAAAAATCACAAGCATTCTTATGCACCAACAACAGACAAACAGAGAGCCAAATCATGAGTGAACTCCCATTCACAATTGCTTCAAAGAGGATAAAATACCTAGGAATCCAACTTACAAGGGATGTGAAGGACCTCTTCAAGGAGAACTACAAACCACTGCTCAAGGAAATAAAAGAGGATACAAATAAATGGAAGAACATTCCATGCTCATGGGTAGGAAGAATCAATATCGTGAAAATGGCCATACTGCTCAAGGTAATTTACAGATTCAATGCCATCCCCATCAAGCTACCAATGTCTTTCTTCACAGAATTGGAAAAAACTACTTTAAATTTCATATGGAACCAGAAAAGAGCCTGCATCACCAAGTCAGTCCTAAGCCAAAAGAACAAAGCTGGAGGCATCACACTACCTGACTTCAAATTATACTACAAGCCTGCAGTAACCAAAACAGCCTGGTACTGGTACCAAAACAGAGATATAGATCAATGGAACAGAATAGAGCCCTCAGAAATAACACCGCATATCTACAACTCTCTGATCTTTGACAAACCTGAGAAAAACAAGCAATGGGAAAAGGATTCCCTATTTAATAAATGGTGCTGGAAAAACTGGCTAGCCATATGTAGAAAGCTGAAATTGGATCCCTTCCTTACACCTTATACAAAAATCAATTCAAGATGGATTAAAGACTTAAACGTTAGACCTAAAACCATAAAAACCCTAGAAGAAAACCTAGGCATTACCATTCAGGACATAGGCATGGGCAAGGACTTCATGTCTAAAACACCAAAAGCAAAGGCAACAAAAGCCAAAATTGACAAATGGGATCAATTAAACTAAAGAGCATCTGCACAGCAAAAAAAAACCACCATCAGAGTGAACAGGCAACCTACACAATGGGAAAAATTTTTTGCAACCTACTCATCTGACAAAGGGCTAATATCCAGAATATACAATGAACTCAAACAAATTTATAAGAGAAAAAGAATCCCATCAAAAAGTGGGCAAATGACATGAACAGACACTTCTCAAAAGAAGACATATATGCAACCAAAAATCAAATGAAAAAAATGCTCATCATCAATGGCCATCAGAGTAATGCAAATCAAAACCACAATGAGATAGCATCTCACACCAGTTAGAATGGCAATCATTAAAAAGTCAGGAAACAACAGGTGCTGGAGAGGATGAGGAGAAATAGGAACAGTTTTACACTGTTGGTGGGACTGTAAACTAATTCACCCTTTGTGGAAGTCAGTGTGGTGATTCCTCAGGGATCTAGAACTGGAAATACCGTTTGACCCAGCCATCCCATTACTGGCTATATACCCAAAGGATTATAAATCATGCTGCTATGAAGACACATGCTCACTTATGTTTATTGCGGCATTATTCACAATAGCAAAGACTTGGAACCAACCCAAATGTCCAACAATGATAGACTGCATTAAAAAAATGTGGCACATATACACTATGGAATACTATGCAGCCATAAAAAATGATGAGTTTATGTCCTTTGTAGGGACATGGATGAAATTGGAAATCATCATTCTCAGTAAACTATTGCAAGAACAAAAAACCAAACACCAAGTATTCTCACTCATAGGTGGGAATTGAACAATGAGAACACATGGACACAGGAAGGGGAGCATCATACCCTGGGGACTGGTTGTGGGGTGGGGGGAGGAGGGAGGGATAGCATTGGGAGATATACCTAATGCTAGATGACGAGTTAGTGGGTGCAGGGCACCAGGATGGCACATGTATACATATGTAACTAACCTGCACATTATGCACGTGTACCCTAAAACTTAAAGTATAATAATAATAAATAAATAAATAAATAAAAAAAACCTGCCAATCAAAAGAAAAGTTCAACTCTGTGAGTTGAATGCACCATCAAAAAGTAGTTTCTGAGAATGCTTCTGTCTAGTGTTTATATGAAGATAATTTCTTTTCTACCATAGGCCTGAAAGCACTCAACAAATCCACTTGCAGATTCTACAAAAAGAGTATTTCAAAACTGCTCTATAAAAAGGAAGGTTCAACTCTGTGAGTTGAATGCACACATAACAAAGAAATTCCTGAGAATGCTTCTGTCTAGTTTTTATGTGAATATATTCCCGTTTCCAGCGAAGGCTACAAAGCAGTCCAAATATCCACTTGCAGATACTACAAAAAGAGTGTTTCAAAACTGCTCTATCAAAAGAAAGGTGCAACTCTGTGAGTTGAATGGACAAATAACAAAGAAGCTTCTGAGAATGCTTCTGTCTACTTTTTATGTGAAGATATTCGCGTAGGCCTCAAAGTGCTCCAAATACCCACTTTCAGATTCTACAAAAAGAGTGTTTCAAAACTGCTCTACGAAAAAGGTATGCTCAACTCCGTGAGTTGAATGTACACATCACAAAGAAGTTCCTGAGAAGGCTTCTGTCTAGTTTTTATGTGAAGATATTCCCGTTTCAACCGAAGGCCTCAAAGTGCTCTAAATATCCAATTGCAGATTCTACAAAAGGAGTGTTTCAAAACTGCTCTGTGAAAAGGAAGGTTCAACTCTGTGAGTTGAATGCAAACATCACAAATAAGTTTCTGAGAATGCTTTTGTCTAGTTTTTAAGTGAAGATATTCCCGTTTCCAACGAAGGCCTCAAAGCAGTCCAAATATCCACTTGCAGAATCTACAAAAAGAGTGTTTGAAAACCGCTCTATGAAAAGTTATGTTCAACTATGTGAGTTGAATGCAATCATCACAAAGAAGTTTCTGAGAATGCTTCCGTGTAGTTTCTGTGTGAAGATATTTCATTTTCTACCATAGGCCTCAAAGTGCTCCAAATATCCACTTGCAGATTCTACAAAAAGAGTGTTTCAAAACTGCTCTGTCAAAAAGAAGGTTCGATTCTGTGAGTTGAATGCACACATCACAAAGAAGTTCCTGAGAATGCTTCTGTCTAGTTTCAAGTGAAGATTTTTCCATTTCCAACGAAGGCTTCAAAGCAGTCCAAATATCCACTTGCAGATTCTACAAAAAGAGGGTTTCAAAACTGATCTATCAAAAGGAAGTTTCAACTCTGTGAGTTGAATGTGCACATAACAAAGAAGTTCCTGAGAATGCTTCTGTCTAGTTTTTATGTGAATATATTACTGTTTCCAGCAGAGGCCTCAAAGTAGTCCAAATATCCAGTTCAGATTCTACAAAAAGAGTGTTTCAAAACTACTGTATGAAAAGGTATGTTCAACACTCTGAGCTAAATGCACACATCACAAAGAAGTTTCTGAGAATGCTTCTGTCTAATTTTTATGTGGAGATATTCCCATTTCCAACGAAGGCCTCAAAGCAGTCCAAATATCCACTTGAATATTCCACCAAAAGAGTGTTTCAAAATAGCTCAATCAAAAGGAAGGTTCAATTCTATGAGTTGAATGAACACACAATGAAGTAGTTCGTGAGAATGCTTCTGTCTAGTATTTATGTGAAGATATTCCCGTTTCCAATGAAGGCCTCAAAGCAGTCCAAATATCCACTTGCAGATTATACAAAAGGTGTGTTTGAAATCTGGTCTACAAAAAGGTATGTTCAACTCTGTGAGTTGAAGACAATCAGCACAAAGAAGTTTCATAGAATAGTTCTGTCTAGTTTCTAGATGAAGATATTTACTTTTCCACCATAGGTCTCAAAGTGCTCCAAATATCCACTTGAAGATTATTCAAAAAGACTGTTTCAAAACTGCTCTATCAAAAAGAAGGTTCAACTCTGTTAGTTGAACGCACACATAACCAAGAAGTTACTGAGAATGCTTCTGTCTAGTTTTTATATGAAGATATTCCCGTTTCCGACCAAGGCCTCACAGCAGTCCAAATATCCACTTGCAGATTCTACAATAAGAGAGTTTCAAAACTGCTCTATTAAAAGGAAGCTTCAACTCTACGAGTTGAATGCACACATAGCAAAGTCCTATCTGAGAATGTTTCTGTCTGTATTTTATGTGAAGATATTCCTGTTTCCAACGAAGTCCTCAAAGCAGTCCAAATATCCACTTGCAGATTGTAGAAAAAGAGTGTTTCCAAACTGCTCTATCAAAAGGAAGGTTCAACTCTGTGAGTTGAATGTACACATAACAACAAAGTTCCTGAGAATGCTTTTGTCTGCTTTTTTTGTGAATATATTACCGTTTCCAGCGAAGGCCTCAAAGCAGTCCAAATATCCAGTTGCAAATTCTACAAAAGGAGTGTTTCAAAAGTGCTCTACGAAAAGGTGTGTTGAACTCTGTTAGTTGAAGTCAATCATCACAAAGAAGTTTCTGAGAACGCTTCTGTCTAGTTTTTTTGTGAAGATATTTCTATTCTACCATAAGCCTCAAAGCGTTGCAAACATCAACTTGCAGATTCCACAAAAAAAGTGATTCAAAACGACTCTATGAAAAAGAAGGTTCAACTCTGTGAGTTGAATGCACACATCACAAAGAAGTTTCTGAGAATGCTTCTGTCTAGTTTTTATGTGAAGATATTCCCATTTCCAACGAAGGCCTCAAAGCAGTCCAAATATCCACTTGCAGGTTCCACAAAAAGAGTGTTTCAAAACAGCTCTATCAAAAGGAAGGTTCAACTCTGTGAGTTGAATGAACACATAACGAAGTAGTTCGTGAGAATGCTTCTGTCTAGTATTTATGTGAAGATATTCCCGTTTCCAATGAAGGCCTCAAAGCAGTCCAAATATCCAATTGCAGATTATAAATAAACTGTGTTTCAAATCTGCTCTACAAAAAGGTGTGTTCAATTCTGTGAGTTGAAGGCAATAAGCACAAAGAAGTTTCATAGAATAGTTCTGTCTAGTTTTTACGTGAGGATATTTCCTTTTCTACATAGGCCTCAAAGCGCTCCAAATATCCACTTGAAGATTATTCAAAAGGACTGTTTCTAAACTGCTGTATCAAAAAGAAGGATCTACTCTGCGATATGAATGTACACATAACCAAGAAGTTCCTGAGAATGCTTCTGTCTAGTTTCCATGTGAAGATATTCCTGTTTCCAATGAAGACCCCAAAGCAGTCCAAATATCCACTTGCAGATTCTACAAAAAGAGTGTTTCAAAACTGCTCTATCAAAAGGAGGGTTCAACTCTATGAGCTGAATTCACAAATAACAAAGAAGTTTCTGAGAATGCTTCTGTCTAGTTTTTATATGAAGATATTCCCGTTTCCAACCAAGGCCTCACAGCAGTCCAAATATCCACTTGCAGATTCTACAATAAGAGAGTATCAAAACTGCTCTATCAAAAGGAAGGTTCAACTCTATGAGTTGAATGCACACATAGGAAGGTCGTTTCTGGGAATGTTTCTGTCTGTAGTTTATGTGAAGGTATTCCTGTTTCCAATGAAGTCCTCAAAGCAATCCAAATATCCAGTTACAGATTCTACAAAAAGAGTGTTTCAAAACTGCTCTATGAAAAGGTATGTTGAACTCTGTGAGTTGTAGGCAATCATAACAAAGAAGTTTCTGAGAAAGCTTCCGTCTAGTTTTTTTGTGAAGATATTTCTTTTCTACCATAGACCTCAAAGCATTCCAAAAATCTACTTGCAAATTCCACAAAAAAAGTGTTTCAAAACGACTCTATGAAAAAGAAGGTTCAACTCTGTGAGTTGAATGCACACATAACAAAGAAGTTCCTGAGAATTCTTCGGTCTAGTATTTATGTAAAGGAAGATATTCCCGTTTCCAACGAAGGCCTCAAAGCAGTATAAATATACTCTTGCAGATTCTACAAAAAGAGTGTTTCAAAACTGCTGTATCAAAATAAAGGTTCAACTCGGTGAGTTGAATGCACACATAACAAAGAAGTTTCTGAGAATGTTCCTGCCTAGTTTTTATGTGAAGATATCCCCTTTTCAACCGTAGACTTCAAAGTACTCCAAATATCCACTTGCAGATACTACAAAAGGAGTGTTTCAAAACTGCTCTATCAAAAGGAAGGTTCAACTCTCTGAGTTGAATGCACACATCACAAAGAAGTTTCTGAGAATGCTTCTGTCTAGTTTTTACGTGAATATATTCCCGTTTCCAGTGAAGGCCTCAAAGCAGTCCAAATATCCACTTGCGGATTCTACAAAAAGAGTGTTTGAAAATCGCTCTTTGAAAAGGTATGTTCAACTCTGTGAGATGAAAGCCATCATCACAAAGAAGTTTCTGAGAATGCCTCTGTCTAGTTTTTTGAAAAGATATTTCATTTTCCACCATAGGCCTCAAAGTGCTCCTAATATCCACTTACAGATACTACAAAAAGAGTGTTTCAAAACTGCTCTATCAAAAACAAAGTTCAACTCTGTGAGTTGAATGCACACATAACAAAGAAGCTCCTAAAAATGCTTCTATCTAGTTTTCATTTGAAGATATTCCCTCTTCCAAAGAAGGCCTCAAAGCATTCCAAATACCCACTTGCAGATTCTACAAAAAGAATGTTTGAAAACTGCTGTATCAAAAGGAAGGTTGAACTATGTGAGTTGAAGGCAATCATCACAAGGAAGTTTCTGAGAATACTTCTGTCTAGTTTTCAGGTGAAGATATTTCCTTTTCTACCATAGGCCTCAAAGCACTCCAAATATCCACTTACAGATTGTACAAAAAGAGTGTTTCAAAACTGCTTTATCAAAAAGAAGTTTCAACTCTGTGATTTGAATGCACACATAACAAAGAAGTTCCTGAGAATGCTTCCGTCTATTATTTATGTGAAAAAAGTTATACTCATTTCCAACAAAGGCCTCAATGCAGTCCCAATATCTACTTGCAGATTCTACAAAAAGAGTGTTTCAAAACTGCTCTATCAAAGGAAATGTTCAACTCAGTGCGTTGAATGCACACTTAACAAAGAAGTTTCTGAGAATGCTTCTGTCTAGTTTTTATGAGAACGTATCGCTGTTTCAACCATAGGCCTCAAAGTGCTCCAAATATCCACTTGCAGATTCTACAAAAGGAGTGTTTCAAAACTGTTCTATGAAAAGTTCAACTCTGTGAGTTGAATACAGACATCACAAAGTAGTTTCTGAGAATGCTTCTGTCTAGTGTTTATATGAAGATATTTCCTTTTCTACCTTAGGTCTCAAAGTGCTCCAAATATCCACTTGCAGATTCTTCAAAAAGTGTGTTTCAAAACTGCTTTATCAAAAAGAAGGTTCAACTCTGTGAGTTGAATGCACACATCCAAAGAAGTTCCTGAGAATGCTTCTGTCTAGTATTTATGTGAATAAAGATATTCCTGTTTCCAACGAAGGAATCAAAGCATTCCAAATATCCACTTGCAGAATCTACAGAAAGAATGTTTCAAAACTGCTCTATAAAAACAAAGGTTCAACTCCGTGAGTTGAATGCACACATAACAAACAAGTTTCTGAGAATGCTTCTGTCTAGTTTTTATGTGAAGATATTCCCATTTCAACCGTAGGCCTCATATTGCTTCAAATATCCACTAGCAGATTCTACAAAAGGAGTGTTTCAAAACTGCTCTATCAAAAGGAAGGTTCAAATCTGTGAGTTGAATGCACATATCACAAAAAAGTTTCTGAGAATGCTTCTGTCTAGTTTTTATGTGAAGATATTCCCGTTTTCAACGAAGGCCTCAAAGCAGCCCAAATATCCACTTGCAAATTCCACAAAAAGAGTGGTTGAAAACCGCTCTACAAAAAGGTATGTTCAACTCTGTGATTTGAAAGCAATCATCACAGAGAAGTTTCTGAGAATGCTTCCGTCTAGTTTTTATGTGAAGGTATTTCATTTTCTATCATAGGCCTCAAAGTGCTCCAAATTTCCACTTGCAGATTCTCAAAAGAGATTTTTTCCAAACTGCTCTATCAAAAGGAATGTTCAACTCTGTGGGTTAAATGCACACATAAGAAAGAAGTTCCTTAGAATGCTTCTGTCAAGTTTTCATGTTAAGATATATTCCCATTACCAACGAAGGCCACAAACCAGTCCAAATTTCCACTTGCAGATTCTACAAAAAGAGTGTTTGAAAACCGCTCTGTGAAAAGGGACGTTCACCTCTGTGAGTTGAATGCAATCATCACAAAGAAGTTTCAGAGAATGCTTCCGTCTAGTTTTTATATGAAGATATTCCATTTTCTACGATAGGCCTTAAAGTGATCCAAATATCCACTTGCAAATTATACAAAAAGGGTGTTTCAAAACTGCTCTCTCAAAAGGAAGGTTCAATCTGTGAGTTGAATGCACACATAACCAAGAAGTTCCTGAGAATGCTTCTGTCTAGTATTTACGTGAAGGAATACGTTCCCGTTTCCAACGAAGGCCTCAAAGCATTCCAAATACCCACTTGAAGATTGTACAAAAAGAGCGTTTCAAAACTGCTCTATCAAAAGGAAGGTTCAACTCCGTGAATTGAATGCACACATCAGGAAGAAGTTCCTGAGAATGCTTCTGCCTAGCTTTTATGTGAAGATATTCCAGTTTCAACCGTAGGCCTCAAAGTGTTCCAAATATCCACTTACAGATTCTACAAAAGGAGTGTTTCAAGACTGCTCTATCAAAAGGAAAGTTCAACTCTGTGAGCTGAATTCACACATCACAAAGAAGTTTCTGAGAATGCTTCTGTCTAGTTTTTATGTGAGGATATTCCCATTTCCAAAGAAGGCCTCAAAGCAGTCCAAATATCCACTTGCAGATTATACAAAAAGATGTTTCAAAACTGCTCTATCAAAGAGAAGTTCAACTCTGTGAGTTGAATGCACACATAACAAAGGAGTTTCTAAGAATGATTCAGTGTAGTGTTTATATTAAGATATTTCCTTTTCTACCAAAGGCCTCAAAGTGCTCCAAATATCCACTTGCAGATTCTACAAAAAGAGTGTTTGAAAACGGATCTATCAAAAGGAAGGTTCAACTCTGTGAGTTGAAAGCACACATCCAAAGAATTTCCTGAGAATGCTTCTGTCTACTATTTACATGAAGGAAGGTATTCCCGTTTCCAACAAATGCCTCAAAGCAGTACAAATATCTACTTGCAGATTCTACAAAAAGATTGTTTCAAAACCGCTCTATGAAAAGGTATTTTCAACCCTGTGAGTGGAATGCAATTATCACAAAGAAGTTTCTGAGAATCCTTCTAAGTAGTTTTTATGTGAAGATATTTCATTTTCTACCTGAGGCCTCAAAGCGCTCCAAATATTCACTTGCAGATTCTAGAAAAGGAGTGTTTCAGAACTGCTCTACCAAGGAAAAGTTCAACTCTGTGTGTTGAATGCACATATAACAAAGAAGTTTCTGAGAATCCTTCCGTGTAGTGTTTATATGAAGATATTTCCTTTTCTACCATAGGCCTCAAAGCGCTCCAAATTTAAATTTGCAGATTCTACAAAAAGAGTGTTTCAAAACTGCTCTATCAAAAAGAAGGTTCAAATCTGTGAGTTGAATGCACACATCCAAAGAAATTCCTGAGAATGCTTCTGTCTTGTTTTCTTGTGAAGATGTTCCTGTTTCCAACGAAGGCCTCAAGGCAGAGCAAATATCCACTTGCACATTCTACAAAAAGAGTGTTTCACATCCCCTCTATCAAAAGGAAGGTTCAACTGTGTGATTTGAATGCACACATAACAAAGAAGTTCCGGAGAATGCTTCTGTCTACTATTTATGTGAAGATATTCCTGTTTCTAACGAAGGCCTCCAAGCAGTCCACATATCCACTTGCAGATTCTAAAGAAATTGTGTTTCCAAACTGCTCTATCAAGAGGAAGGTTCAACTCTGTGAGTTGAAAGCACACATCACAAGGAAGTTTCAGACAATGCTTCTGTCTAGTTTTTATGTGAAGATATTCCCGTTTTAACCGTAGGCCTCAAAGTGCTCCAAATATCCACTTGCAGATTCTACAAAAAGAGTGTTTCAAAACTGCTCTATCAAAAGAAAGGTTCAACTCTGTGAGTTGGATGCACACATAACAAAGTAGTTCCTGAGAATTATTCTGTCTGGTTTTTACGTGAAGATATTCCCGTTACCAATGAAGTCCTCAAAGCAGTCCAAATATCCACTTGCAGATTCTACCAGAAGAGTGTGTCAAAACAACTCTATTAAAAGAAAGGTTCAACTTCGTGAGTTGAATGCACAGATAACAAAGAAGTCTCTGAGAATGCTCCTGTCTACTTTTTATGTGAAGATATTTCCTTTTCTACCATAGGCCTCAAAGCACGCCAAATATCCACTTGCAGATTCTACAAAAAGAGTGTTTCAAAACTGCTCTGTCAAAAGCAAGGTTCAACTCTGTGAGTTAAATGCCCACAGAACAATGTTTTTTCTGATAATGCTTCTGTCCAGATTTTATGTGAAGGTATACCCATTTCCAATGAAGGCCTCAAAGTAGTCCAAATATCCATTTGCAGATTCTACAAAAAGAGTGTTTCAAAACTGCCCTATCAAAGGAAAGGTTCAACTCCGTGAGTTGAATGCACATGTAACAAAGGAGTTCCTGAGAATGCTTTTGTCTAGTTTTTAGGTGAAGATATTTCCTTTTCTACTATACGCATCAAAGCGCTTCAAATATCCACTTGCAGATTCTACAAAAAGAGTGTTTCAAAACTGCTCTATCAAAAGGAAGCTTCAACTCTGTGGGTTGAATGCACACATAACCAAGTACTTTTTGAGAATGCTTCCATCTAGATTTTATGTAAAGATATTCCCGTATCCAATGAAGGCCTCAAAGCAGTCAAAATATCCAATTGCAGCCTCTACAAAAAGAGTGTTTCAAAACTGTTCTATCAAAATGAAGGTTCAACTCTGTGACTTGAATGCACACATAACAAAGGAGTTCCTGAGATTGCTTCTGCCTAGCTTTTATGTGAAGATATTTCCGTTTCAACTGTAGGCCTCAAAGTGCTCCAAATTTCCACTTGCAGATTCTACAAAAAGAGTGTTTCAAAAGTGCTGTATCAACAGGAAGGTTCAACTCTGTGAGTTGAATGCATACATCACAGAGAAGTTTCTGAGAATGCTTCTGTCTAGTTTTTATGTGAAGATGTTCCCGTTTCCAACAAAGGCCTCAAAGCAGTCCAAATATCCACTTGCAGATTCTACAAAAACTGTTTCAAAACCGCTCTATGAAAAGGTATGTTCAACTCTATGAGTTGAATGCAATCATCACAAAGAAGTTTCTGAGAATACTTCTGTCCAGTTTTTATGTATAGATATTTCCTTTTCAACCATAGGCCTCAAAGCGCTCCAAATATCCACTTGCAGATTCTACAAAAAGAGTGTTTCAAACCTGCTCTATCAAAACTAAGGTTCAACTCTGTTAGTTGAATGGACACATAACAAAGTAGTTCCTGAGAAGGCTTCTGTCTAGTTTTTATGTGAAGATGTTCCCATTTCCAAGAAGGCCCCAAAGCAGTCCATATATCCACTTGCAGATTCTACAAAAAGAGTGTTTCATAACTGTTCTATCAAAAGGAAGGTTCAACTCTGCGAGTTCAATGCACACATCACAAAGAAATTTCTGAGAATGCTTCTGTCTATTTTTATGTGAAGATAATCCGGTTTCCAATGAAGGCCTCAAAGCATTCCAAGTATACACTTGCAGATTCTACAAAAAGAGCTTTTCAAAACTCCTCTATCAAAAGGAAGGTTCAACTCTGTGAGTTGAATGTACACATAACAAAGTAGATTCTGAGAATGCTTCTGTGTATATTTTATGTGGAGATATTCCTATTTTCAATGAAGACCACAAAGCAGTCAAAATATCCACTTGCAGATTTTATGAAAAGAGTTTTTCAAAATTGCTCTATGAAAAGTAAGGTTCAACTCTGTGAGTTGAATGCACACATAACAAAGAAGTTCCTGAGAATGCTTCTGTCTAGTTTTTATGTGAATATATTCCTGTTTCCAGAGAAGGCCTCAAAACAGTCCAAATATCCAGTTGCAGATTCAACAAAAAGAGAGTCTCAAAGCTGCTGTATGAAAAATTATGTTCAACTCGGTGAGCTGAATGCCCACTTAACAAAGAAGTTTCTGAGAATGCTTCTGTCTAGTTTTTATTTGAAGATAGTCCCGTTTCCAACGAAGGCCTCAAAGCAGTCCAAATATCCACTTGCAGATTCTACACAAAGAGTGTTTCAAAACTGCTCTATCAAAAGAAAGGTTCAACTCTGGGAGTTGAATGCACACATCACAAAGAAGTTTCTGAGAATGCTTCTGTCTAGTTTATATGTGAAGATATTCCCGTTTCAACCGTAGGCCTCAAATTGCTCCAAATATCCACCTGCAGATTCAACACAAAGAGTGTTAAAATTGCTCAATGAAAAGGAAGGTTCAAGTCTGTGAGTTGAATGCACACATAACAAGGAAGTTCCTGAGAATGCGTCTGTCTAGTTTTCATGTGAAGATATTCCCGTTTCCAAGCGTAGGCCTCAAAGCAGTCCAAATATCCACTTGCAGATTCTACAAAAAGAGTGTTTCAAAACTGCTCTATCAGAAGGAAGTTTCAACTCTGTGAGTTGAATGCACACATAACAAGGAAGTTTCCGAAAATACTTCTGTCTAGTTTTTATGTTAAGTTATCCCCGTTTCCAAGGAAAGCCTCAAAGTAGCCCAAATATCCACTTGCAGATTCTACAAAAAGATTGTTTCAAAACTCCTCAATCAAAAGGAAGTTTCAACTCTGTGAGTTGAATGCACACAAAAGAAAGAAGATCCTGAGAATGCTTCTGTCTAGTTTTTTTTTTGAATATATTCCCCTTTCCTGGGAAGTCCTCAAAGCAGTCCAAATATCCAGTTGCAGATTCTACAAAAAGAGTGTTTCAAAACTGCTCTATCAAAAAGAAGGTTCAACTCTGTGATTTGAATGCACACATAACAAAGAAGTTCCTGAGAATGCTTCTGTCTAGTATTTATGTGAAGATATTCCCGTTTCCAATGAAGGCCTCAAAGTAGTCCACATATCCACTTGCAGATTCTACAAAAAGAGTGTTTCAAAACTGCTCTATCAAAAGAAAGGTTCAACTCTGTGAGTTGAATGCACACATAACAAAGAAGTTTCTGAGAATTCTTCTGTCTAGTTTTTATGTGAAGATATTTCCGTTTCTACCGTAGGGCTCAAAGTGCTGCAAATATGAGAGTCAATGATGAGATTAGCTGTGGAAATGGCAAACCGTTTTTTGGAGGACAGTAGTAATGCTGTGAACTTATGAAAACAACCAAGTATTCAGTGGCAACTAAAATGTTTCTCCATAAGGTTATTTTACAGATGCGTATCTGAAATCTGAAATTTGAGAGAACATTCTACTAGTTTTCTCTAGTGATAAAATAAAGCTGGAAGAAAGAAGGGAGGGAAGATGAATTAGAGAGAAATAGAATGCATTTGAGAGAAAATCCTATTTAGACTAAAATAGAATACTGCAGATATCATGACAAAGTGGTTTAAGTGTGTCTTATGGAGCAGAAATGGCAGAAAATACCACGGTAAAGAGATTTACGATTGGATTGTTAGTTCTGGCTTTTATTCTGTCAACGTTGTGGCTTCTAAAGACATCAGTAATCTCCTTTGATCCACGTGCTAATTAACAACCAACACTCTGCCCCCTCTCCCAGACTCTCTGATCGTTTTAAACCTAATCTAATTCTAATCCAGCTGGTCACTGTAACACATGTAATCACCTAAGAATTTCAAAAATATTTTTGATGAATAAATGAAAAATTAGCTAGGTGCAATGGCATAAACCTATAGTCTTTTTTACTTTGAAAGTTGAAGTGGGAGGATTACTTGAATCCTGGATTTCAAGGCTGCGGTGAGCTAAGATTCTGCCACTGCACTCCAGATGGAGAAACTTTCTTTGGTATAAATAAATAAATGTGCACTTAGAGGAATGCTTGCACCTTGGGAAGAAACTCAAGAAACAGTATTAATCAATTTTAGTTAATTTCTAGCATATGTTTACTCTGATAAGATTGATGATAGATATGCCTCATTCAGGCAGTGGTTTTTACAATGATAGTGTGATGCTAATTTAATCAGTGATGAAAAGGCATGTACTAAATATTGCAGAAAGCTAATCATCTCTGTCTCCACCTTTCTTAATACCCTAAATATCTCTGAAGAGGTGGGTGTGGTCTTCAAAGATTCACATAAAAGTATGCAGAAGAGAGAAGCTCATATTTCTCCAAAGGAGGACAGCACATAGAGTTAACTGCATTCAGGTGACCTCTGAAAGTCAACTGTGCAGGGAATGAGCTCCTGATCTTGGGGAGTACTTAAAAGAATTCTTTCTTGGAAGAATTACTGCAGGAAACATTCATAGAACCTTGGGGTGAGTGCAACTTATATGGAGAAAATTATTTCTCTCTTCCTTTAAAAGAGTAAATTACAGTGATAAAAATATCTAACTGTCTAAACTTACTTAATGATCTTATTTGTAACTCATATTATTGCTATTCATTTTATGACATGAGGTTATTAATTGTTGTCATTTTGTGTGTTCCAAAAGTTTTTAATATATTTTTGAAAAATTTTAGATATCTAGTGTTTGCTGCAATAGATTTGTATGCATCATGAATATATGGAATTCACATTAAAACATATATGTGTACTGCATGTACTAATACACTTAATTAAGTAAAAAAGGATAATTATTGAATACTGTAAATGTTGTGCTTTCATAACATTAAGCTTTTAGACATGATTTTAAGTTACTGAGGCAATGATGAGTTAAAAATGGTGATACTAAAGGAAATAAGAATGCTCTCCAAAATGCCCTAGCTTAGAAATCAAAACACAATTGTTTAGCAGATAACTGTATAAGGAATGATTTGATACTTGATAGTAGTTGTCATTTTAATTGAGGCTTACCTCAGATGAAACTATGAAAAATTCCTTGAAATGGCTCAGATGACCTCTGAAAAATATTTGCAATTCTTAAATTTTCACTTTTGGTACTTAAATTCAGCAGTGTTTAGTAAAAGAGAGTCAGGTAAAGGACTTCAAACTGCCAAGGGAAAGATTCCAGTTTGTATTGGTCAGGGTTCTCCAGAGAGACAGAACCATAGGATGTGTACATAACTATATATATATATATATATATATATATATATATATATATATATATATATATATATATGTATATATACCAAAAATACTTACAACTCTGGTACAATTGCCTATCGTATACCATACAGGTTTGTAGCCTAGGAACAATATGCTATACTGTATACCATAGGTGTGTAGTAGGCTATACCATCTAGGTTTGTGTAAGTATACCCTATGATGTTCAAACAATAACGAGACTGTCTAATGCGTCCCTCGGATCATATATCTGTCCTCACTCTACACATGACACTGTACAGGAGAGGAAGTCCACTAGGAGAATTTGTTCCCTTGATTATGGAGTCTGAGAAGTTGAACACAGGCTGTCATTAAGCTAATGTCCTAAAGATACCAATATCCTGGCTGAGTTAGAATCAGCTTCAGGAGAAAGAGAGGAAACTGCCTTCTCTCTGCCCTTTATCTTCAGTCTGAGCTACCAGCTGATTGTATAGTGTCCACCCACATTGAGGGCTGCTGTTCCCCACTCAGCTCACCAACTTACATGTTTCTCTGGAAACACCTTCACAGACTCACCCAGAAATAATGCTTTACCAATTCTCCATGTATTACTTAATCCAGTCAAGTTAACACCTAAAATTAACCATAATTCCATAGTAATATGATTATATATATTTCAGTTTTTAAAAAACTGACTATATGTCAGTTCATAGTTTGAGTAGCCAAAAGAAGAAGTTAATTTAAGCCATAAGAAAAATAAACCCAATATTTTTCATTATTTATTTTATCTCCTATTTATCCTAGACTGGTTTAATTGCTGTCTTTTTGTTTATCTTGGCTGTTGATTTGTTCTGGGGTTGTTTTTGTTTTAAAGAGCCGGCTTCTGGGTCCCTCTCTCTAAACATATGCCATAGCGCCCTCTGACCATCTTCTCATGTTTTGTTTCCTAATGTAGGTTTTCTACTCCTCTCCCATAGTCATTCAGTAGTTATTTGAAAGAGAAATATGGACGACCATGTTTTATTCTAGACCACTTAAGATTAAAACCCGAGTTTCATATCGACATCCAGGGAATAGGTATTTGAACAGATTTGCATTATGTTATGGGCAGGAACTAGGAGTAGAAGAGGTTGTGAGTCATCTAGTCAGTGGTGTCTACTAAAAAGCCTAAAGACTCTCTTTGTGTATGAATTTTTCATTTTTGTTACAGAGGAAATAGTTTGTTCTGCTTTAATGAGCACTGTCAAGAGGAAAATATAGCTATCACATATCACCACATGTTCACAGATTTTCACCAACCCAGACCCCAAAATGACATGCTGCTCTTTCTTCTTCAGAAACATGAATTCTGAAATTTTGCAAGTCTTCCAGAGGGAACTCACCTGTCCCATCTGCATGAACTACTTCATAGACCCAGTCACCATAGAATGTGGGCACAGCTTTTGCCGGCCCTGTTTCTACCTCAACTGGCAAGACATGGCAGTTCTTGCTCAGCGCTCTATATGCAAGAAGACAACACGGCAGAGAAACCTCAAAACTGACATTTGTTTGAAGAATATGGCTTCCTTTGTTAGAAAAGCTAGCCTCTGGCAATTCCTTAGATCTGAGGAGCAAATAAGTGGGATGCACGGAGAGACAAAGAAAATGTTCTGTGAAGTGGACAAGAGCCTGCTCTGTTTGCTGTGCTCCAACTCTCAGGAGCACCGGAATCACAGACACTGTCCCATTGAGTGGGCTGCAGAGGAACGCCGGGTAAGTAATGCCTCTGAAGATCTATTTCTATGCAGGACACATGAAATTCTTGTAAGTCTATTTCCTTGGAGATTGGATGATGCCATCTCTGTGTCCCCTTAAGCATGTCTGTTATGAGCTTCCTTGACTTCACACCTCTCAGATTCGACAAACATGAGGAGAAACACAGCAAACTCTCTTTTCTGTGGGCTAATTTGTCTCTCATTTTGGGCCCTTCGTATATCAGAGTGTGAATGATACTTTATTGTCTTCACTTGTGCTTAAATTCATGGCTCTTTTGCAGGAGGAGCTCCTAAAAAAAATGCAGTCTTTATGGGAAAAAGCTTGGGAAAATCTCAGAAACCTGAACATGGAAACCACCAGAACAAGAAGCTGGAAGGTTAGTACCGTATTACTCTACCTTCTCCAGGAACTTATAGGGAACAAATGGGTGATTCTTAAAATAGGAACTTGATCTCAACCCATAATGTTTCTGGAATTCAATAAAGAAGGAGAAAACACTTGAGAAAAAAACACCCTAATTTTTTATAAAAGTTAGTGTGACTCTTTGGTAGGATTTCTAATCAGACCACAGATTTTACACTAGCATGCTCATCTGTTTCCATACAAACCTATAGCAATACCCCAACAAATACAAGAAACTGGGCCATTTCACACTGTTCCCAGTGGGCTGCCTGGATAAATTCTGGACACAAGAGTTATTTGTCAGTCATGGAAATTTCAGGTGACCCTTCTAAGGCTGAGTCAGTATGAATTTGAATCCTGGTGGGCAAGTATATTGAAATGTGAGCTAAATTTCAGGCAGAAGGTGAGAGAGCGCAACCTTAGGGAAAGCATGAAATTAAATATCAGCACTAATTAATATTGAATAAGTCATAAAACATAATGGGAAAAGTGGTGAGAAATGTAGACTTGTGTCTTGATGAAGACATAAATATGTGAGAAATATGGGAACTAGTATTTAATATAAGGAGAACTCTAAGGACTTGAGAAGAATTCTAGAAATGATTTTCTCTTTGTGGATGTTTATATTGAGGGTATGATATCTAATATTAATTCATTAATTTATTCTAATATTAATTCACTGAAAGATATTCTATGAGTACCTAGTCTAGGTCAAATATCAACTTAGAAAATTAAGGAGTAAAGAAGAAAGAAAACACACAAATCTTGCAATGGAAATGAGAAAAGCAAATGGTCACCATGCAGATATGTGAGGTACATGATGTGTTAGAGTGCAGTAGTGTCTTTGGAGAAGAATCAAGCAGGAAAGTAGAAAAGGAGCACAGAGGCCAGGGACTGGGGATGAGGGTTTGAGTTTTAAATAGGGTGGTCAGAAAAAAGGCTCATGGAAAAATTCACACTGAAACAAAATCTTGATCAGGAGGAAATATATATATCCTCCTGTTTGCCTTCCTCTTCCTCATAAATATATGAATATATATGTGTATGTCGGTGTTGGTATATATATATAGATAGATATATTTGAGGAATATATATGTAAACACACAGATACACGTATATATTCCTCATACATCATATATACCTATATTTGAGAAATATATATATGAGTACATATATGAGAAATATATATATATATGAAAATAATTCTAGGCATAGAAAACAGCATGTGCAGTAATATTTAATTTGCATTTATTTGGGGGTTTGAGGAACCACAAAGAAGTCCATGTTGCAGATTAGGGTGAGTTTGGAAGAGAATAAATGAAACCTTATTAGAATATGTTATGCTGGGTGAAATGCATTGAGTTGACAATGCTAGTCTGGGTCATGTCATCATTTGTCATATAATGGTTTTACATAACTTGCCCCAATTCTCCAAAATAGAAATAATGGTTTCTTACCTAGTCAATATAACTCGATAGTTTGATTCTTAAGCAAGAACTGTGTTTTCTTTCTATAAATGTGGTGTGGAAGAGAGAAATCCATCTTTATATAACTGTCATAGAAAACATTTTATCATTAATCAAGTAAATGTAACTGGGCAGAAACAACTATGTTGATAGTAGTACAGAAAAAAAGGAAAGGAATAAAATTTTGTGGAATCTGAGAATTGACAAGATCGAGGATTAAAATATTGGGTGTTGAGAATGCTAAGAGGAATCAGTGAAATTCAAGAGAAGATGGATAAAACATTTCTATTTTGACTAATTGTCACTGCAGGATTATGTGAGTTTAAGGATAGAAGCAATCAGAGCTGAATATCAGAAGATGCCTGCATTTCTCCATGAAGAAGAGCAACATCACTTGGAGAGGCTGCGAAAGGAGGACGAGGACATTTTTCAGCAACTCAATGAAAGCAAAGCCAGAATGAAACATTCCAGGGAGCTTTTAAGAGGAATGTATGAGGATCTGAAGCAAATGTGCCATAAAGCAGATGTGGAGCTACTCCAGGTACGGACTGACCGTGGGGTATCATGGTGTTGAACATTCACATACATGGGTGTTTTTCCTCTCTCCTGAAATCCATCTCCCCCTTCACTTCCATGATTTGTTTCCAAAAACATGATTCAATAACTAATGCTCCTTGGTTGGGAGGGTGTATCCTCTCCTTGTGATTCTACCAGACCGAAGGTCCCTCCTACTTTATCCACCAGCAACAAAACTTTGTAGAATGGCTAAGGTAACAAATAGCCCCAAGAAATATTTCCCATCAAAAGTCAGTGATTTATTTAGGATTTTTGAAAGTGGATAAAATGAGAAGTGATCCATTGGCATTTAGGCTAATTTGGAGACATGGCAGGATGGAGAAGTTGGGGAATCTAGGATCACCCTAATATTATTTTGGGGTCCACTCACTTTGGTAACAAGGTTTAGGGAAGATGACTGAGTAGCTTCTTTATGGTTACCTCAGAGCATAGACTCTGTAGGCCTCCTCTCCCTTCACTTGAAAAGAGAATGTCTTCAAGACTTAGACTTTGTCAGGACATTAATTCATGACATATCATAGACTGGGATTTTCATGAGAAAAGAAACAGAAAATGCTTTCCAGGAGGGAACATTGTAGGAAAATAATATCTTCAGAAACTGTCTCCAAATCTCACACTGAACTTAGTGGAAGATGCATCTTGTGGAAAGCACTAAGCCTTTCAATTTTTTTTTTTTTTATTTTACAGGCTTTGGGAGACATATTACACAGGTGAGTACATACCAAGATTTTAGCAGATGCTTTCAGTTTCCACAACTATCAAGCAGGAACTTTGACATTGAAGGTATAATTGATTCACATACTGATACTGCCTTGTGCTGGTTGTATTTTCTCCATTCCCCACCCCATGTAGTCATCTATTTTGTTGCCATACTCAGTGACTTTATTAAGCAGCTCAATGAAAGTTCTGCAAAACCAAATAAATAAATAAATAAATAAATAAAACAAAAAATAAATAAATGAAAGAAAAATAAAGGAAGTGAGCATCTCTATTCCTAATTTCCTTTTTATTGCTCAAAAGCCTTCATATTTGAAAGAGAAAATATTACATTTACTACTTGCATACAAAGTCAACCAGGGGAAGCCAGAGAGAAAAGGGGAAAGTATTTTAGCAGTGAAAAGTGTTGATGATTTCTAGTTTATATTTAAATATATAATTGTGAAAAATGGATGAAACAAACTATTCGGTATGTTTGAACCGTGTAGGCCTCCAGAGAACCTCGACTATAAAAGGCAGATCTCCCTGCCTGGAGCAAGTTTCAACTCTCTGGCCTTGAGAAGGAAGCAACAGATGCAGCAGTCTTAAAAATAACCCCACTTTTCCAGACAGTGATTTCAGGAATTTCTGGAGAGGCCTGGAACCCAGAATTTCATTTTTGAATATTCTCCCAGTCTTAAGACTAATGATCCTTACTAATTTGGAGCAATACCAAGAAAGATCTGAATGAATTCTCAGTCAGATAGACTTTTCCATCGTGTTTGAAAATGAGGAACTGTGAATAAGAATGAATTTGAAAAAGAAAATGATAATTTTGGAATTAGCAAATGTGTGGGTTAAAGGGATTCTCATGAAATGTCTTTTAAATAAAAGTGGTGATTTTTATGTATTTTTTTTTTGGCTGCAGATGTGGAAAGGGTATGTTTCTCCTTGCAGGTATGAGTCCCTGTTGCTGCAAGCATCTGAGCCTGTGAATCCAGAGCTCAGTGCAGGGCCCATCACTGGACTGCTGGACAGGCTCAGTGGATTCAAAGGTAAGTGTCAGCCCATTGGCAGAATTCCCACAGTGTATTACTTCTTGTTAGAATCATGGGGGTAATATTTTACCCTTCATCAAATCTTTATTTCATTTCAGCAGGAAGTGAACCATATGACGATGCAACCCTTTTATATCTGTGTTTCTATTTATAGTCCAATTTATAACATGAAGTGTAAAACATAGTGAAAAACAAACATGTTCTGGGCTCTTGTATAGAGTTCTATATTGGGTAAAAGGAATGACATAAGAAATAAAAAATTGAATAAATGGAACAATGCTCAGAAGGAAGCATAATAATCCAAGGTTATATAAAAGTTTTACATTTGTTTACTGTATTTCATTTGAATTGTTAAAAACATTTCATTGGGGAATAGAGTTCACTGCAGTTTGTTGGAGTATTTGTACTTTCTTACAATAAATAGATTTTATTGATATAATGTAAAATTTGGACTTAACATGTAAAAAGAAAGAAGAAATTATTATGAAAATAGGAAGTAAAAATAGAAATGATAATTTCAGTTTAGTTACAACCTGAAGAGCTACGTGTAAAAATCTAAAATTCAGTTTGAGTCTAGAGCTAGCAGGGATGTCCGCAAAGTGACTGGTAAAAGATTTTGCAAAAATCTGCCTTCAGTTACCACTCATAATTTGAACATATGGACTTTTATCCAGTTATCTAGAGCGGTGCTTGTGTAAGCTAAAATCTTCCCATTCTTGCCAAAATTATATCACTAGTATTTAAGAACAAGAAATATTTTAATAATAATGACCTTGATAGCTAAAGGGCATTCAGGGCATAAAATATTTCACTTTTACATTGGAGATTGGATAAAAACAGGCTGGTCTTATATTCAACTCTCGATTTTTAAGATTTCAATAAATTTTCAATGTCTGTTTTTAGGGTTTTGTTCTTCTTATAGAGAATATTAATCATCCTTATACTTTATTAAATGTTGTAGTCACAATTCTCCTGTCCTTGTAACTTCAAATTTCCTGGTAAAGTAAACTCTTGGTAGAACTACTATTCCCTCAAGAATTCTAATTTCTGTTAATTACATGTATCTATATTTTTTAAAAATTATTTTTGCTGTTGATTTTACTGTGCAGCCTGAAAGAGCCAATAGTCATATCTTCCTGCATGGAGATTTGAGAAGCATGAATGTTGGATGTGACCCTCAAGAAGATCCCGATATCACTGCAAAATCTGAATGTTTTCTTGTATGGGGGGCTCAGGCTTTCACATCTGGCAAATATTATTGGGAGGTTCACGTGGGGGACTCTTGGAATTGAGCTTTTGGTGTCTGTAACAATTATTGGAAAGAGGAGACAGAATGACAAGATAGATGGAGAGGAGGGACTCTTTCTTCTTGGATGTGTTAAGGAGGACAGTCACTGCAATCTCTTTACCACCTCCCCACTTGTGGTGCAATACGTTCCAAGACCTACCAGCACAGTAGGATTATTCCTGGATTGTGAAGGTAGAACCATGAGCTTTGTTGATGTTGATCAAAGTTCCCTGATATACACCATCCTTAATTGCTCCTTCTCACCTCCTCTCTAGCCTATCTTTTGCTGTAGTCACTTCTGAGCAGAAAAAAGTCAGAAATGTGTCTATATGCTCTGGGAACCTGTTTATCACAGAAAGCCCTCTTTTTCACACCTCATCAAACAGGACAAATAAGTTATATTTAATGTCTTTACTTGCATTCTAATGTCATCAAAACTCATTTATAGTGTTTCTATTAAATATGGTGAAAACATAGCAACCATGTGTATTGGTTCCTTTTTAAGTCATTTTTGGAAAATCATTACCCATGATGTATGGCATAGAATATATTCTCTGGTTTTTAATTATTTCTGAATGTCACAAAGTGAAATAATAGATGACAGAGTTGTCTAAATGAAGTTAAAATCAATGGAAGAAAGTAGAGATCTTGGGCTTCATGAAAAAACTTGGAGTAAAAAAGACTCAATGGTAACCTGGAAATATTTTCTTTCTCTTCATCTAACAATATTATACTTCTCCATGTGTTTTATTTATGAACCTATACTTTGAGGTAATCTTATTTGACCTCTTATGCTGTGCTTATCTTTGTAAATCTCATCTTATATACAAAATGCTCATGCATTATTAGAGTGCTGTTCTACAGTGAAATTTACAAGGGGATCAGGACAATGCTGGATCAATTAAATATTCAAATGGACATAACTGAATACTGACCCCTACCTCAAACCATACACAGTGCATTTCCACATGGATTCATGTTCTGAAGGTGAAGGGAACACAGTAAATTATTCTCACACAGAAAGATTTCCTAACCAGGACAAAAAAGGAACAATTAAGAAGAAAAATTTAGTTAGTTTATATCAAAAATGATGACTTCTGTGTTTCAAAATATACCATCCAAGAATTAAAATGCAAACCAAGAGTGGAGAAAAATATTTATCCCAACATATATGCAATAAAATACAATACATGTGATTAATGAATGTAATAAATAAAAGAAAATGAACCCAATATAAAATTGGGAAAATATTTGAACAGGCACTTCATAAAATTGGAGGCATAAATATCTGGACAAATATGAAAAAGGGATTACTTTTATTAGTCCTCAGAATAATAAAAATTAATCCATAAGTTGAACTACAGGCCTCCATAAAAAGTAGCAAAATGTAAAGACACATAATATTGTGTGTTGTGAAAGATAAAGAATCAATGAAAGTTATTCATGGCTGGAGGGATGTAAACTGAAATACTTTTTGGTAAACTGACTATGAGCATTCCTTATGGGCTAGATATTCTCATTCTAAAATATATTCCACAGACTGCCTATGTGTATTTCAAGATAAACGCAATGTTGATCATTGCAGCAATTTTTATAGTAGCTCAAAATTGGAGACAAAATAAATATTCATCAACAGTAGAATTGCTAAATAAATTGTGATCTCATCATACAAAAGAATTTTACAAAACAGAGATAACACCAAAATGCAACAAATTAATTAATCTCAAAGAGAAGTTTAAGAAAAGAATTGAAACACACAAATGTTATATTACAGTGTTTTATTTAGATAAATTGTGAACTCCATTAATTGATGATAGAAGTTAGAATATTGAATAATGTTTTGGAAGGTAATGGTTAGGAAACTTAAAAATTAACCAGGATAAGATATAGGAAGCATTGAAATCAAGGAGAGAAAATATAAGCATTTTTCATGCAGAAGAGAATCATATATATATATGTGTATATATATATATGGTATTTTAACGTATAAAATAAGTTTGAAATAAATGATTTGATGTTTTGCCTAATTTTTCAAATGCATATATATATAATTTAATTTATGATAATTTAACATCAACATTAAGACATAAAACTTTTTTTATTATCATACTTTAAGTTCTGGGGTACATGTGCAGAATGTTCAGGTTTGTTACATAGGTATACACGCACTGTGGTGGTTTGCTGCACCCATCAACCCCTCATCTACATTAGGTAGTTATCCCAGTGATATCCCTCCCCTAGCCCCCCACCCCAGACAGGCCCCAGTGTGTGATGTTTTCCTCCCTGTGTACATGTGTTCTCACTGTTCAACTCCCACTTATGAGTGAGAACATGCAGTGTTTGGTTTTCTGTTGTTGTGTTAGTTTGCTGAGAATGATGGTTTCCAGCTTCATCCATGTCCCTGCAAAGGACATGAACTCATCCTTTTTATGGCTACATAGTATTCCACGGTGTATATGTGCCACATACATTTTTTTTTACCGTCTGTGAAGAGATTCAGAGTATCACATTTTAAGACCTGTATTTACCTCCCCATCTCCCCTGTGTAACAAAACCTAAAACTACAAAGGGAAATATAAGGAATGCCAGTGCCCTTGGGATGCTGGTAACACTAATTGAACTTTGGAAAGGGGAAAAGAAAAAATAGGAAAAAAATATGTGGAGGATTTAGACCTACACCTGAAGGTTGGACAGGATCATTAAGAAGGTTCCAGCCATGAAGACCCAGAAACAGTGTCAACCTGTGACTGAGCTTCATCAGAATGACAGAGAATGCTTCTCCATCCTCATCACCACCCTCAACTTGGCAAAAAATTGTTGAGTAACAGGTCAAAGCAGTGCCTTCTGGGGGACTGAGCAGAATTTGGAGGGAAACTTAAAGTTGAGGATACAGCAGATAGTGAGAAAAGCTGCTGAACCAGTCCAATCCAAAACACAAAGTAATGCTAGATGAGCAGGAAATCTATGGTGAACTGGAATTAACTCTAAGAAGAACAAGTCTCAAAACCAAATCAACTCCTGACTAGATTGATTCAACCTTCTCCCTCAAAACACACACATACAGGGTAGAAAAAGGGAACACATGCGGGTTTTGCTTTCTATATTAGTCTACTCTACATAGTTCACTTTTTGAGTAAAACTTACCAGACATATACAAAAACAGAAAAGATACATAAAGGAAACAGTGTTAAGAGAAAAAGCAATTAATAAAGCCAGAGTCAAATGTGGCAGAGGTGTTGGAATTATCTTTTTTTTTTTTTTTTTTTGTATTCATTGATCATTCTTGGGTGTTTCTCAGAGAGGGGGATTTGGCAGGGTCATAGGACAATAGTGGAGGGAAGGTCAGCAGATAAACATGTGAGCAAGGGTCTCTGGTTTTCCTAGGCAGAGGACTTCTGCAGTGTTTGTGTCCCTGGGTACTTGAGATTAGGGAGTGGTGATGACTCTTTAGGAGCATGCTGCCTTCAAGCATCTGTTTAACAAAGCGCATCTTGCACCGCCCTTAATCCATTTAACCCTGAGTGGACACAGCACATGTTTCAGAGAGCACAGGGTTGGGGATAAGGCTATAGATTAACAGCATCCCAAGGCAGAAGAATTTTTCCTAGTACAGAACAAAATGGAGTCTCCTATGTCCACTTCTTTCTACACAGACACAGTAACAATCTGATCTCTCTTTCTTTTCCCCACATTTCCTCCTTTTCTATTTGACAAAACCGCCATCGTCATCATGGCCCGTTCTCAATGAGCTGTTGGGTACATCTCCCAGATGGGGTGGCAGCCAGACAGAGGGGCTCCTTACATCCCAGATGGGGTGGCCAGGCAGAGGTGCCCCCCACCTCCCAGACGGGGCGGTGGCCGGGTGGGGGCACCCCCCACCTCCCAGACGGGGTGGCTGCCGGGCAGGGGCTGCCCCCCACCTCCCGAACTGGGCGGCTGGCCGGACGGGGGCTGCCCCCCACCTCCCTCCCGGATGGGGTGGCTGGCCGGGCGGGGGCTGCCCCCCACTTCCCGGAAGGGGCGGGTGCTGGGCAGAGGGTCTCCTCACTTCCCAGAAGGGGCAGCTGCCGGGCGTAGGGGCTCCTCACTTCTCAGATGGGGCAGCTGCCGGGCGGAGGGGCTCCTCACTTCCCAGACTGGGTGGCTGCCGGGTGGAGGGGCTCCTCACTACCCAGATGGGGCATCTGCTGGGCGGAGGGGCTCCTCACTTCTCAGACAGGGCGGCGGGGCAGAGATGCTCCTCACCTCCCAGACGGGGTGGCAGTGGGGCAGAGACGCTCCTCAGATCCCAGACAGGGTCGCGGCTGGGCAGAGGCGCTCCTCACATCCCAGACGGGGTGGCGGGGCAGAGGCGTTCCCCACATCTCAGATGATGGGCAGCCGGGCAGAGAAGCTCCTCACTTCCTAGATGGGATGGCGGCCAAGAAGAGGCACTCCTCACTTCCCAGACTGGGCGGCCGGGCAGAGGGGCTCCTCACATCCCAGACGATGGGCAGCCAGGCAGGGACGCTCCTCACTTCCCAGATGGGGTGGCAGCCAGGCAGAGGCTGCAATCTCAGCACTTTGGGAGGCCAAGGCAGGCGGCTGGGAGGTGGAGGTTGTAGCGAGCCAAGATCACGCCACTGCACTCCAGCCTGGGCAAGATTGAGCACTGAGTGAGAGAGACTCCGCTGGCAATCCCGGCACCTCGAGAGGCCCAGGCGGGCAGATCACTCGCAGTCAGGAGCTGGAGACCAGCCAGGCCAACACGGCGAAACCTCGTCTCCACCAAAAAATACAAAAACCAGTCAGGCATGGTGGCGCGTGCCTGCAATCCCAGGCACTGGGCAGGCTGAGGCAGGAGAATCAGGCAGGGAGGTTGCAGTGAGCCAAGATGGCGGCAGTACAGTCCAGCCTCGGCTCGGCATCAGAGGGAGGCCGTGGAAAGGGGAGAGGTAGAGGGAGAGGGAGAGGGAGAGGGAGAGGGAGAGGGAGAGGGAATTATCTTTCAAGTAGATCTCATGGGTACTGTTCTAGAAGCCCTTAGTAGGGTATAAAGCCCCTTTATTTTTTTTTTACACTTATGTGACAAGATCTTCCTTTTATCCTCTTATGTAAAAGGTATTTCCAATCCATATTCATCTCTGTATTGCCAGTCACATTTTTTGACACTTTACAAATATTAGCCCACTGTCTTATACTTACATTTATGATTATGGAGCAGTCTGTTGTCATTCTATTAAGTGTTCCCTCAAAATGAAACAGTTTATTCTGGCTGCTTTTAAGAGATTCTTCATCTTTGGTGGTGGTTTCAAGCTTAAACACATTATAATGAATCAGCCAACAAAGACAGAGAAATACTAAAAATCAGCCAAAATACATTGTTTTACACATTCAAAACAAAGTAAATTTATGTTTTATACATCCAAAATGGGGATTGTTTGGCTTCCTGAATTCAATTCATTTGCTTACTCTGAAAAAATTATCAAACATTATACCCTTGAATATGTACTGTCCTCTTCTCTACTTAGCTCTACTGTGTGCTACAGTCAATCACACATTATGCTGTTTATAAAGAACATACATGATACTCTCATCCTCCTAATGTCACTATCACTCTCCTAGTTTACCTCTATTTGTCCATCTGTGAAGCCTTCATGACATAGCTTTATATCTATTATCCAATTCACACTTTCTGCAGCTTCATTTCACTTGCTAAACAAAGTTTTCACTAAACAGCAAATTTTACTTATTTCACTTTTACCAATATAAATTAGAATTTATATGGTAAAAGAATTTCTTAAATGACTGCCAAATGTGAAAAAATTCATGTATATATTATATATATTTACATATGTATGTGTTATATAGACATACACAAAATTGCTATTGGTAACGACGGTTTTCACAGGAGTCTATAACTACTGAAGATTTTATTTTTCCTAAAAGATATAATATTTCCTTAAAGATATTCTGTTTCTTAATTTACAATAAAGATAATTCTTATGCTTTTATCAACAACATAAATTAATAGGCTTGGTGCAGTGGCTCACGTCTGTAATTTCGGCTCTGTGAGAAAATGAGGCAGAAGAATCACTTGAGCCTAGCAGTTTAAGCCTGCTGTGAGCTGTGATTGCACCACCGCACTCCAGCCTAGGCTACAGAACCAGAATATATATATGTGTGTGTGAGTATATATACATAATATAAATAAAATATGTATTATTATATATAATATATATGAAATACATATATTATATATTATATGTGTATAAAAATATATAATATATAAAATATATTATATATATATAAATTGACAGTAATACATTAAAACCTGAAATCAAGCTTCAAAAGCAACAGCAAAGTGCATTTCCAGTCTAGTTCAGTGACTATTAGAATTAAAGCCAACTTCAGGCAAAACATTTCCAAAAACATAAGAAAAAAAAAAAAGAAAAACGAGGAAAACTATTCCAGATTTTTGAAGATATTTATTAAAATCATAAATTGATGGTATCCTTTCTCATCTTTTGATGAGTAAAATATTAACGGACTCCAAAATTATCTACAAATTTGGTATTTGAGGGTTCATTTGTTGTAAACTCAGTGGTTCTTGGTAAGAGGAAGTTTAAAGTTTGTTTATGGAGATTAGTCAAGGTGTTGAATCAATCATTTCCTCTCTTCTGGTGAAACCTAATCAAGAACCCTAATGGCTATCCCAAACTCTAAGGAATGTACAACCTGTTTGAAATGGGTGTGATTTTTCAGAGATTCAATGTAAAGAGGTACAAGTAGCCAAGCTCATTCTTTTCTGGGACACACAGAGTGGCTTTGCAACTGGCTGTGAAGATGTCTGAAAGCTACTACCACTATATGGTGAGGCCCTGATCCCTGATCAGACTTTAAAGTATTACTTCTACAGCAAGTTTCAGTGAGACCATAAGTATATTTCTAGGGTGAGAACACAACTAACAGAGGAGGAGTTCCTGCTACTTTTCCAACCCAAAACAGACTGCCCTGTGTTTAATTTTCCAACAAACTGAGCTTGTTTCTATAAGTGATGTCATTTGCTTACTTAGTAAAAACGTTTTTACTCTTATTTTGTCATCCTGTCTTCCTACAAACTTGTGAAATACAGTGAAGATTAATTTTACTTGTATCATTTATGTATTCCTTAGTTCTTCCTGTGTATTCTAAGAACACAGAAAATAGTTTTCAGATATCTTGCAATTCCATACTTGTTGTATATCCTAAATTTTATTGAGAATATTTTATTTTATATGTTGTACATAAATGTAATACCCTCTGTTCTAAAGTTGGCACGTAAATCTATGCACAAGACAGAATGTGCCATAATGTACAACTTAAGAGATGTGTTGAATAATTTGAGGACAATATTGTTTTAGAGTATACTAAATGCCTCTTCAGCATTTCTGGGTGAAATCTCATCAAATCTCACAATGTTCAGTAAATAAATAATGGTTATTTAGAAATCATTTTGCAGTGGTGGATTGTGATGGAGATTTTTTCAAATACTTTAAAGGAGAAAATTATGACATCTGAATGAAACAATGACAGTAAAATTGCAGTTAAATACCATTTCCTAAACCAATCACTTTTTTTCTTTTGTACTGAATCAATCTTTTCTAATCCAGTCACAATGAGCATTAAGAATGATTTTCAGAGTATTCAGGACCCATTATCTAATGGTATAAATTGGACCTAATTTCATACTCTTAAACCTGAAGTTTTTTGGAGTAAAGTCAAAACTCAACAAAACTGAGATTTTTCTTTTCTTTTCTTTTCTTTTCCTTTCTTTTCTTTTCTACTCTTTCTTTTCTACTCTTTTCTTTCTTTCTTTCTTCCTTTTTTCTCTCTCTTTCTCTTTCTCTCTCTCATTCTCTCATTCTTTCTTTCTTTCTTCTTGCTTTATTGCCCAAGCTGAAGAGCATGGCTCAGTCTCAGCTGACTGCAACTTCAGGGTTCAAGCAATTCTCCTGCCCAGTCTCCTAAGTTTCTGGGATTACAGGTATGTGCCACCACTCCTGGCATTACAGGTGTGAGCCATCACACCTGGCCTCTCTGAGTTTCATTTTTCTATGCAAAACAAAATGGTAGGATGAGGATGTAGTGCCCTATGAGTTGTGCATGAACCCAACAATTTTACCTATAGATCCAAGAGCTCTCTTTGTGCCTCAGGTTCGGTTTTTGTCTTATACAAAATAAAGCCTGTTCTACTCTAGACAGAAGTTTATCGCTGAGTCACAACCTGAGTCAAATTTTGCTTTGGCCTTTGTTTCTCCAAGGCATAAGATGAAGTTTTAATCATACCTTTCCTAATTTCCTTCCTTCAGGAAAATGGTCTCAGACATCACACAAGCCTAACAGAAAGAACCCATCTGCCTCTTCTGTCTGAACTAACTCGTAGACCCCATCATCACAGGCTGTGGCCCCAGCTTCTGTAGGCCCTGTCTCTGCCTTTTCTGGGAAGAAGCCAAAATTCCTACCTGCTGCCCACATGCGGGGAACTGTCACAGCAGGAGGACATCAAAACCAATATTCTTCTGAAGAATCCAGTGTGCATTGCCAGAAAAGCCAGTCTCTGGCAATTCCTGAGCTCTAATGAATAAATGTGTGGGATCTACAGGGAGAAAAAAAGATATTTGGAGCTGTGGATAAGAGCCTGCTTCATTTGCTATTCTGGAACACTCAGGAGCACGGGGCTCCCAGACACTGTGAGGGGCAACTAAGGAACACTGGGTAAGTGATGACTCTGAAAGCACTTTGAAAGCTGGAGGATGGCACAAGTAAAGAGATTAGGGGTAAGATGAAGAGCATGAGGATTATTCTGTTCTGTATTGGATGTCATGTAATGCCTAGGTATCAATGATAGAAATTTAAATGGAATCTGTGAGAATACCTTCCTTCCTGGAACTTGCATTTCACTGAGGGAGTGATGAAGTTAATAATCATTATAATAATTTGACTATTTAGTTTAATATTCAAGGCACTGTAAAGAGCTCAATATCAGAAAGAGTTTCTGGCTATCTAAACTACAAGTTCAAAAGCCTTCTATATAAGAAACCTATTTACCAACACTGGAAATAATAGAATAAAATATGCTAGAATTAGCAAGGCATGGTGTCAGTAGATTCCAATTCTGATGCAAGATGCCACATTATCTGTAAATTAGCCCTGCTTATGATTTTCCTATTAAACTGGTTGCGTTCCATGTTGTGGTTCTACAGTCTGAGATCTTCCCAAATCTCTTTCATATCTCATCCTTTGATTTCTTTATCAATGGGGGTCTGACCCCCAAAGCGATTTGTTTCTCTGATGTTCAAATTCATAGTTCTTTTATAGGAGATGATAATGAAGCAAACGAGTTCTTTTGGGGCAAAAATTCAAGAAAACCAAAGAAAGTTAAATGAGGAGAGCAGGAAAACCAACCAGTGGATTGTAAGTATTAGGCCTTTTCCCTCAGATTCAGCCTCAGACAGACATGCTACAAATGTATCCACTTACCACTTGAGTGGAAATCATCTTGGTTAGGATTTGAGGAACGTTTTCTCTCATGGCTTCCAATCCTGAGGGTACAATGCAGCATTGATTTCTGCCCAGAGAGAGTGGTCAGGCTATGGAGTCGGGAGGTTTGGTACTAAAGATTAATTTAAAAACTTAATACTGCTAAAATTATCTGTGAATCACCATAAATTCCAATGACTCTCATGTAGGTTGCCTGATATCAAAGGGTGTATATTGAAGAAATGATGAATAATAACCTTTTTTCGGGTGTTTTAGGAAGTCATATAATGAATAAAAGAGGTTTAAGAAAAGAATGAATTTGGCTTCTAGTATTGTTAAGAAACAATAAAAATAAATGAAAGAAAGAGAGGAATGATTGATTTCATGGTTCTGAGAAGTGGGAAGACATGAGTTTATGTACATAGCTTATTGGTAGGATACATCAGTCAGTCTAGGCTCAATGGCTCAAGTTTGTAATCCCTATGATTTGGGACTGCTACATCAGGAAAGGGTTTTAAAGACGAATTTCCCTTGAATGATTATTTGTTTTTCAATCCTGTGATGATATATTTGGTATTAGAAAGCTCAATTGTATTTTCCTCTTTAAAGGTGTGAGTCAGAGCAGCGGCACATGCCCCAGTGTGTGAGCTCGGATCTCTGTGCTCAACCCATCACTGGACTAATGGACAGATTTCATGACCTCCAGGTGAGTGTCAACCTGCTGAAGTGATGACCACACAGTGCCCTTCAGGCATGGCTGGCTTTCTTTCTTTCTTCTTTCTTTCTTTCTTCTTTCTTTCTTTCTTCTTTCTTTCTTTCTTCTTTCTTTCTTTCTTTCTTTCTATCTTTCTTTCTTTCTTTCTTTCTTTCTTTCTTTCTTTCTTTCTTCTTTCTCTCTTTCTTCTTT
This sequence comes from Homo sapiens, assembly GCF_000001405.40. Taxonomy (NCBI): domain Eukaryota; kingdom Metazoa; phylum Chordata; class Mammalia; order Primates; family Hominidae; genus Homo; species Homo sapiens. Next base: position 48,962,002 of record NC_000011.10, read on the forward strand.
CTTTCTTTATTTCTCTCTCTCTCTCTCCCCCCACCGTCTCTCCTCCCTCTCTCTCTCTCCCTCCTTCTCTCTCTGTTTCATCAACGCTGGAGGGCAATGGTGCAATCTCGGCTCACTGCAACCTCCACCTCCCAGGTTCAAGCCATTCTTCTGTCTCAGCCACCCAAGTAGCTGGAATCACAGGCACCCACCATCATGCCCAGCTAATTTTTTTTTTTTGTATTTTTTAGAGCTGGGGTTTCGCCATGTTGTCCAGGCTGGTCTTGAACTCCTGACCTCAGGTGATCTGCCCCTCGTGGCCTCCCAAAGTGCGGGGATTACAGGCATGAGCCAGCACTTTTGGCCTCAGGCATGGTTTTACTACAGGCAATTTTTTGTTCTTTATTGATATTCTATCTAATAAAAGGTAACAGACTGTAAATAACACTAATAAGCATACATAGTAATACAGTTCTTATGATCATATGGAAAAAATAAATGAAAGCTGGTTACATCATTCAGTTTCCTCTTGAGTCTGGGCCTTTTGGGTCTGGGTCCCTCTGTGCAGCCAAGGCAGGTCAGATGGAGAGAGATGGTCCAGACCTGGCCAAATGGGTTCTACACAAGCCTTCTGGGTCAACACTGCCTTTCAATTAAGACCTGGGCTGTGATGACTCCAGCCGTGTTCTCCACCACAGTGGGCGGTGTGCTCATAGTGGGTCCTTGGGCCATGGGAGTCTCCATTATAAACATTGAACAACATGCCATCAAAGCATTTCTCATCTGACACTGCCCAGGGCCCACAACAAGCTACAGCAGCATTGTAACATTTGCCAGCATGAAGCCCGGTGTCCTTTCAGTTTATCCTTGTGTATGAGTAAACACAATTACAATCACCTGTGCATACCCTCACACCACAGTGTACTCTGTCCACAGTGGCACCGCCTGCCAGTGAGGGCCGTGCCTTTTATCAAGTCTTATTTCAAGCTGGCTCAACATGAGGAAATTGTGTACGCAACACTGACTTTCAACTAAGTCACTCAAAAATTAGTAAAATCATTTCAGGTAGTGTGTGTTTTTCTTTTCCTTGCTTTCAAAAACAACCTCCAGAGGAGTTTTTTTAGCCACTTATTTAAAATGTTAATGAAGGAACATGTGAGTGCAGGGGCACTGAAATGAGCAGTTGATTTAAGTCATTCCAACGCATAAGCAAGTTCCAAATGTACTGAGAGGTGAGGAGGGGAAGATGCAAAGAGTGCCTTGGGAAGAACTGCTTTTGCGGTAAGCCCTTGGTAGCTCCCAGCATGCCCGCTGCGATGGCATTCACCCCACTGCAGTCGTCGTCATCAAGGTGACTTTGTTGTTTTAGAAGGATCTGTTGTGGTCAGGGTTCCACCTGTCCTTCCCTAGACCATGGCCCTCCAGGCAGTTCTAGGCAGGTCCCAGCTAAAAGGTACAGGGGTAGAAATCAAGGACCAGGCCCACAGAAAAAGGGACCCCAGGGCCTTCCAAGGGGGAGTGCTGACTGCCAGGTGCAGAATCCATAGAATTACCCACCATGGGAGACAGAGGGACCTGCGCAAATCCCTGGGGAGTGTGTTAGAATTTCCCCAAATACTGTAAAAGAGAAAAGTGCTCATACTGTATCACGTGACAGACTAATGATGTCTAGGAGCTGACACAGAACAGGAGGACTCTGACCACCGCAGGACCAGCGAGATGTGTCAGGACAGAAATGAGCAAGCTTGAGTCTCCGGGCACACCTGGGGAAAGAGTAATGCAAGGTACACATCAGGGCTGTGACACACTCCTCAAAGCAGGCTTGGTTCCCAGGGCAAGAGTGAAGAGACAGCCACTCCACATCATGTAGTGTGGATGGCAGGGCTGCAGGGGATGTAGTCCTCTTGCTGGTGGGCTGCCAGAGACCTGGCAGCCAGACCCACTTCTTAGTGAGGGCACATTCATTTCCTCTCTGGGATGCATTTCATCATGTTCACTTTGTACCCACGATTCTTCCTGACAGCCTGAAACAGCAGGCTTTGCATCCTTTTCAGGCCTGGGGTCTGGCCTTACCCCAGGGGCTTCTGTTTCACCCACAACAGACCCGCCTCCACACCGGAGACCTGGTCACTGCTGACAGCAGGGAGAGAAGAAGGCAGAGGAGTCCAGCACGGCCCTCCTGCATTCATAAATCCTATTTTCTAATGAACATCATGAACTCCCTGTCTCCTGCTCCCAGGAGGAGCCTCAGGTCTCAGAAGTGGCCAATGCTGAGATGACAAAGCTAATGAAATTCTGATCTCCATAGTCTTGAGGTCTCTAGTGTTGCCAGGAGACTGTCAGGAGGAGCTCCAGAAGAAAGAGGCACAGGATGTTTCACTCTGCTTTTCCCAAGAGCAGCCAGGGGACAGCCTCTGCACACTGAGGTAATTCTAGATGATTGGCTCCACACTCTTCCCTCCTCCTTTCTAGTGAGTTTAGTGCTGGCTGACTGTAGAATACTTTATTCACAGAAGCAAGTAGAAAAAATTGTCACTCTTAATTCACATGCTCCAATGTCAGACCAGGAGTGACCGATTCTGCAGGGAATTGCCAGGAATGGCTCATTTGTGTTCTCATCAGTCGCCTCCATGCACATGGAGGTGGATTTCACTGGTGTTAATATATGCTTTCACATCCACAAGAGGCCCTCCGAGGGACAGAAGTGACTTCACACCCACCGCAAAGCCATTTCTGCTGCCAGAGTCCCCAATCTCCAATCAAGGAAAAAATTCTACACCAAGGGACGAGCTCCACCCATCTCACTTGTAATCAGTAGCATCGACATTGTCTGAGAAATATTTATTCTGTGCAGTTTAAGCTTAATTTTCACAAACACTAAAAAGTAATAAAATAGACTTTAGCTTTTCCTTTAACTATATTTATATATAAATCCCTGAGAAGGTAGCTGTCACTTGAAATTCGCTATCTACAGTTAATTAACATCAGGGTGCAGGGAGGGACCCTGAGCCCCATCCTTGTGCACAGCAGGGGCTGGGCTGTCATTGCAAGAGAGCAAACCTGGTCTCCCTTCTGAGCAAAGAGGAGGAGGTGGGAGGGGCACGGCGGTGTAGGAATTCTTAGCCATCAGCACAGATGCTGGCAGGCCAGCTGTTCACTCACTCACGGGGCCTGGAGGTCCCACCATGATAACACCACATTGCCTCACAGAGGTCTCTGCTTTTCTGTCCTTGGTAGACCTCAGGGTAGGTGGTGCCAAGGATGATAAAGAACATAAGCAACTGGGAGAGGAAAACAGGCAAAGGAAGGAAGGGTGAATGAGGAAGAAGAGATGAGGCTACAGGGGTGGGAGAACGTGGTGATAAAGCCAGAGGGGATGGTGTGGTGGCAACTGACAGAAGGGGAGAAGGTTGTCCATGCTCATCAGTCCCCTCCTTCCTGAACAACAGGAGGGGTGCACGGAGGGCGAGCCCTCTGTCAGTGAATGCAGCAGTTCAAAGAAACAAAAATAGACAAAAATAATAAATGTTCTCCTAGGACACCAGGTTTTTAGACAGGCCACTGTGAGACCTCTGAATGCCCGATGCCCAATAGTGCTGAGTGGGTAAGTGACAAGAAGCCTGCACCCCCCCAGCCCTGTGCACCTCCTGAGACCGAGGAGCCTGTGTCACCATTACCTAGGGCTAGAAGAAAGGGCTTCCAAATGGCTCAGGAAGATGAGTGGGCATTTCACGCCACCTCTGGGACCAGATGACCACACCTCCCCTGAGGAATCCCTTAGCCAAAATAATTGAACATAATAATGTTGCTTAAATATAAACTGGCTCATCTGATCACCCCGACACTGACCCGAGGACACCCCCCTCAAGGTGGCTCCAGTTTCCCATCATCTAGACTTTTATTCCTGCCCTCCCACACTCCCTGAGCCTGGCTGGAGGTCTGCTTGTCCCCTCTACTTCCCACTCCAAAGCTAATAAGAAACCAAGAGCATGGGCTTGCCATAGATCGAGGAAAGAGGCTTGGTGACACTTCCTTTGACTTGGAAAATTCCTCTACTAGCATATCTGCTTCCACATGGCAAAAATGAGAAGTGCCTGGCCAGTAGCCAGGCACACAGCTGCAGAAGCTACCTGGACCTACCTCATGGGCCAAAGGGAAGGGCTGTCCACAGGCAAGCCACGTCTAGAGTGAGTCCAGAGAGACCAGGGAGAGTCTGGGATCCCATCAGGGATGACCCTTCTTTCAGTTGGGTCTGGTGGGTTTTCAAAATCCAGTCTTTCCACTGGGGCCATACCAAAGCTCTTGGGGAGGTCAGGCTTCCCAGTCCCAACAGAACCCCTCCATGAAGTTGTGATTTTCTCTCAAGTTGCATACACTGGCCAGGTAAAGGCAGCTTCTACTCACCAGGCAAGTGGCCATCTCACCTTCAGATTTGCCAAAGCAATCTGGGTCCTGCCCCATACTTGTTGGCTTGGCAGGCTTTTCAAAATGCAAGTATCTCTGGAGCTGTTTTGTGGACACCAGGAGCATTACTTGACAAGACCTGTGCTGGCGCCAGGGTACCCTGTGCACCTGGGTAAGGATGGAACACATTGGGAACAGGGACCCAACAAGCCCACTCTGGAACAGCCTGGGACCTGGGGAAATAGCCAGTTGTTTGCTGTCCTGCCATTGCTGTTCGACACACCCCTGGAGACTATGAGCATCTGGTTACAGTGTGGTAGTGGCCGGTCAGGACTAGACATGTCCATTTTTGACCTGGAAGCAGCAGACACCCAAAGCTTAGGGTAGAAGTGGGGGCTCCATACCATTCCCAGTGTCAACTTCCCATGGCGGAAACAGGAAGGAATGTCTGGCTACCCACCAAGGGTCAGAAACCACATCAGCCCAAGCGAAGCTGCCAGACACTGGCTGTTCCAATGACAATTAGACATTCTTGGGAAGGTGGAGCCATTTGTGAGAGCTCAAGATGGGTGTCCTGGAAGTGCCACTTAAAGGCGACTGAGGCCTCTCAAAATCCCTCTGTTAGAGCTGCAGCTCTCCATGTGGGATGCAGTGCAGTCACCTATGGAACTTTAGGACAGGCTCAGGGCTCAGCTCCCAGGACCAGTGCCTTCACAACTTTCGCAGCAGGGATAGCCGGCTTGGAAAGTCATGCCTGGGAGACCATGTGACACTGCCTGGCTGGGTCCTGGGCTGACAGAGGTGAGCGTGGAGCTCGTGGTGACTTGGTAATGCTGTGAATTATGTGCATGTGGCAGGAAGGTGCCACAATGCCAAGGCCCCACGTCTTGGAAATTCCATGAGGTCCGCATGCGGTTGAACTAAACACCAAGTGCAGTCCTCAAAGGAAAAATAAAAGAAATACCTACGTAAGGGACTATTTGGAACTGAGTCTGGAAGAGAGGGCTGTCTGGTGCACTCCAGGAGAATTTGCCTAAAATAAGTTTGCTTCCCATTGCATTCTCTTTGCTTGTTCTAAACATCACCTCCCCCTTATTCCTTTAATTTGCATCTTACTCTTGTTGCATCCTTTTTTTACATATCAAGGAAGTCTGGATTCGATTTACTTAAGAGCATATACGGCTTAATTTTGTATTTCTGGTAATCATCTATTACATTTCCCCCATTTTATCAAATGACACTTTTCCCTGATATCTATTTTAATATGTTAAAGATTTTCTATCCAGTTTATCTAAAACTCCTTGATTAAAAAGAGTTTAATTCTAGCAATACATACATGTTTATGTCTGCATTGTTTTATAATTTGATGATAAATGTTTTTCCCCAATATATGACTGTATGGATAATACTTTTTAAAAAGATACAATAAAATATGATATCTCTTTCTCACTTGATCATGTGGCTGAATGAGTCAATCCCTCCGTCAAATAGAAATATCCGGCATCACTTAATCAAATTAATAGAAACCTCCAGTGTCCATGTGCACCCACAATGAGAAGAAAAGACCAAAACAAACAGCCAAAAAGGAGAGAATCCCATGATTTCTGTGTAAACTCCTACAGATATCATACATATTTATTGCTAAAAACAGTATTTTAAATAAAAGGTCTTCAGGCAAGTGTATTAAAACTGCCTTGGATACAAGGGGCCCTATCACTTGTAAAACCTGGCAAACTGGATAACAATTAAAAATACAAAATCACACAGAAAATACCCTTTAATAAATTGAGGTTTTGTTGATTGAGACAGAGTTTGGCTCTTGTTGCCCAGGCCGGAGTGCAATGGCGCAATCTTGGCTCCCTGCCACCTCTGCCTCCTGGGTTCAAGCGATTCTGCTGCCTCAGCCTCCTGAGTAGATGGGATTACAGGCATGTGACACCGCGCTCGGCTAATTTTGTATTTTTTGTAGAGACGGGGTTTCTCCATGTTGGTAAGGTACTCTCAGACTCCCAACCTCAGGTGATCCGCCCGCCTCGGCCTCCCAAAGTGCTGGGATTACAGGCGTGAGCCACCGCACCCGGCCTAATAAATTGATCTTTAAAAACATCTTAATTGAGGTTCTCTAAAGGGAGCCTTTTAGGCAACATGCCCGCTAGGTGTACTGATTGCTAGGGTGGCTGGTGTCAGGCGAATCGATGTGGCTCCCCCAGCCCCTTCCTGGGAGCATTCTAGAAAGACAGCGTGGAAACGCGCGCGGCCTGGTGGTCCCGGTAGCGGCCATGGTGCTCAGCCCCGCGGCCTCACCCTGCCCTCTAACTCCGTGTCAAGCACCTGCGGATTCTCACTTCCTCTTCTTCCAGGGCGGCAGGCGCTTTTCCTGCACCTTGGCCTGGCGCTTCTTCTCGGCCTCCTCCGCCTCCGGTTTCTCCTCCTTGGCCACCTTGTAAGGCCACTTGGGTGTCCGCAGGTGGCCGGTGTCCGCAGGTGGCCACTGTCCTTGGTGCTGCCCTTCCGCGCCGGCCTCTGGGGCTGGAAGGTGGGCGTGGGCGCCTTGCTGAATAGCCTATTATGAACAGTATCACAGGGTGTACACACATAGAGAACATCTGCTGTGATATTAAAAGTTATACCTCCCTGGGATATTGTGAATAATATCACAGGGTGTACACACATGATGTACACCCACTGTGATTTTTAAAGTAATATTTCCTTAGGATATTACAAATAGTATCAATAGGTGTACACACCCTCTGACATTAAGATAACATCCCTTTAGGATATTCCAAATAATATCCCAGGCTGTAGACCCCATGTGACATTAGGAGTAACATCTTTCTTGGATATTACGAATGAGATCACAGGGTTGACACCCCATGTATTTTAAAATTAAAATCCCCCAGGAATATTACTAATAATAACACAGTGTGTACACCCTTGTGACGTTAGGAGTAACATCCTCCCAGGATGTTATGAATAATATCAGAAGGTGTACACATATTGTGACATTAGTAGTAATATCGCACTAGTAAAGTGTGAATAATATCGCAGGGTATACACACCTGTGACATTAGGAGTAACATCCCCCTGGAATATTCTGAATAATATCACAGGGTTTACACATCCTGTGACTTTAGGAGTATCATCCCGCTAAAGTATTGCGTGAATAATTGTAAAATTATGAGCATCTCCCTAAGATGTTATGAATAATATCACAGAGTGTGTACATACATGGCGTATACCCCATGTGATGTTAGGAGTTACATCCTTCTAGTATGTTAGGAATAATACCACAAAGGTGTTCACACATAGTTAACAGCATATGTAATATTAGGATTAACATCCCTCGAGAATATCACAAAGAACATCACAGGGGCTGTGCACACATGATGTACATGCCCGTAGACATTACGAGTACCTTTCCCTGACACATTTCCAGTAATATCACAGCGTTTACACCTTCTGTGACATTTGGAGTAACGTCCCCTAGGATAGTACGAATAATATCACAGGGTGTACATCCCCTGTGACCTGAGCAGTAATATCTTTCTAGAATACTACGAATAGTATCACAATGTGTACACCCCGTGTGTCATTAAAAGTAAAATTCCCCTAGGATATTATGACAAATAACACAGGGAGTACACCCCGTGTGACATTAAAAGTGACATCCCCGAGGATATAACGTATAATATCAGAGAATGTACATGCATTGGGACATCAGTAGTAATATCTCTTTCGGATAATACGAATAATATCAAAGGGCGTACATGCATTGTGAAATTAGTAGTGAACTCCCGCTAGGATATTATGAATTTTGTGACAGGGTGTATATGCCCTGTGACATTCAGAGTAACGTTTTCCTACAATATTACAAAGGATATTAAAGGGTGTACAGGACCTGTGATTTACGAGTAAGATTTCCATAGAATATTACACTGTGTGTACACCCCGTGTGACATTAGGAGTAACATCCCACAAAACGATAACGAATAATTTCACAAGGTGTACACGCTCTTGGGTGTAGTATCATCCTCTCCCACGTTGAAATTAGGAACAATATCACTGGGGGCGTGTACACACCCTGTGATATTGAAAGTAATATCATCCTCTTTTCTCCTGGATCATGGGACCAATGTCAATGGGAAGCGTACGCTTTCTGCAATATTGGGAGTAATGTCATCCTCTCCGCCTTTGAATATTAAGGGCGATGTCACAGGGCGGGTGTACATTCTCTGCGATATTGGCAATATTATCCTCTCCCCAACCTGCATATTAGGAAAAATATCACAGAGTGGGTGTACACCTTCTGCAATATGAGTAGTAATATCATCTTCTCCTCTTCTGGATATTAGGAACAATATCACTCGGGAGTGTACACTTTCTTCGAGATTGAGAGTAATGTCATCCTCTCCGCCATTGAATATTAAGAGAAATATCACATGGGGGATGTACAGCCCCTGAGATTTTGGGAGTAATATAGGGCTCTTTCCCTCCATGGATATTAGGAACAATATCTCAGGGTGGGTTTACACCTCCTGCTATATGGGGAGTCGTATCCTCTCTTTTCCTGGATATTAGGGACAATATCACAGGGTGGGTGTACACAGCCTGTGATATTGCTGTAATATCATCCTCTCGCCCTCCGGATATTAGGAGCAATATCACAGAAGGGGCGTACACTCCCTGTGATATTGGGAGTAATATCATTTTCTCCTTCCATGATTATTAGGAGCAATATCCCTGGGTGGATGTACATCCACTGTTACATTAGGAGTAATGTCATACTCTACCCCCTGGATATTAGGAGCAATATCACAGGGTGGGTGTACACCCATAGCGATATTGGGAGTTATTAATATCATGCTCTCCCTCCCTGGATATTAGGAACAATATCACAAGGGGGGTGTACACCCCGGCACTATTGCGAGTAATATCATTCTCTCTTATTCTGGATAGTAGGAATAATATCACAGGCGGGGTGTACACCCTCTGTGATATTGGGAGTAATATCATCCTCTCCCAACGTGGATATTAGGAACAATATCACAAGGGGGGCTGTACACGTCTTTGATATTGGTAGTAATATCATCCTCTTCCCCTTGCATATAAGAAACAGTGTGACAGGCGGGGTGGACACCCCCTGCGATATGGGGAGTAATATCACCCTCCTCTCCATCCCTGGATATCATGACCCACGGTGGACACACAGCGTGTTTACGATATTGTGAGTAATATCATCCCCCCCTCTAGAAATTATGAATAATATCACAGATTGGTGTAAACCCTCTGCAATATAGGGAGTGATAACATCCTCTCCACCCCTGAATATTAGGAACAATATCAAAGAAGTGTTTATACCCCCTGTGATATTGGGAGTAATACCATCCTCTCCCACGTTGAAATTCAAAACAGTGTCACTGGGGGCGTGTCCACCCCATGCGATACTGAAAGTAATACCATCCTCTTCTCTCCTGGATCATGGGAACAATATCACTGGGGTGGTGTACACTTTCTGCGATATTGGCAGTAATATCCTCTTCGCCTTGGAATATTAAGGACAATATCACAGGGGGGCTGTACACATCCTGCACTATTAACAATAATATTATCCTCTCACGCCCTGCATATTAGGAAAAATATCACAGAGTGGGCGTACACCTCCTGCGATATGGGGAGTAATATCATCTTCTCTTCTTCTGGAAGTAGAAATAATATCACACGGGTTTGTACACTTTCTGTGATATTGGGAGTAATATCAACTTCTCCGCCTTTGAATATTAAAAACAGTATCACAGGATGGATGTACACCCCCTGCGATTTTGGGAGTAATATCAGCCTCTACCTTCCATGGATATTAGGAATAATATCCCAGAGTGGGTGTTCAGCTGCTGCTGTATGGGGAATCATATCATCCTCTCCCTTCCTGGATATTATTAGCAACAATATCACAGGGTGGGTGTACATAGCCTGCGACATTGGGAGTAATATCACCCTCTCCCCCTCCGGATATTAGGAACAATATCACAGAACGGGTGTACACTCCCTGCGATACTGGGAGTAATATCATTCTCTTCTTCCGCGAATATTAGGAGCAATATCACCGGGTGGATGTACACCCACTGCTATATTGGGAGTTACGTCATACTCTACCCCCTGGATATTTGGATCAATATCACCGGGTGGGTGTACACCTACTGCAATATTGAAAGTAATACCATGCTGTCTCCCTCCCTGGACATTAGGAACAAAATCATAGGTGGGTGTACACGCACTGCGGTATTAGGAGTAATATTATTATTAATTATTACTTATTTATGATTAACATTAATATTAATTACCAACATCAATAGTGAGAAATAATTGCTAATAAAAAGTTTTCATATTATTAATATTAATATTAATTATTGGTACCTAATATTATTGTTTTCTAATTAATAAGATCAGTATCAATTGTTAATATCAGTCATTACTAATAATTAATATTAATAATTTTATTGTTATCATTAATATAACTATTCAGTAATAATTATCATTATTATCAGTATTGATTTTAAATCACTCATTCAACAAAAACTCAGGCTACATACAACTACACAAAGGGCCTAACATTGTAAGCCCTTCGGGACTGCTTCAACCTTTCACTGACACAATAACACTTTTCAGCAAAGAACCCCTATGGCCCTCAACATCTACTATTAACCTTTATATTATTGCTCCAACCCTGGCCCTTTCTTTCGCTCTCCTATTGTGAACCCCCATCCCTATACCAGATCCTCTAATTAATTTTAATATAGGCCTCCTATTTTTACTAACCGTATCAAGCCTAGCCGTCTACTCTATTCTATGATCAAGAAGAGCAATTAAATTCAAATTATGCACTATTTGGCGCATTACAAACTGTAGCCCAAACAATTTCATATGAAGTAACCCTAGCCGTTATCCTGCTATCAATTCTACTGATAAGTGGCTCGTTTAACATATATGCACTCATCACAATGCAAGAAATCCTCTGACTGCTCCTATCATCATGGCCCCTAGACATGATATGACTTGTCTTCACACTAGCAGAAACTAATCGAGTCCCTATATTATATATATATATATAATTTTTATATTATATATAATATATATTATATAAAATACAAATATATAAATATTTGTATATTATATATTTTATATATTTTATATATAATATAAATATATAAATATTTACCTATAATACAAAATACATTTTATATATAATATATATGATGATATATAATTTTTATACCCTCTGTAGAGGGAATTATTTTTGTTTCTATATCCATCCATAATAAAATACTGTGTCTGTCCATAATAAAAATACTAGCGAAAAATAGGAATTATAGTCACGTAAGAGATAAAGGAAAATCTGTTAGTATCAATATATTAACACATATAGATGGTGTTGGTTTTTACAGGGTTTAGTAAAATGCATTCTAATTTTCTAAACAATTTCCACATTACAGTATATTTATTTTTCTCTCTTTCATGATTGGAAAGAGTGCAACAATATACATCCCTATACAATCATCCTTGATTACATCTAAGGGAGCTTTGGCAGTAGTAACATTACAGGGTTAATATATTCATATAGGTATTACAGGGTAACCAAACAACATTCCGAATTCTTTCATCAGCAAAGCCCAGCTTAATCCTAATCCAGGTAGCCACTCTAATTAATGCAATTAACTCAGATACATAAACATATACATATATATGTATATGTCTGCATGTGTGGATGCACTTAAATGGTGGCAAATACCATCAACTTTTCCTCTCAAACAGTATTTTTGTTGAGAATGAGGTATATTCACTAGTTCATCAAAAATCTTTTTTAAATTCTTAGATGATTGCATTTGTTACCGTGAACAGCTGGATTAGAATTAGATTAGGTTTAAAATGATGAAAGAATCTGGGAGAGGGGACAGAGTGTTGGTTATTAATTAGCACATGGATCAAAGGAGAACACTGATGTATTTAGAAGCCACAACATTAACAGGATAAAAGCCAGAACTAACAATCCAGTTGTAAATCTCTTTACTGTGGGATTTTTTGCCATTTCTGCTCCATAAGACACACTTTAACCACTTTGTCGTGCTATCTGCAGTATTCTATTTTAGTCTAAATAGCATTTTCTCTCAAATGCGTTCTGTTTCTCTCTCCTTCGTCTTCCCTCCCTTCTTCCTTCCAGCTGTATTTTCTCACTAGCGAACACTAGTAGTATGTTCTCCCAAATTTCAGATTTCAGATGCGCATCTGTAAAATAACGTTATGGAGACACATTATAGTTGCTACTGAATACTTGGTTGTTTTCACAAGTTCACAGCATTACTACTGTCCTCCAAAAAACGGTTTCCCATTTCCACAGCTAATCTCATCATTGACTCTGCCATCCAAGTTTATTCTAGGCCACTCTGGAAGAATCTGGAAAATACTTAAAATACATTTTAAGTATTCATCATGCACATGTATTGTATTTTATTTATATATGTTCTCCATCATTAACATCACTATAATTATTATTAACAGCACATTATTAACAGCACTATAATAATGCATGAGCATTTGTATATAAGATGAGATTTACAAAGATAAGCCCAGCATAGGAGGTCAAATAAGATTACCTCAAAGTATAGATTCATAAATAAAACACATGGATAAGTATAATATTGTTAGATGAAGAGAAAGAAAATATTTCCAGGTTATCATTGAGTCGTTTTACTCCAAGATTTTTCATGAAGCCCAAGATCTCTACTTTCTTCCATTGATTTTAATTTCATTTAGACAACTTTGTCATCTATTATTTTACTTTGTGACGTTCAGAAATAATTTAAAAGCAGAGAATATATTCTATGCCATACATCATGGGTAATGATTTTCCAAAAATAATTAAAAAAGGAACCAATACACACAGTTTTAGTGTTTCCACCATATTTAATAGAAACACTATAAATGAGTTTTGATGACATTAGAATGCAAATAAAGACATTAAATATAACTTATTTGTCCCATTTGATGAGGTGCAAAAAAGAGGGCTTTTGGGGATAAACAGGTTTCCAGAGCATATAGACACATTTCTGACTTTTCTCTGGTCAGAAGTGACTACAGCAAATGATAGGCCAGAGAGGAGGTGAGAAGGAGCAATTAGGGATGGTGTATATCAGGGAACTTCTATCCACATCAACAAAGCTCACGGTCCTACCTTCACAATCCAGGAATAATCCTACTGTGTCTGTAGGTCTTGGAACATATTGCATTACAAGTGGGGAGGTGGTAAAGAGACTGCAGTGAGTGTCCTCCTTAACACATCCAAGAAGAAAGAGTCCCACCTCTCCATCTATCATGTCATTCTGTCTCTTCTCTTTCCAATAATTGTTACAGACACCAAAAGCCCAATTCCAAGAGTGCCCCATGTTAAACTCCCAATAAAATTTGCCAGATATGAAAAAATCAGCCCCCCATTGAAGAAAACATTCAGATTTATCAGTGATATTGGGATCATGTTGAGGGTCACATCCAACCTTCATGCTTCTCAAATCTCCATGCAGGAAGATATGACTACTGGCTCTTGCATGCTGCAGAGTAAGATAAACTGCAAAAATAATTTTAAAAAAGTATAGATACATGTAATTAACAGAAATTAGAATTCTTGAGGGAAAAGTTGTTCTACCAAGAATTTACTTTGCCAAGAAATTTGAAGTTACAAGGACAGGAGAATTTTGATTACAACATTTAAGAAAGTATAAGGATGATTAATATTCTCTATAGGAAAAAACAATACCCTAAAAACAGACATTGAAAATTTATTGAAAACTTAAAAACTGAGAGTCGAATAAAAGACCAGCCTGTTTTAATCCCATCTCCAATGTAAAAGTGAAATATTATATGCCCTGAATGCCCTTTAGCTATCAAGGTAATTATTATTAAAATATTTCTTGTTCTTACATACTAGTGATATAATTTTGGCAAGAATGGGAAGATTTTAGCTTACTCAAGCACTGCTCTAGATAACTGGATAAAAGTCCACATGTTCAAATTATAAGTGGTAACTTAAGGCAGATTTTTGCAAAATCTTTCACTAGTCACTCTGCAGACATCCCTGCTAGCTCTAGACTGAAACTGAACTTTAAATTTTACACGTAGCTCTTCATGTTGTAACTAAACTGAAATTATCATTTCCATTTTTACTTCCTATTTACAAAATATTTTTTCTTTTTATATATTAAGTCAAAATTTTACATCAATAATATATATTTATTGTAAGAAAATACTAATACTCCAACAAACTGCAGTGAACTCTATTCCCCAATGAAATGTTTTTAACAATTCAAATGAAATACAGTAAAGCAATGTAAAATTTTTATGTAACCTTGGATTATTAAGCTTCCTTCTGAGCATTTTTCCATTTATTCAATTTTTTATTTCTTATGTCATTACATTTACCCAATATATAACTCTATACATGTGAGCCCAGAATATATTTGTTTTTCACTATGTTTTACTCTTCATGTTATAAATTGGACTATAAACAGAAACACAGATATAAAAGTGTTGTATCGTCATATGGTTCACTTCCTGCTGAAATGAAATAAAGATTTGACGAAGGGTAAAATATTACCCCCATGATTCTAACAAGAAGTAATACATTGTGGGAATTTTGCCAATGGGCTGACACTCACCTCTGAATCCCTTGAGCCTGTCCATCAGTCCAATGATGGGCCCTGCACTGAACTCTGGATTCACAGGCTCAGACACTTGCAGCAGCAGGGACTCATACCTGCAAGGAGAAAGATAGAGTTACCATATCAACAGCCAAAAAAATACATAAGAATCACCACCTTTATTTAAAAGACATTTCATGAGAATCCCTTTAACCCACACATTTGCTAATTCCAAAATTATCATTTTCTTTTTCAAATTCATTCTTATTCACAGTTCCTCATTTTCAAGCACGATGGAAAAGTCTATCTGACTGAGAATTTATTCGGATCTTTCTTCGTATTGCTCCAAATTAGTAAGGATCATTAGTCTTAAGACTGGGAGAATATTCAAAAATGAAATTCTGGATTCCAGACCTCACCAGAAATTCCTGAAATTACTGTCTGGAAAAGTGGGGTTATTTTTAAGACTGCTGCATCTGTTGCTTCCTTCTCAAGGCCAGGGTGTTGAAACGTGCTCCAGGCAGGGAGATCTGCCTTTAATAGTTGAGGTTCTCTGGAGGCCTACACGGTTCAAACATTCCAAATAGTTTGTTTCATCTATTTTTCAGAATTATATATTTAAATATAAACTAGAAATCATCAACACTTTTCACTGCTAAAATACTTTCCCCTTTTCTCTCTGGCTTCCCCTGGTTTACTTTGTAGCCATGTAGTAAATGCAATATTTTCTCTTGCAAATATGAAGGCTTTTGAGCAATAAAAAGGAAATTAGGAATAGAGATGCTCACTTCCTTTATTTCTTTCATTTATTTATTTTTTGTTCTCTTTCTTTTTTATTTATTTATTTATTTATTTATTTATTTTTGGTTTTGCAGAACTTTCATTGAACTGCTTAATAAAATCACTGAGTATGGCAACAAAATAGATGACTACATGGGGTGGGGGATGGAGAAAGTACAACCAGCACAAGGTAGTATCAATATCTGAATCACTTATACCTTCAATATCAAAGTTCCTGCTTGATATTTGTGGAAACTGAAAGAATCTGCTAAAATCTTGGTATGTACTCACCTTTGTAATATGTCTCCAAAAGACTGTAAAAAAAATAGAAAGGCTTAGTGCTTTCCACAAGATGCATCTTCAACTAAGTTCATTGTGTGATATGGAGACAGTTTCTGAAGATATTATTTTCCTACAGTGTTCCCTCCTGGAAAGCATTTTCTGTTTCTTTTCTCATGAAAATCCCAGTCTATCATATGTCATGAATTTATGTCCTGATAAAGTCTAAGTTTTGAAGACATTCTTTTTACAAGTGAAGGGAGAGGAGGCCCACAGAGTCTATGCTCTGCTGTAACCATGAAGAAGCTACTCAGTCATCTTCCCTAAGCCCTGTTACCAAAATGAGTGGACCCCAACATAATATTAGTGTGATCCTAGATTCCCCAACTTCTCCATCATGCCATGTCTCCAAATTAGCCTAAATGCCAATGAATCACTTCTCATTTTATCTACTTTCAAAAATCCTAAATATATCACTGACTTTTGATGAGAAATATTTCTTGGGGATGTCTGTTACCTTGGCCATTCCACATAGTTTTGTTGCTGGTGGATAAAGTAGGAGGGACCTTCGGTCTGGTAGAATCACTAGGAGAGGCTGTACCCTCCCAACCAAGTAGCATTAGTTATAGAATCGTGTTTTTGGAAACAAATCATGGAAGTAAAGGGGGAGACGGATTTCAGGAGAGAGGTAAAACACCCATCCACTTGAATCTTCAACATCATGATAACCCATGGTCAGTCCGTACCTGGAATAGCTCCACAACTGCTTTATGGCACATTTGCCTCAGATCCTCATACATTCCTCTTAAAAGCTCCCTGGAATGTTCCATTCTGGCTTTGCTTTCATTGAGTTGCTGAAAAATGTCCTCGCCCTCCTTTTGCAGCCTCTCCAAGTGACGTTGCTCTTCTTCATGGAAAAATGCAACCATCTTATGATATTCAGCTCTGATTGCTTCTATCCTTAAACTCACATAATCCTGCAGTGACAATTAGTCAAAATAGAAATGTTTTATCCATCTTCTCTTGAATTTCACTGATTCCTCTTAGCATTCTGAACACCCAATATTTTAATCCTCGATCTTGTCAATTCTCAGATTCCACAAAATTTTATTCCTTTCATTTCTGTATTAATATCAACATAGTTGTTTCTGCCCAGTTATATTTACTTGATTAATGATAAAATGTTTTCTAAGATAGTTGTATAAAAATGGATTTCTCTCTTCCACACCACATTTATAGAAAGAAAACACAGTTTTTTCTTAAGAATCAAAATATCAAGTTATGCTGACTAGGTAAGAAACCATTATTTCTATTTTGGAGAATTGGGGCAAGTTATGTAAAACCATTATATGACAAATGATGACATGACCACAGACTAGCATTGTCAACTCAATGCATTTCACCCAGCATAACATATTCTAAAAAGGTTTCATTTATTCTCTTCCAAACTCACCCTAATCGGCTACATGGACATCTTTGTGGTTCCTCAAACCCCCAAATAAATGCAAATTAAATATTACTGCACATGCTGTTTTCTATAACTAGAATTATTTTCATGTATATATACATATTTCTCATATATGTACTCATATATATTTCTCAAATATAGGTATATATGGATATTTGAGGAATATATACATGTATCTGTGTGTACATATATATTCCTCATATATATCCATATATATATATAATATATATACACTGACACCCAGATACACATATATATTCATATATTTATGAGGAAGAGGAAGGCAAACAGGAGGATATATATATTTGCTCCTGATCAAGGTTTTGCTTCTCTGTGAATTTTTCCATGAGCCTTTTGTCTGACCACCCTATTTAAAACTCAAACCCTCATCCCCAGTCCCTGGACTCTGTGCTCCTTTTCTAACTTCCTGCTTGATTATTCTCCAAAGACACTACTACACTCTAACACATCATATACATCACATATCTGCACGGTGGCCATTTGCTTTTCTCATTTCAATTGCAAGATTTGTGTTTTCTTTCTTCTTTACTCCTTAATTTTCTAAGTTGATATTTGACCTAGACTAGGTACTCACAAAATATCTTTCAATGAATATTACAATAAATTAATGAATTAATATTAGATATCATACCCTCAATATAAACATCCACAAAGAGAAAATCATTTCTAGAATTCTTCTCAAGTCCTTAGAGTTCTCCTTATATAAAATACTAGTTCCCATATTTCTCACATATTTATGTCTTCATCAAGACACAAGTCTACATTTCTCACCACTTTTCCCTTTATATGTGTTATGACTGATTCAATATTAATTAGTTCTGATATTTAATTTCATGCTTTCCCTAAGGTTGCACTCTTGCTCCTTCTGCCTGAAATGTAGCTCACATTTCAATATACTTGCCCACCAGCATTCAATTTCATGCTGACTCAGCCTTAGAAGAGTCACCTGAAATTTCCATGACTGACAAATAACACATGTGTCCAGAATTTATCCAGGCAGCCCACTGGGAACAGTGTGAAATGGCCCAGTTTCTTGTATTTGTTGGAGTATTGCTATAGGTTTGTATGGAAACAGATGAGCATGCTTGGGTAACATCTGTGGTCTGATTAGAAATCCTACCAAAGAGTCACACTAACTTATATAAAAAATTAGGGTGTTTTTTTCTCAAGTGTTTTTTCCTTGTTTGTTGATTTCCAGAAACATTATGGGTTGAGATCAAGTTCCTATTTTAAGAGTCACCCATTTGTTCACCATAAGTTCCTGGAGAAGGTAGAGTAACACACTACTAACCTTCCAGCATCTGATTCTGTTGGTTGCCATATTCAGGTTTCTGTGATTTTCACACATTTTTCTCCATAAAGACTGCATTTTTCTTAGGAGCTCCTCCTGCAAAAGAGCCATGAATTGAAGCACAAGTGAAGACAATAAAGTATCATTCACACTCTGATATACGAAGGACCCAAAATGAGAGACAAATTAGCCCACAGAAAATAGAGTTTGCTTTGTTTCTCCTCATGTCTGTCAAATCTGAGAGGTGTGAAGTCAAGGAAGCTCATAACAGACATGTTTAAGGGGGCACAGAGATGGCATCATCCAATCTCGAAGGAAATAGGCTGACAAGAATTCCATGTGTCCTGTATAGAAA
This sequence comes from Homo sapiens, assembly GCF_000001405.40. Taxonomy (NCBI): domain Eukaryota; kingdom Metazoa; phylum Chordata; class Mammalia; order Primates; family Hominidae; genus Homo; species Homo sapiens. The sequence goes on from NC_000011.10 coordinate 48,981,261, forward strand.
TAGATCTTCAGAGGCATCACTTACCCGGCGTTCCTCAGCAGCCCACTCAGTGGGACAGTGTCTGTGATTCCGGTGCTCCTGAGAGTTGGAGCACAGCAAACAGAGCAGGCTCTTGTCCACTTCACAGAACATCTCCTTTGTCTCTCTGTGCGTCCCACATATTTGCTCCTCAGAGCTAAGGAATTGCCGGAGGCTGGCTTTTCTGGCAATGGAAGCCATGTTCTTCAAACAAATGTTAGTTTTGAGGTTTCTCTGCCGTGTTGTCTTCTTGCATTTAGAGCACTGAGCAAGAACTGCCATGTCTTGCCAGTTGAGGTAGAAACAGGGCCGGCAAAAGCTGTGCCCACAGTCTATGGTGACTGGGTCTATGAAGTAGTTCATGCAGATGGGACAGATGAGTTCCCTCTGGAAGACTTGCAAGATTCCAGAATTCATGTTTCTGAAGAAGAAAGAGCAGCATGTCATTTTGGGTTCTGGGTTGGTGAAAATCTGTGAACATATCACCATATGTGATAGCTATATTTTCCTCTTGACAGTGCTCATTAAAGCGGAACAAACTATTTCCTCTGTAACAAAAATGAAAAATTCATACACAAAGAGAGTCTTAAGGCTTTATAGCAGACACTACTGACTGGATGACTCACAACCTCTTCTACTCCTAGTTCCTGCCCATAACATAATGCAAATCTGTTCAAAAACCTATTCCCTGGATGTCGATATGAAACTCGGGTTTTAATCTTAAGTGGTCTAGCATAAAACATGCTTGTCCCTATTTCTCTATCAAATAACTACTGAATGACTGTGGGAGAGGTGTAGAAAACCTACACTGGGTAACAAAACATGAGAAGATGGTCAGAGGGTGCTATGACATATTTTTAGAGAAAGGGACCCAGAAGCCGGCTCTTTAAAACAAAAACAACCCCAGAACAAACCAACCGACCAGATAAACAAAAAGACAACAATTAAACCAGTCTAGGCTCACTAGGAGATAAAATAAATAATGAAAAATATTGGGTTTTTCTTATGGCTTAAATTAACTTCTTCTTTGGGCTACTCAAACTATGAACTGACATATAGTCAGTTTTTTAAAAACTGAAATATATATAATTATATTACTGTGGTATTACAGTTAATTATAGGTGTTGACTTGACTGGATTAAATAATACATGGAGAATTGGTATAGCATTATTTCTGGGTGAGTCTGTGAAGGTGTTTGCAGAGAGACATGTAAGTTGGTGAGCTGAGTGGGGAACAGCAACCCTCAATGTGGGTGGACACTATCCAATCAGCTGGTAGCTCAGACTGAAGATAAAGGGCAGAGAGAAGGCAGTTTCCTCTTTTTCTCCTGAAGCTGATTCTAACTCAGCCAGGATATTGGTATCTCCAGGACACTAGCTTAATGACAGCCTGTGTTCAACTTCTCAGACTCCATAATCAAGGGAACAAATTCTCCTAGTGGACTTCCTCTCCTGTACAGTGTCATGTGTAGAGTGAGGACAGATATATGATCCGAGGGACGCATTAGACAGTCTCGTTATTGTTTGAACATCATAGGGTATACTTACACAAACCTAGATGGTATAGCCTACTACACACCTATGGTATACAGTATAGCATATTGTTCCTAGGCTACAAACCTGTATGGTATACGATAGGCAATTGTACCAGAGTTGTAAGTATTTTTGGTATATATACATATATATATATATATATATATATATATATAGTTATGTACACATCCTATGGTTCTGTCTCTCTGGAGAACCCTGACCAATACAAACTGGAATCTTTCCCTTGGCAGTTTGAAGTCCTTTACCTGACTCTCTTTTACTAAACACTGCTGAATTTAAGTACCAAAAGTGAAAATTTAAGAATTGCAAATATTTTTCAGAGGTCATCTGAGCCATTTCAAGGAATTTTTCATAGTTTCATCTGAGGTAAGCCTCAATTAAAATGACAACTACTATCAAGTATCAAATCATTCCTTATACAGTTATCTGCTAAACAATTGTGTTTTGATTTCTAAGCTAGGGCATTTTGGAGAGCATTCTTATTTCCTTTAGTATCACCATTTTTAACTCATCATTGCCTCAGTAACTTAAAATCATGTCTAAAAGCTTAATGTTATGAAAGCACATTTACAGTATTCAATAATTATCCTTTTTTACTTAACTGTACCAATATTAGTACATGCAGTACACATATATAGGTTTTAATGTGAATTCCATATATCCATGATGCATACAAATCTATTGCAGCAAACACTAGATATCTAAAATTTTTCAAAAATATATTAAAAACTTTTGGAACACACAAAATGACAACAATTAATAACCTCATGTCATAAAATGAATAGCAATAATATGAGTTACAAATAAGATCATTAAGTAAGTTTAGACAGTTAGATATTTTTATCACTGTAATTTACTCTTTTAAAGGAAGAGAGAAATAATTTTCTCCATATAAGTTGCACTCACCCCAAGGTTCTATGAATGTTTCCTGCAGTAATTCTTCCAAGAAAAAATTCTTTTAAGTATTCCCCAAGATCAGGAGTTCATTCCCTGCACAGTTGACTTTCCAAGGTCACCTGAATGCAGTTAACTCTAAGTGCTGTCCTCCTCTGGAGAAATATGAGCTTGTCTCTTCTACATCCTTTTATATGAATCTTTGAAGACCACACCCACCTCTTTAGTGATATTTAGGGTATTAAGAATGGTGGAGACAGAGATGATTAGGTTTATGCAATATTTAGTACACACCTTTTCATCACTGATTAAATTAGCCTCACACTATCATTGTAAAAACCACTGCCTGAATGAGGCATATCTATCATCAATCTTATTAGAGTAAACATATGCTAGAAATTAACTGAAATTAATACTATTTCTTGGGTTTCTTCCAAGGCACAAGCATTCCTCTAAGTGCACATTTATTTATTTATACCAAAGAAAGTTTCACCCTCTGGAGTGCAGTGGCACACTCTTAGCTCCCCGCAGCATTGAATTCCAGAGCTCAAGTAATCCTCCCACTTCAGCTTTCAAAGTAAAAAAGACTATAGGTTTATGCCATTGGACCTAGCTAATTTTTCATTTATTCATCAAAAATATTTTTTAAATTCTTAGTTGATTACATGTGTCACAATGACCAGCTGGATTAGAATTAGATTAGGTTTAAAACAATGAAAGAATCTGGGAGAGGGGGCAGAGTGTTGGTTGTTAATTAGCACATGGATCAAAGGAGATTACTGATGTGTTTAGAAGCCAAAACACTGACAGAATAAAAGCCAGAACTAACAATCCAATTGTAAATCTCTTTACTGTGGTATTTTCTGCCATTTCTGCTCCATAAGACACACCTTAACCACTTTGTTGTGGTATCTGCAGTATTCTATTTTAGTCTAAATAGCATTTTCTCTCAAATGCATTCAATTTCTCTCTCCTTCATCTTCCCTCCCTTCTTCCTTCCAGCTGTATTTTTTTACTAGAGAACATTAGTAGAATGTTCTCCCAAATTTCAGATTTCAGATACGCATCTGTAAAATAATCTTATGGAGACACATTTTAGTTGCTACTGAATACTTGGTTGTTTTCACAAGTTCACAGCATTACTACTGTCCTCCAAAAAACGGTTTCCCATTTCCACAGCTAATCTCATCATTGACTCTGCCATCTAGGTTTATTCTATGCCACTCTGGAAGAATCTGGAAAAATAAAATACATTTTAAGTATTAATCATGCACATGTATTGTATTTTATTTTATATATGTTTGGGTGAATATCTTTCTCCACTAATGGTTTGCATTTCAATTCTTGTGTCATGTTTTTTGAAACACAGAAGTCATCATTAATATAAACCAACTAATTTTTTTAATTGTTAATTTTTGTCCTGGTTAAGAAATCCTTATGAGAATATTTTATCATGTTCCCCTTACCTTCAGGACTTGAATCTATTTGGAAATGACTGTGTGTGTTTTGAGGTAGGAATCAATATTTAGTTATTTTTTGAAATTCAATTAATCCAGCATTGTTCTGACCACCTTGTGTATTTCAATGTAGAAGAGCACACTAATAATGTGGGATTATTTATATAAGTGGTGAGAATTCCAAAATGAAGCCCGGCATGGAAGGTTAAATAATATTAACTCAAAGGATAGATTAGTAAAATGAAATGTGATGGATAAGTGCAATATAGTTAGGTAAAGAGAAAGAAAAACATTTCCCAATTATCATTAAGACTTCACTCCAAGCTTTTGCATGAAGCAAAAGATCCCGACTCTCTTCCATTGATTTTAACTCCATTCAGACATGTCTGTCATCTATTATTTCACTCAGTAGCAGTCAGAAATAAACAAAAAAAAAAAAAATATATTTTATGCCATGATCATGAATAATGATTTTTCAAAAATTAATAAAGAACCAATACATATACTTTTAGTGTTTTTACCATTTTTAATAGTAACACAATAACTGAGTTTTAATAACATTAGGAGGCAATTCAAGACATAAAACAGAACCTATTTGTCCTGTTTGATAAGGCACAAGGAAGAGGGCTTCCTGGAGTAAACGGGTTCTCACAGCAGATGAACATATTTCTGATTTATCTCTGGTCAGAGGTGAACACACCGAAAGATAGGCCTGACAGGAGGCGAGAAGGAGCAATTAGGGATCGTGTATATAAGGCAGCTTTGATTAACATCAACGAAGCTCACAGTTCTAGCTTCACAATCCAGGAATAATCCTATGAGGCTGGTAGGTCTTGGGATATATTGCAGTGTAAGTGGGGAGGTGGTAAAGGGACTGCACTGAATGTCATTCTTGACACATCCAAGACTAAAGAGTCCCTCCTCTCCATATATATTGCCATTCTGATTCTTCCCTTTCCAATACTTATTACAGACACCAAAAGCCCAATTCCAAGTGTCCCCCACATGGACATCCCAGTAATATTTGCTGGAGGTGAAAGTCTGAGCACCCCATGCAAGAAAACTTGTAGGTGTTGCAGTGATATGGGGTGGATTTTGACGGTCACATCCAATACACATGCTTCTCAAATCTCCACATCAAAAGATACGACTGTTGGCTCATCATTATTCAGAGTAATATCCACTGCAAAAATAAATAAATAAATAAAAGAGAAACAAAACATACATAGACATGTGTCAATAAGCAAAAATTGTTCTATCAAGAAGTTAATTTACCAGGAAAAGTAAAGTCACAAGGACAATTTTGCTTGTAACTTCTAATAAAGCATAGAGATGATTAATTTTAACTACAAGACAAACAAAACACTAACCACAGGTATTAAAAATGTTTTGAAAACTTATATATTGAGAGCCAAATGTAAGACCAACTTCTTTCAATCCAATTTTTGAAGCAAAATTTACACATTATATGCCCTAAATACTATGTTGTTATCAAGATCATTATTTAGAAATGTTTCTTATTCTTAAAAACTAGTGCTATCATTTTGGAAAGAATGTGAAGATTTTCAGTTACTCAAGAACTGCTGTTGATGACTGGATAAAAATCCATAAGTACATGTCATAAGTGACCATTTAAAGCAGATTTCTGTAAAATCTTTTACCAGTCTCTCTGTGGTCCTCCATGCTAGCTTGGGGCTGAAGCTGGATTTTAAGCTTAACCTGTAGCTTTTCATATTGCAATTAAACTGAACTTCTCTTTGTTTGTAATTTTACTTGTATTCACAAAATGATTTCTTCTTTTTATGTTTACCCATTAACTAATTTTTTTTGCAATACATGATACGTATCCATTTAAAAAATTAAAACCCCCCAGCAATCCCCAGTAAACGATAATCCTCAAAAGAACAGTTCTTAGCTGTTCAAATGAATACACTAAGGAAACGTAAAATTTTGTATTTAACATTAAATAACTCACCTTCATTCTGAGCATTGTTCCATTTGCTCCTTTTTTAAATTTGCTACCCTACTCCTCTTTCCCATTACATTACTCAGTACATATGAGGCCATAACGTATTTGTTTTTCACTATCTTTCAAACTTAATGCTATAAATCTGACTATATAGACACAGATACAAAAGGGTTGCATGATTATGTTGTTCGCTTATGTCTATAAAGAAGTAAAATATTTGATAATGGGTGAAATATTACCTATGGGATCCTAACAATAACAATATTTAGATAGTGGGAGTGCTGCCTATGGGTGGAGACTTACCTCAGAATTAGATGAGCCTGTCCCTCAGTCCAGTGATGGGCCCTGCACTGAGCTCTAGATTCAGAGGCTGGGGCATGTGCAACAGCACGGACTCACTCCTGCAAGGAAAAACCTGCAGTTACAACATCTACAGCCATAAAATAAATAAAAATCACTATTTCTATTTAAAAGACAGCTCATGAGAATCCTCTGAATCCACAAATTTGATTATTCAAAAATTATTACTTCTTTTTTGGAATTAATTTCTATTTATAGTTTCCCAATTTTAAAGCATAGTGGGAGAGCCTGAGTCAGAATTCCGTCTGATCTTTCTTTTTTTCTGCCCCACATGTGTAAGGTTCCTTAGCCTTATGGCCTTGAGAATATTTGGAAATGAAATTCTGAGTTCCACTTCTTGGCAGACTCCCCTGACATCTTTGTCTGAAATAGCGGGGTTTTGGGAAGACTGCTGCATCTGCTGCTTCCTTTTCAAGATAAAGAATGTGAAACTTGTTCCAGGCAGCTAGACCTGCCTTTTAGAAACAAGCTTCCCTAGAGACTTATACAGTTCTAACACTCCACAGTTTTTTCAACCTATTTTTCAGGACTGTTAACTGATTTGTATATAGGTATGAACAATAAATCATCAACTTTTTGACTGCTAAAATACTTCCCCCACTTCTCTCCTGCTTCCTCTGGTGACTTTCTCACCATCCACAAAACAAAACTTTATCTTTCACCTATGCAGGCTTTTAAGCAATAAAACAAAATCAGGAATAAACATTTTTTTAATTTCACTATTTATTTATCTATTTATTTATTTATTTAGTGTTCTTGTCTTTTCTGGTGTAAGAGTGAAAGCAGATGCAAAAAAAAAGGTAGTATCAATATCTTACTCATTTATGCCATGACTTTGGTAGAGCCTGCTTTGATATTCGTGGAAACTGAAAGAATGTATGCTAAAATCTAGGTAAACACTCACCTCTGTAATATGTCTCCAAAACCCTGTAAAAAAAAATAGAAATACTTAGGGCATTTTACAAGATGCATCTTTCACTAAGTTCAGTGTGAAATTTGGAGTCAGTTTCTGAAGATATTATTTCCCTCCCATCTGGAAAGCATTTTCTATTTCTTCTGTAATGAAAAACCCAGTTAGTCATTTTGTCATTAATTAATGTCCTGGTAAAGTCTGAGTCTTGAAGACATTCTCTCCAGAAGTGAAGGGAGAAGAGGCCCAGAGAGTCTATGCTCTGTGGTAACTTCAAATAACCTACTCAGTCATCTTTCCCAGAACCTATTACCCAAATGAGTGGACCTCAAAATAATATTAATGTGAGCCTAGATTCCCAAAACTTCTGATCTTGCCATGTCCTCAAATTATCCTAAATGTAAATGAATCACTCACTATTTTATACATGTTAAACAACCCAAAATATATTATTGACTTAGATGGGGAATAGTTATTGGGGCTGTTACCTTGACCATTCCACAGAGTTTTGTGGCTGGTGGATAAAGTAGGAGGGACCTTTGGCCTGGTAGAATCCCTTGGCGGGGCTATACTCTCCCAATAAAGTAGCATTAGTTATGCGAATGTGTTTTTGGAAACACATCATGGAAATAAAGGTTGGGAGATGGATTTCAGCCATGAGGAATATACTTACACATGTGAATAGTGAAAAACCTGAAACTACATTGTGAGTTTGTACCTGAAGTAGCTCCACATCTGGTTTATGGCACATTTCCTTCAGCTCCTCATACATTCCTCTTAAAATCTCCCTCCTATGAGCCATTTTGGCTTTACTTAAATGAAGTTGATGAAAAATATCTTTCCCCTTCTTTTTCAGCATGTGCAAATTATGTTTTTCTTCTTCATGGTGAAATGCAGCCATCTTCTCATACTCAGCTCTAATTGCTTCTAGCCTTAAATTCACGTAATCCTGCAGTGATAATGGGTTAGTCAAAAGAGAAATGTATTTATTCATCTCCTATTAAATCTCACTGATTCTTTTTGTCTCTTGAATATCCAATAATTTAAACCTCAGTCTTTCTAGTTCCTAGAATCCACAAAATTTTGTTCCTTTCCTTTCTTTCTGTATAAAAATCAACATAGCTGTATCTGACCAATTACATTAAATTTATTCAAGATAATGTGTTTTCTAAGGCAGTTGGAAATAAAAAAAAACACAATTTGAATTTCGCTATTCCAGCCAATATTTATGGAAAAGTAAGAACAGCTCATGCTTAAGAGTTGGAGTATAGAGCTATAGTTACTAGAATGGAAATAATTATTTCTATTTCTGAGATACGCAAAAGTTGCTTAAACTCATTTTATGTGAAATGACCTTAGGCTAGCATGTCCAGCTAAATTCATTTCACCCAGCAAAACCTATCTTAATGAGGCTGCATTTATGATTTGGCCATCTTTGTCTCTCTGAATTCATTTCCTTCGTTTCTTTTTCTAAGTTATCCCATTCTGAAACATAGACTTCTTTGTGGTTCCTCCGGCCTCCAAATATACACAAACTCAAAATTACTGCATATGCTGTTCTCTCCAACTAGAATTTTATGCACACACACACACACACACACTTATACATATATACACATTCATGGTCCACATATATATATATATACATATACACATTCGTGTTCCCTCTCCTCTTCAAAATTTTGTTCAAATTGAATTTTTCAGTGAGTCTTTTTTCTGACCACCCTATTTAAAAATCAGACCTAATCTCCAGTTTCTGGCCTCTATTGTCCTTTTCTACTTCCCTGCTTGATTATTCTCCAACAAAGAACCTACCACACTCGAACACATCATGTATTGCACATATTTGCATGTTGACCATTTTTTCTGTCTCATTTGGATTGTACGATTTGTGAGGACAAAGATGCTTTCTTTCTGCTATACTAGCAAATTTTCTAATTTAATATTCAACATAGACTAGGTTCTTATGAAATACTTTTCAACACACTAATATTAGCTATAATACCCTCAAAGTATACATCCACAAATAGAAAATCATTTTTAATATTTCTCTGAAGTCCTTAGAGTTCTCCTTATATTTAGCTACTAGTTCCCATATTTTGAGCATGTTTACATGTCTCCCTCAAGACACAAATCAATTTTTCTCACCAATTTTCTCATCATATGTTATGTATTATTCAGTATTAATTAGTTGAGATTCTTAATTTCATGGTTGCCCTAGATTTCCCCTGTCACTCTTTCTGCCTCAAATTTTCCATACAATTCCAAATACTACTTGTCCACCAGCATTCAGATTAATGCTGACCCAGGCTCAGAGGTTCACTTGAGCTTTCTATGACTGCCAAATGAATCTTGTGCCAAGCGTTTATCCAACCAGCACATATAGAATGCTGTGAGATGGCCCAGTTTCTTGCATCTGTTGGTGTATAGCTACAGGTTTGTATGAAAACAAACCAGCATGCTTTGGGTGACTTCAGTAGTTTTCTTAGAAATCCTATCTAACAGTCGTACTATTCTATATAAGAAATGAGGTCACTTTTTCTCAATGTTTTCTTTTCTTTTATTGACTCCCAGAAACATTAGAGTTTGATAACAAGTTCCTATTTTAAGAGTCACCCATTTGCCCACCATAATTTCCTGGATAAGGTAGAGTAGCACAGGACTAACCTTCCAGTGGCTGATTCTGGCGGTTTCCATGTTCAGGTTTCTCTGATTTTCACAAGCTTTTTCCCATAAAGACTGCATTTTATTTAAAAGCTTCTCCTGCAAAAGAGCCATAAATTGAAGCACCAGTGAAAACAATAAAGTAACATGCAGACCGTTTCATAGGGAGGGGGCACAGAATGAGAGACAAATAAGCCCATAGTAAATGGCATTTCTTCTATTTCCCTTCTTCTTCATCAAATCTCAGAGGTTTGAAGCTAAGAAAGCCCAAAAGTGAGCTGCTTAAAGGGACTCAGATTTGGCTTTACTCCATCTCCAAGAAAATAGACCCACAGGAATTTCATGTGTCCTTTATAGAAATAGATCTTCAGAGGCATCACTTACCCGGTGTTCCTCAGCAGCCCACTCAACGGGACGGTGTCTGTGATACCGGTGCTCCTGAGAGCTGGAGCACAGCAGACAGAGCAGACTCTTGTCCACTTCACAGAACATCTTCTTTGTCTCCCTGTGAGTGCCACACATTTGCTCCTCAGAGCTCAGGAATAGCCAGAGACTGACTTTTCTGGCAAGGGAAGCCATCTTCTTCAAATGAATGTTAGTTTTGAGGTTTCTCTGCCATGTTGTCTTCATGCATTCAAAGCACTGAGTAAAAATTGGGATGTCTTGCCACTTGAAGTAGAAACAGGGCCTGCAAAAGCTGTGCCCACAGTCTACGGTGACCGGGTCTATGAAGTATTTCATGCAGATGGGGCAGGTGAGTTCCATCTGGAATTCTTGCAAGATTCCAGAATTCATGTTTCTGAGGAAGAAAGAGCAACATGTCATTTTGGGGTCTGGGTTGATGAAAAGTTTCTGAACATGTGGAGATACCTGATAGCCCTATTTTCTTCTCTTGACAGTATTCATTAAGGCACAGCACTCTATTTATTCTGTAACAAAAATAAAAATCTCACACAGAGAGAGTCTCTCGGCTTTATAGTAGATGTTACTGACTAGATGACTCACAACCCTTTATACTCTTATTTCCTGTATGTAACATAATACCAATCTATTCAATTTCCCGTTTTCTGAATGTTGATCTGGAAATTGGGTTTGATTCTACATGACCTAGAATAAATTGTAGTTGTTCCTATTCTTCTTTCACGTAACTGCTGAGTAGGAAAGACTGGGAAAAACTACCTTGGCCAAGGAAATATGAGAAGATGGCTAGAGGGTTCTACGACATATTTTTAGAGACACAACAGTGGGGCAGCAAACCACTATGGCACATGTTTACCTATGTAACAAGCTTGCATGTCCTGCACATTTATCTTAGGACTTAAAATAATATAAAATTAAAGTAAAATAAAAAACCAAACCAAAACAAAATAGAAAAACCAATCAACCAACCAAATAAACAAAAAACCAGCAATTAAATCAATTTTGGTTTAATAGAAGAGAAAAACATAATTAAAGATATTGGGCCTTTTTATTTTCTCGTGGATTAAATTAACTTCTCCTAGGGATACCCAAACTCTGAACTAACATATAGTATGATTTTTGTTAAACTCAGAGAGGTGTGATTACATCTCTATGGTGTGATGGTGAATTTTAGATATCAGTCTGACTGGATTAACCAATACCTAGGGAACTGGTGCAGCATTGTTTCTGGGTGAGTCTGTGAAGGTGTTTCCAGAGGAGACAGACATGTGAGTTGGTGAGCTGAGTGGGACCATCATCCCTCAGTGTGAGTGGGCACCATTCAATCAGCTGGTAGCTCAGATAAAAGGAAAAAGCCAGAGGAAAGGCAATTTCCTCTTTCTTTCTCCTGAAGCTGGTTCTGAGGCTTTCAGCCTTGAGCTCAGTCCAGATACCGGTATCCTCAGGACATCAGCTTAAAGGCAGCCTATATTAGAACTGCTCAGACTCCATAATCAAGCAAAGGAATTTTCCTGATGAATTCCCTCTCAGGTAGAGTCATGTGTAGCTTGATGACAGATATATGTTCTGAGAAATGTGTAAGGAGGTTTTATTTATTTACTTTTTGAGATGGAGTCTCACTCTATCACCCAGGCTGGAGTGCAGTGGTGCAATCTTGGCTCACTGCAACCTCTGCCTCCAAGGTCAAAGCGAGTCTCCTGTCTCAGCCTCCTGAGTACCTGGGATTACTGGAACACCTCACTACACCCGGTAAATTTTTTCATTTTTTTTTCTTTTTTTAGTAGAAACAAGGTTTCACCATATTGGCCAGGTTGGACTTGAACACCTGGCCTCAAGTGATCTGCCTGCCACTGCCTCCCAAAGTGCTGGGATTACAGGCGTGAGCCACTGCACCCAGCCAGGCGGTTTTATATGTTTTGACATTATAGACTATACTTACACAAACCTAGATGGTATAGCCTGCTACACACCTATGGTATACAGTACAGCCTGTTGCTCCTAGGCTACAAAACTGTACAGCATGTTCTGTACTGTATACTGTAGGCAATTGTAACACAGTGGTAATTACTTAGCATGTGAACATATTTAAATACAGAAAAGGTACATTAAACATACTGGTATTATAATCTTATGTGACCACCATGTGTGGTTTGTGGTTGACTGAAACGGCTCATGAATGTATCTCTACATATATACATACACATCCTATCATTCTGTCTGTCTGGAGAGCCCTGAGTAATATATAAACTATGGTCTTTGTTTGGCAATTTTAAGTCCTTTACTTTACTCTCCTGTACTTGATAACATTGCTGAATTTTAGTGAAAGAAATGAAAAATCTTAGAATTGTAAATAGTCTCCAGAGGTCATCTAATTCATTTTAAGGAATTTTTCATAGTTTAATAAGATTAAGACTCAAGTGAGATGGCAACCACCATCACGTATCAAATTATATCTTATACATTTATTTGGTCAGAAAATTGTGTTTTGATTTCCAAACTAGGAAATTTTGGGGAGCTTTCTCATTTTTTTCAGTTTCACTATTTTGCATCTCTCATCATTACCTTACTAATTTAAAGTTATGACTAAAAGCTGAATGAATGAATTAACATTCATTAATGTCTTCTCAATTCAATTGTTTAATATTAATGCACTCATTACACATATATTTACACACACTTATGTGTACATATATGTATTAATATCAACTCCATATATTCATTATGCATACGTATCTGTTGCAGCAAACACTAGATATTTCAATTTTTTTGAAACAATATTGAAGAATGATAGAAAACACAAAATAACAACAATTAGTACCCTAATAATTCATAAAATCTATAGCAAGAATATGAATTACAATGGTATCATTGTGTAGATTTAAGATAATGAGTTATTTTTAACACTCTAATTTATTATTTTGTAAAGGAAAGAAGATATAATTTTATCAATATAAGTTTCACTCACCACTGGTTTCTTTGAATGGTTCCCACAATGATTCTTCGAGAAATAATTCTGTTAAGTACTCCTCAAGGTCAGGAGCTCATTCACCGCAGTACTGACTTTTAGAGGTCACCAAAATACAGCTCCTTCTAAGTGCGCTCCTTCTCCTTTGGATAAAACTGAGCTTGTCTCTTCTATGTCCTTTTATAAGAATCTGTGAAGACCACACCCACCTCTTTAAGTGGGTGGAGTATTGAGAAAGGTAGAGAATAAGATGATTAGGTTTATGCAGTATTTAGAACACACCTTTGCACCGCTGATTAAATTATCATCACTCCTTCATTCCAAAAAACCGTGACTGAAGTGAATAATATGTAACATAAATCCTATGAGATTAGACATACACTAGAAATTAACTAAGATGCATTTTATACTGTTTATTGAGTTTCATCCAAGATGCAGGCATTCCTCTAAGGGCACATTTATTTATTCTAGAGAAACTGTCTCCTTGTGGAGTGCAGTGGTACATTCACAGCTCACTGCAGCCTTGAATTCCAAGGCTCAAGGGATCCTCTTGCTTCAGCCTCCCAAGTAGCTAGGACTACAGGCTCACACCATCCCACCTGGCTAATGTTTTTTAAAACTTTTCATAGAGTCAGGGTATGGCTCTGTAGCCCAGGCTGTTCTCCAACTCCTGTCTTCAAATGATCCTCTGGTCTTGGACTTCCAAAGTGCTTGGGAGTACAGGCATAAACCACCTCTTCCAGTCCTAAATGCTGCTTTAGTACATTTATAGGCTATTCCCAGAGAAGTCCAACAGGAAGATAAAACTTTTTTTTATTTTCTACCACTCTAAGAGAAATCACTGATTAACCAAATAACCCCACTAATTTGAGGTCTCTTATTGAATTTACAAAACTTTGCCAATCTCATGGGTGAAATATAAGTTATTGTTTTAAGGCTTTTCTCCACATAGTGCATGATGTTCTATGATGACTAGAAATGCAATGTAATAATTTGAGGATTATAAACAAGTTTTAGGACATAGGCTAATTCACAAATACAGAATCCAAATGATAGGGATGGATTATATTTTTCTTTCTTTAACAAATATTTTTGCTGTCATGTGACAATTAAAAAAAGAAGAGATTTCAGAAGCGGCTACTCAAACGTTTTCTGACAGAGGAATTCTTTGCCAATAGCCCCCACAAGACTTATAGTCAAGAGTGCTTATGTATTTTCTCAGCTTATTTTATGTTTAACCACATACAAATCATGGAGAAAATGTATCTATGGTTATGTGCAATAGTCCTCCTTATCCATAGTTTTTCATATATATATATATATATATATATATATATATATATATAAAATTATACTTAACGTTCTAGGGTGCATGTGCAATGAGAACACACTTTTTCTTTTTGAGGTTTGAGTTACCAGGGATCAAAATTTCGCCAAAAAATATTAAGTTAAAAAATCTACAAACAGTTTTTAAGTTCCCTGCTGCTCTGAATATTATGATGAAATCTTTTTCAGTCCTACTTTGTCCGCCCTAGGACATGATTTATACCAGCACAATCATCAGTAACCTCTCAGATATCAATTTATTCAACTGCCATGGTATGGCAGTGCTTGTGTTGAAGTAATTCATTTCTTACTCAATAATGCCCCCAAATCACACAAGTAGTGATGCTGGTCATTCAAATATGCTAAAGAGAAGCCATAATAAAGTGCTTCTTTTAAATGAAAAGGTAAAAGTTTTCTACTCAAAAAGAAATGAAAAAAAAATATGCTGAGGTTGTGGGTTGAATCTTTTACTCATAAAATTGTGAAGGAAGAAAAACAAATCCAAACAAGTTTTGCACTGCGTTTCAAACAGCAGAAGTTACACCCACAGTGTATAATAAGGGCTTATTTAAGATTAAAGAAATGGTCGTTAAATGTGTGTGTAGAAAGCATGAGCAAGAAACGTGTTCCAATTGACGGCAACATGTTTCCTCAGAAAGCATTGAACCTCTATGAAGATTTTAGCAAAAGATCCCCCAAAACAAGTGACACTAAGCCATTTACTGCAAGTAAGGACAGTAACACAGATTCAGGAAAACAGAAGGTCAATAGTAGCCTAAAGCTCATGTCAGTGCCTACATCATTCACCTCATTTCAATTCATCATGTAGATAACGTATCATCTCACATCATCATCAGCTGTGTATTCCATAATCATTTACATTCAACATGTTGTGTTTTATCTCTTCATTTATTCCATATCTCAAAACCTGAGGAACAAGGTCATCTTTCCGGGATTTAAGTTACAGTATAGGAGATCACCTTAAATAATTATTTATTCTTGTCTATAAGAAAATATTTCCATAATCATGTTTTCCTTGATTTACAAATCTTTCATGATTTTTTTTGACTATTGCCTTATTTTTATTTTCTACATTCTCACCTGGATTTCTACAATAGGTATCTAAATGTCTTTCTGCCTTCAGAATAGCGTCTTTCCAACAAGCACTCTAACATTCTCAGTCCCATGCAGAGACCATGAGGTCACATTCCTTCGATCCAATTTTACCCAATTTCTGGCAATTCCTCCAATGCACTTCATGTTCTATCCTCTCTCATCAATTGCACCTGTGAGTCTCTGCCTGAACAGCTCTCCCCGTCTGGGGTCAATAGAGTGTCTTTTAAGTATAACCCATGGAATATCTGCCTTGGGGCCCATAATTGACCTAGCAGCACTTCCTTTGGGCTTCCCTAGTCCCTGTGTATTAACAATTTATTTTCTTGGCTAGTTATAGAAAAGTTTACTTGAACCATTCCTATGATACTTGAATTGGATCCTCATTGTAGTTTATGAGTGGCGAAGAAGGGTCTGAGTATTCCAGCAAATAAGTATGTAAGGAACAAATTATGAGAAAATATTTAGGAATAGGGAAAAAGGGCTAGGTGCGCTGGCTCACGCCTGTAATCCCAGCACTTTGGGAGGTCCAGGGAGGCGGATCATCTAAGGTCAGGAGTTCGAGACTAGCCTGGCCAACATGGTGAAACCCCTCTCTGCTAAAAACACAAAAAATTAGCTGGGCATGGTGGCGGGCGCCTGTAACTCCAGCTACTGAGGAGGCTGAGGCAGGAGAAATGCTTGAACCCGGGAGGCGGAGGTTGCAGTGAGCCCAGATTGCACCATTCCACTCCAGCCTGGGTGACAGAGCAAGATTCCATCTCAATAAATAAATAAATAAAATAAAAGGAATATGAAAAAGAGGCAGATGAAGATTCATAAACCAGGAGCATACTGAAACTGTTCTGATGTATTTGCGTATGCTGGAATGATGATTGTGAGCTTGTCTAGAGACTTCAATGATTACTCGCCTTATAACAAAGCAGAAAGCCTTCCTTAGAATTATCTGGGCTGACATCATTCCTTGTCCAGACCTGTTAACAGAGGTCTGCAACCCAGTGCTGTGAGTCTCAGTCCCAACAATGCAGAAGGCCTGAGATCCCACAGAAATTATCCTTGAATTTCTGAAGACTTTTAACGCACAATAATTTATGGATTCTATGCATTTCATGTTTTTTAAAATATCAGATTATGTGAGGTTTTTGAACAAATTAAGTTCCAGGATGATATCCACCACCGAGACAGGAAATCAGTCTAAAGAATTATAATCTCAAAGTCCAGAATGATGAAAAAAAATGTTTTTCTTAGAGCTTCCTTGTAAGTGTCTTTCATTTTTCTTGAGATATAAGTAGTAGAGAACAATCTCTGCCTGATACATCTGGCCTAGTCATATGTAAATTTATTCATTGTAGAAGAAAGAATTATACTTTTAAAATAAGATAGCTACTTAAAGCTTTTTGTTGTTTTTGAGGCAAAGTCTCACTCCGTCACCCAAGCTGAAGAGCAGCATTGCAATTGTAGCCCATTGCAGTCTCAAACTCCTGGAATAAAGTGATTCTTCCACCTTAGCCTCCAAAGTAGCTAGGACAACAGGGTACCTCACCAGGCATGGCTAATTTTCTTTTTATTTTTTGTAGAGATGATGTTTTACTATGTCTCCCAGGCTGGTCTTGAACTCCTGGCATAAAGGGATTCTTTACACCTCTTGTTTATGTTAGCATACAACGTGAACTGCAATTCTGAATTTACTTTTATACCAGGTACTAACATAGCTTATACAATACTATAGTTGAATAATCTTTCCCCATCAATTTTTGCTGTATTCTTTGTTACTAATACTTGCTTATATATCACTGAACCTATTTCTGGGTCATCTACTCTTATCTTTCTATGTATCCTTACATCAGCTGCCAGGATTTGATATTTATATAATGATATTCTATTTAATACACAGATGTTTACCCTCAAAATTCTACTTTAAAGAAATTACCTTAGTATTCTCACCAAGTATTTTTTCCTTCCATCTTAAAATGTTGTTCAAATTGTGTTCTACTTTTTTGATTTTACACAGAATTAATCATAAATTAATCATAAATGTTTAACATTTTCAAAATTAATGGCCTCATAATATTGTTATTCTGGATAAATAGAATTTTGCCAGATGAAAGTGGAAATAAGGAACTCTATGTAAAGGTAATGACAAAAAAAAGGTAGAAAGAAATCAGACTTTGAAAATTCAATTGTTTGGCTGAATATGATACATAGATACTAAAAACAACATGAAATAAAACTAGAAAAAGCCAGGGTCACAGAGTGGAGGGCTTTCAGTGTTAAGCAGAGTATGTTGTAATTAATCAATTGGTAGTAGGGATGCACTGACATTTCTGAGCAGCACAAATCCCACTTATTATGTCAAAAATAGGTCTTTTGAGATAGGGCAGCCCTGCATAGGATGCACTAGAATGGAGAGGCACATGCCAGAGTTCAGAGACTGATCACAGCAAGAACTTCCCAAGTCTCTTTCAGCAACACTGAAGTTAGTTAGCATTTCTTTTTAATTATATCTATTATAGGTATATGAAGAAAACATTTTTCAGATAATTTGAACGTAAATTTTGTCCTTAATAATATAAATTATTTGTACTGTTTAAATAAATAATCCCAGATTACTGAGATATTTATTCTCCCTTCCTTGCTTGTGAGGATACATCCAATGCTGAAAAGATGCTTTTTTTATTAGAGTACTATAAATATTTGTTAACTATATGATATTCAGAAAAAGCATAAAGACAAGATGATGAGGGCACAGAATTATCAGAATTACTTTTCACCATTCTCTCTATTACAAGTTGAGCATTCCTCATCTAAAAATCCAAAACGTGTATTAAAACATCTCATGCACTCCACAAATATAAACACCTACTATGTGCCCACAAAAAAAAAATTAAGAAATTTTTTTAAAAAGGGTCAAAATCCAAAAGTTTTTGAGCAGCAACATGACATTGAAAGAAAATGTTAATTAGAGCATTAATTTTAGCAAATAATTCTAGCATGTCCTAAAATACGGGATATTTTAGGATATGTATTAGGATATGTATTAGGGATGTTAAACCAATAAGTATACTGCAAATATTCCAAAATTTGAAAAAATCAAAAATCTAAAACTTTTCCAGTCTTAAGCATTTTAGATAAGTGATAATCAACCTTATAATCTGTTGAATTGTATCGTATGTATAGATTACATATTCTAAAGAGACATCATGTTTTGATGTCTTGCAGATTTAATTTTGAGACACACAGTAGTATTTTATTTATGAACCCAAGTAATGCTTTTCCTTTATCAGCTTTTAGAGCATTTTGAAAGTTAATCTTTAACATAATGGTTGAAAGACAATACTCTTTTATTTTCAAAACAATCCCACATTGAATTCAGTGGGGAATTGTATTTGATTCTTTACCTAGACATGCCAGTGAACTCCGGGAAAGGACTTTTTTTTAGTTAAGTTTTCATAAGGAGATTTACCTTCAAAGCTTTCATTGGGGCTTTGCAGCTACACAATTTAAAAGAGAAAAGAGAATACATAGAAATCAGATATATTAAATGTTCATTAAACAGAAGTAAATAACTAAACCATAATTCGGCAAAAACAAGGGATGATATCTGCACATTAGTAACTATTAAGAATTATAATAATGAGTTTCTGACAATATGGAAAAATACTGATGTTATTATGTATAGGTGCAACTATATTATTAAAATAAATGCATAACCACATAGAATAAAAAGTCTGCAACTAAATAGTACCAAGACATTGTCTTTAGATGAATGGTTATATCATATTATTTTTTGGTCCATTTTGCTAAATTGAAAGTGACAGCTCTCAAAAATAATTACCTTTCTCTTACAAAAAAAGAAAATAAAAAGTAGCAAACTAGTTAAGGTAAAGAAGAAGAGAGAAGAAAGAGAAGGAGCCTGAGCTTCTAGG
The DNA here is from genome assembly GCF_000001405.40 of Homo sapiens. Classification (NCBI taxonomy): domain Eukaryota; kingdom Metazoa; phylum Chordata; class Mammalia; order Primates; family Hominidae; genus Homo; species Homo sapiens. The sequence continues at coordinate 49,000,837 of NC_000011.10, forward strand.
ATGCCTCGCTTTGTACATAGGTAATCTGGATGATTCCACCAAAACATATCTTTTTGTTTGCTGGACTTCATTGAAATCTGGGAGTTTTCCAGAATTAATCCATTCAGAGATAAGACAGGTTTAATTCTGGGGCCAGAAGGCAGAGACTAAAAACAAACAGTCTCTGTAATATCCAAGTGATCATATACCTGGATGCATAAGCGTAGTGGAGGGAGAGGGATAAATAATCTTTTGGAATCCTCAAGTCGCAGAAATCTCCTAATTCTTCAACACCAGTAGATAGAGCCATCCAAAAGCAGGAGAAGAAGCCAAGTAAAATCTGGAAGAAGGAATGTTAGAGAGTAGAAGTTGCAAGGACAAGCTTTTACTGCTCACTGGACAGAGCAAACTCTTAGCTTCAGAAAGAAGGAGTGAAGGTAGAAAGAGTGGCCCTTGCTCTGGGACCAACACAATAGAGCACTTCCTAATGGCCCTTCCAAAATTGCCCAATCTAACCCTGCTGGAGGAGAAGGCTTTCTGGCTCCTAGAGTTCCTCTTGGAATTCTAAATCCCAAATTCCCTGTCTGAACAAGGAGCTTCTTACCTTTTTCTTCCCATTTTTTCCAGAGCAGACGAGCCAATATTGCTCAATGCTGAGGTCTTGAAACCATCCTTTTAAACGCCATAAAATTAATCAGGGAAGAAGAGACTGGGAGAAATAAAAATAAACCAAGCTTGCAACATTTTCAGAATAAATTATTAGGTGAGCTAGATCTCTGAAGTGCTTTCTCCTAGTCATTTATTGCCTATTTCCTAGAATCAGGTAGACCCCAGTTTATAGTTCTCTGCAACTGTTCTATACTGCATCCCAATTAAACTACAGACTCTGTGGTGCTGACAGTCCCCAGAAGCAACTGACTCACCAAATAATGCAGTGTCCACATCCTGATAATTTCATACCCCCTTGCAGCGACCAATCAAGCAGAATTTTCCAGACTTTCACCTTCCACAATCCCCTTAAAAATTCCAGCCCAGAACTCCTTGGAAAGATGGATTTTAGGGTCTCCTCCAATGTTCTCACTCAGAACACTGTGATCATTAAAGTTATTATCTGCTGCAAATCTCCTGTCTTAGTGTGGTTGGCATGTTATGGCACAGTAAGCTGTTACTGTACAACCTGTTGGTCCTATAACAATCTGGCAATTCTAAACTCCAGCACAGCCTTCTATGTTATGAGGAAGTTATATACTATTTTTTGAAGAAAAAGGATGCAAAATATTTATTGACAGATTGTTAGCTAGAGTTATACATTTTAAACATTTGGACATTTGTATGTGGGTCTCTATTTATTTCCTTGTAGTGGTTTACAAGTATGAGAAGATGTCTGCAAAAAAGTTATTACCAAAAGTTTAACAGTCAAAAGGATGAGCTGTGTGGAAAGAATACTGGTAATTAAGTGAAACCATGTTTTGACATGCACATTTTTCCAGGCCGTTGACTCTTCCCAAGTCATCTACTTTGATTATTGCTTATTTCCTCATTTTAATATTTAATTTACAAAATTTTGTAAATAGCATTCAAACAAAAAAGGCAAAATCATGGGAAAATAATAAAGAGTAATTTTAAATGAATAACTCACTTCCTTTTTTCTTTTTTCTCTTTTTCTTTTTTTTTTTTTTTTTTTTTTTTTTGAGACGGAGTCTCGCTCTGTGGCCCAGGCGGGAGTGCAGTGGCGCAATCTCGGCTCACTGCAAGCTCCGCCTCCCGGGTTCACGCCATTCTCCTGCCTCAGCCTCCCGAGTAGCTGGGACTACAGGCGCCCACCATCACGCCCGGCTAATTTTTTTTGTATTTTTAGTAGAGACGGGGTTTCACCGTGTTAGCCAGGATGGTCTCAATCTCCTGACCTCGTGATCCGCCCGCCTCGGCCTCCCAAAGTGCTGGGATTACAAGCGTGAGCCACCGAGCCCAGCCGAATAACTCACTTCCCAACTCTACCAAAACTGAATAATGAAATCTGGATGCCTTCCTATTCTGAAGTATTTCTTACCTAGATACAGCTCTAGCCATGAAGGGTTTTTGGAAGAAATGCATCTCTAAGCTTTCCACAATATGAGTGTATATATTCCAGGTAGACCCTATTAAGGTGCTGTTAATTTTTTACCACTGTGCTTTTTAAAAACAACCTTAGATTCTAAAACACAACTAATCTCTCCTGTAGCAAATGATTTCAAAAACATTAATAAGATTTTTTTATCAGTTTTTAGCAGCATAGTATCCTCAGTAAAGTGCATAAATGTGTGCTTATTAATAATACACATTACCCAAAATTATTTATAGCTATTCTCCAGGATGATGGGTAGAGTAGACAGAAAATACTTGGCACAGCAGTAGGAAATAAATGTGTCCAGATAGATCCTTTTTCAACCTTTTTCCAGACTAGGCTAACAAATTCTCAAAGAGAGATCCAAAAAGATCAAATTATTTCCAAAAAACTCAACAGTGCTCACAAATAGCACTCAAAAATGTTTTTAAAAATACATTTGCAGTAAAAAAATTCACTATGTCTGTAATACAATAAAAAATTACCAAGAGAGTAAAGAAGTACAAAAAAATGCCCATAAAGAGAAAAAAATAATCAATACAAATTAAAACAGGATAGACAGAGACGCTAGAATTAGCAGATCAGGACATTACAACATTTGAAATAACCATATTTTTTATATTCAGATAAAGTATGTAGAGATATGGTAGATGTAAAAAGAAAAATTTGTATAAGAGACATACAACCTACAACTTCTTAAATGAGGACAACATTGATGGGGATTACAGGCTGATTAGATTTGCATCATGTTACATTACAAAGTGTGAAGAAAAGGAAGGGGAAAAAGTTAAACTAGAGCTATAGCAATATTCATCATAATCTATTAGGTTGGTGCAAAAAGTAATTGCGGTTTTGCCATTTTTTTTTTCTTTTTTTTCTTTTTTTTTTTTTTTTTGAGAGAGTCTCACTCTCTCGCCCAGGCTGGTGTGCAGTGGCGCGATCTCCACTCACCGCAACCTTCGCCTCCTGGGTTCAAGCGATTTCTCCTGCCACAGCCTCCCAAGTAGCTCGGACTACAGGCACCCACCACCATGCCCAGCTAAGAAAATGTGGCACATATACACCATGGAATACTATGCAGCCATAAAAAATGATGAGTTCATGTCCTTTGTAGGGACATGGATGAAATTGGAAATCATCATTCTCAGTAAACTATCGCAAGAACAAAAAACCAAACACCGCATATTCTCACTCATAGGTGGGAATTGAACTATGAGAACACATGGACACAGGAAGGGGAATATCACACTCTGGGGACTGTGGTGGGGTCGGGGAAGGGGGGAGGGATAGCATTGGGAGATATACCTAATGCTAGATGACGAGTTAGTGGGTGCAGCGCACCAGCATGGCACATGTATACATATGTAACTAACCTGCACAATGTGCACATGTACCCTAAAACTTAAAGTATAATTAAAAAAAAAAATTTTGTATTTTTAGCAGAGATGGGTTTTTGCCGTATCAGCCAATCTGGTCTGGAACTCCTGACCTTAGGTGATCCACCTGCGTCAGCCTCCCTAAGTGCTTGAATTAGAGGTGTGAGCCACCGTGCATGGCCTGCGTTTACTTTCAATGGTAAAAACCACAATTACTTATGCCCCACTCTAATAATTGCTTAAAATCAGTGACAAAAAAATGAAAGAATAAAATAAAGGAAGGAAAAAGGAAGAAAGGGACGGACGGTGGGAGGGTGGGAGGGAAAGGAAAACAGACCTAATGTTCAGAAAAAAAGAAAAAAATGTCAATTAATTTTTTGTCAGGTATAGTGCAAGTGACTAGGAATGGAAAACATCTCTGAAGTAATAATAAAGAAAAATATTGTCAATCTGAGTTCTATACCCAAGGAAAATCTTTCCAAAACAATACATTTTTTCAAAGAAAAATAAAGTCCTTATTCAAACTCAAAAAAGCTGAAAAAAATCAGACTCACATTGCAATACATACACACAAACACACATACACACACACACACACACACACACACACACTGAAGAGCACCAGAAATTGTAATTGCATAGATAAATATGTAAGATTTTTAATTCACACAACACTTTTTAAAACTAAACCTTAGTTTCTAAGTCTTTGATTACCAATTCATAGCATCCAAACTGCCTATAAAGTTCTGTGAACTTTTATCCTCTTTTTACTAGTAAGTATAAAGAATAAAGTTTGTTTCTATTTGTGTCTATGTGAAACACTTCTTCCATTGCACAATATCAAAGATAAATAATATTAATATCCTGTGTCACTGCAAGTAGATTATGCAAATATACAAATAAGTAAGTATAACAATATAAGTTTTCTGTCTTAATATAGAAATATCCAAGACATTTCTGTTGGAGGTTATCTGGAGGAAGTCACCGAAACCCTGATCTTTTATATTGCCACTGTTTTGTTGGAAAAGGTCAGTTGAATTGGTTAGTATGGGATGCAATTAAATAACTTTTGACAATCTAATGCATATTTACGGTAATGTACTCTGTGATTTTCCATCTTCTGAAATACTAATCAATTTAAGCATTTTCTCCAATGTTTAATGGTTCTCTTTACTTCATGTTTAATAGAATAAATAGAATGAATAACCTGTTCATTCCTTGGACCATTTATAATAGAATAATTTACATTTATGTTACTGGGGGGCAGGATTATTAAATGCATAGTTTTTATATTTTATATAATAACATTATACAAAACACGCATTTTGGCAATGCCTTCAAAAATATTTTCTGAAATAGAGGGGGTCTTGTGCCATGAGATTTAAAAAATATTCTTTCCTTACACTAGAGATGAATGCATCAGGTCACGTACCATTTTATAAATATAGAACAGATTGATTTGATTCCTTCTAATTGATTTGTTATAGAGACATTCCTAGAGAGAAAATGCATCTCATAATTATTCCATGATTAATTATATCTTTCAATTATCAACTATGTAGTATTGCTAATTTTAAAATGACATTGTGGACACAAATTTCCAACTCTGAACCTGACTCATATATTTTTACATTTATTCTTATGTTATCTTGCAGGTCAAACCATTTTTTGTGTTTGATTACCCATTAAAAGAATATTAGAAAAACAAACTATCACTGTACAGAGGATATCAAGGAATCAGTACTTTAAAATTTTATCTTTAATAGACACATAATTTTACATATTTGTAGGGTAGATAGTGATGTTTTGATACATATGATGCATAGCAATCAGATCAGAGTATTTAGCACATTATCTCAAACATTTATCATTTCTTTTTTTTTTTTAGGGAACCTGCAATATCCTCATTCTAGCTATTTGAAAGTATATATTACTATTAATTATAATCATCTTGCAATGCTATAGAACATTACAACTTATACCTCCCATCTACCTATAATTTTGTATTTTAAATTGTATTTATTTTCTCTTTTAGTATTCATTATATTTAATTATATTTAATTTTGTACCTTTCCCTATACCCTCTGCCTTTTACCATTCCTTAGCCACTAGTATCCTCTGTTTTACTTTTTAATTCCATGAGATCACTTTTTTTTAGTTAAGCAAGTGACTGGTTGTGAGTATATGTAGATGTTGTTCATATTTATAGAGAGTGCAATAGATTATGCAGTGTTTTGTTGAACTATATTCTCTCCCTTGTCATATTGAAAATATTGCCACAATATATGTAATATACATATATCCTTGTGCATTTTTAGGGAAATTTCCATACTAATGATATTATAGGTTTAAAATATATGTACACTTAAAAATTGATAAGTACCTCTCAATGTTACTCTCAAATAGTTTCTTTCTAAGGATAACTAATAGTGACTAACTGGCCAACAAATATCTTTGAAATTCTGAGATGACTGCATTAATTAGAATGAGTATCTGAATTAGGATTAGGTTGGACCTTAATGATAAAAATGTGGGAGTGTCTGTTATTAATTAGCACACAGATTTATTGAGGGGTGTTGTTATTCACACCTTCAGAAGTCACATCCTTGACATATTGAAAGCAAGACCCACCAATTTCTTCAAACGCCAAAGTAAATGTCGCTTTACTATAATTTTCCCCTGCATTTTCCCCCCTACATATCAAATACCTAAGCCAATTTGTCTTGGAATCTGTAGGATTTTGTTTGTTTCTTTGCTTGTGTTTTACTTTTTTTTTTTTTAATTATACTTTAAGTTCTGGGATACATGTGCAGAAAGTGCAGATTTGTTGCCTAGGTATACATGTGCCTTGGTGGTTTGCTGCACCCATCAACCTGTCATCTACATTAGGTATTTCTCCTAATGCTATCCCTCCCCTATCCCCCAACCCCCAGATAGGCCCTGGTGTGTGATGTTCCCCTCCCTGTGTCCATGTGTTCTCATTGTTCAACTCCCACTTATGAGTGAGAACATGCGACGTTTGTTTTCCTGTTCTTGTGTTAGTTTGCTGAGAATGATGGTTTCCAGCTTCATCCATGTCCTTGCAAAGGACATGAACTCATCCTTTTTTTTTTTTTTTTTTTCTGTGAAGGAGTCTGACTCTGTCGCCCAGGCTAGAGTGCAGTGGCGCTATCTTGGCTCACTGAAAGCCCCAACCCTGGGTTCACACCATTCTCCTGCCTCAGCCTCCCAAGTAGCTGGGACTACAGGTGACCGCCAACATGCCCAGCTAATTTTTTTTTTTTTTGTATTTTTAGTAGAGTCAGGGTTTCACCGTGTTAGCCAGGATGGTCTCCATTTCCTGTCCTCGTGATCCACCTGCCTCGGCCTCCCAAAGTGCTGAGATTACAGGCGTGAGCCTGGCACCCAGCCAAACTCATCTTTTTTTTATGGCTGCATAGTATTCCATGGTGTATATGTGCCACATTTTCCTTATCCTGTCTATCACTGATGGACATTTGGGTTGGTTCCAAGTCTTTGCTATGGTGAACAGTGCTGCAATAAACATACGTGTGCATGTGTCTTTATAGTAAAATGATTTATTATCCTTTGAGTATATACCTAGTAGCGGGATTGCTGGGTCAAACGGTATTTCTGGTTCTAGATCCTTGAGGAATTGCCACAATTGTTTCCCGACTTTTTCATGATCGCCATTCTAACTGGCATGAGATGGTATCTCATTGTGGCTTTGATTTGCATTTCTCTACTGATCAATGATTATGACCTTTTTTTCATATGTTTGATGGCTGCATAAATGTCTTCCTTTGAGAAATGTATGGAATCTGTAATTTTTGCTTTTGTTTTCATTATTTTTTAATCTGTCTGGCATGCCAGTTCACATGCCAGCTCCCTTCATCCCTCCTTCCTTCCCTCACTATGGCCTCTATTTCTTTCCTAATACCACCAACAGGTCATTCTTCGAAGTTACACTTTTCAGGGAGAGTCCTGTAAAATAATCTATTTACAAACGTTTAACCTGGGATGTATGACCTTGGTTCAATATTGTCTTTTGGAAACTCACAACAAATACCACTATTCTCCAAGTACAAGTTTCTGTATCCACAGCTAATTTCAATACCTACCACGCCATCCCAGCTTGCTCTGTCCAAACCTGGTAAAGTTCTTAATTTTCTGACCCCCTTTTCTATCCAAATGAAAACAGATTCCAGATTCCGAAACTTTTATAATAGGGGACTGAGGGATCTGGAGACTGCAAGACTGAAGGACCATAGATGTGCTGGAGTCACCGCTGGCATCGGGCTTCAAGAGAAGCACAAGGCACTTGCATAGTCTCCAGAGGTTTTGATGTTTTCTGCGTGGCTTTCTTCTGAGCCTCCTGTCTCCTATGCTGCTGCAACACTTCAGTTTGGCTGTAGACTTTACCACCACCTGTGGCTTTGGTTCCATCTTTTTTTCTAAAATTACGTTGAAGGAAGAAGTTTTAAAAAATGGTTTTCACAGACTTTTTAAGAGAAGGGAAATTCGTTGAAAGCATTGAAGATTTACCTACCTGGAGACTCTTAACAACACGTAGGAGTACACTATTTCTAGAGCCATATGAGTTAGCTTCCCGATAAGAGGGAACTATCTCAGAGGCAAGGATGGTTTCAGACAATTTAAACACAGCGTCTCTACTTATTTGCTTACGGAATCTGAAGGTTTCATTAACTCCAGATCTGACTCAAAAGCTGTTTATCCTTTGCAAAGAATGGCACATAGTCAGGATGGACCAAATTTGTCATGAAAGACAATGCACAATTACTGATGTTTTATTACCAAGACTCCCAATTTGAAGGTAACATTGAAGAAAACATAGATGATAATAAAATGACTTTGATAAACCAGTAGTTTTTCTGAATCCAGCATTTGTGAGAATATTGAAGATAAGAACCAGCCGCGTTTGGTGGCTCACATTTGCCATGCCAGCACTTTGGGAGGCCAAGGCATATTGCTTGAGGTCAGGAGTTTGGGACCAGCCTGGCCAACATGGTGAAATCCTGTGGTCTCGATTAAAAATACAAAAATTAGCCAGGCGTTGCTGTAATCCCAGCAACTCAGGAGGCTGAGAATCTCTTGAACCCGGGAGGTGGAGATTGCAGTGAGCCCATGTCAGGCATCTGTATTTCCAGCCTGGGGGATAGAGGGAGTCACAGTCTCAAAAAAATAAAATAAATAAATAAATAAATAATCTATGCTAGAAGCAAAAAAAAAGAAGAAGAATTTGTTCAGCTAAAAATTATTTGCATCAAAACAAACTTCTTCAAAGCTTTTCCAGTCTAAGTTTACATTTTATGATGCTACTTTGGAATGCATGCAAGGGCCATTGAAACCAAGAACTATAATTGAGCATATATGTCAGTTAGACAGTACAGTTCACTCTTACAACTAATATATTTTACACATTTACAAAAATCAGCAATTTTTAGTAACTGATGATCCAGACCATATTTTGTATTATTTGCTTTGCATAAAGGGTCTACAGTACACAAATCCACAAAGATCTAAAGTACAAAAGGGATTGTGAGTCGAGTGGGTGGGGAAGGTGCAATGAATAGAGAGTAATGATAAAGAGTTTTGGGTTTCATTTCGGGGTATACAAAATGTCCAGGAATCAGACAGTTATGGTTTTTCACAACTCTTTATTAAAGTAAAATTTAAGAAACAAATGTATAATGTCAATGTGGTTATCCCATTTCATACCCAGATAATAATTTTGTTTCCTCAAGTTACAGTGAACTCAAAGATGCTCATACATTGTCCTATTGTCTCACATGAGAAGGTCTCGAGATTAGAAGATTTTTCAGGCAAGAAAGCTCACTAAGAAATCATAATGAAACCTGACTTTCATGGGGAACCAAAACAAAAGAAAGGTGTCAAAAGGGAAGAAAAAGAGGTAGGGAAAAAGCTGTATATGAGGGAACCTTTTGAAGCATCATAAAAGCTCGCAACTGTGTTGTCATAATCCAGAAAGACCCCAACCCGACCCAAAGGTCTCTGCACATAGTGAGTTAAGGGAAAAAAAATGTTGGAGAGGCTATAAAGGTTGTTTCTCTTTGAAGAAAATAGAAAAAATCCTTCCTCAAAAGCCGGAACGTGATTTGTGTTTGCTGTCCTGGAATCTTTACAGACTCCCAGAATCCAGTTGGGGGAGTGGGTTACATCCACTTCCCAGTTATGCCTGCCGGAGGAGAAGGCCTGAGCTCCCCATGCTGCAAAGTTCTCTGCTCTCTGGGACTCCCCGGGTGCACCATCATGGTCATCTCCAAATATCACATTTCTCACATCCTCAGAAAGGCTCATATAGTGATTCGCCTTTTCCTTACTCAGAGGATCATCCGCTGCAAGAAGAACAAAAATCAGATCAAGGAGTTACATGGGGGTCAGATGTTATCTGCCCAGGTACTGGCTTTATTTGTACCTCCTGTAAGTGACAGAATACAGGGAGCAAAAAGACTTTGGAGACTGTCATCTATGAAGATCAAGGGTTATTATGACTTCTACAGCACAGGAGAATACTTAAAATCACACAGAAAAACAAATAAACAAACATCATTAATTGTGTGAATCAATGATTTAATGTCTGGCTTTGCATGATTTGTTTCAAGAGATATGTAACATTCTTTATTTAGTAGAAAATGCCACTTGCATTGTTTGTATTCAATATAATTAACAAATAGACTTCACTCTGCTATGATGCTCTTATTTAATGGGATATAAAATGTGCCTGTTACTTTTTTTTTTTTTTTTTTTTTTCGAGACAGCGTCTCACTCTGCTGCCCAGGCTGGAGTGCAGTGGTGCGATCTGGGCTCACTGCAGCCTCCTGGGTTCAAGCGATTCTGCTTCCTCAGCCTCCCGAGTAGCTGGGATTACAGGCATGTGCCACCATGCCCAGATAATTTTTGTATTTTTAGTATAGATGGGGTTTTGCCATGTTGGCCAGGCTGGTTTCCAGCCGTTGACCTCAGGTGATATGCCCGCCTCAGCCTTGGAGGATTACAGGAATGAGCCACTGTGCCCGGCCTCACTTCCTTCATTTTTAAACATCAAAATTTGATGGACTTCCATACATGTGCACTTTAGAAGTTTCTGAAAATAATGATCATGTTCTGCTTTTACATGACCTGGTCAGCCACTACTTCATTCAGTCTAATCCTGGTTTTAGCCTTCTGTTGTCTAATGGCTGCTTTACCTGTTTGGACCATTTTCACAGAACCCTCAGCTTCCAGTTGTTGCAAAATGTATCTTACAGCAGTAAAGTTGTTCTGTTTATGGAAGTTTTAGTTATTTGGTTGGTCAAAGCTTTCTAATTTTTATGATAAATATTATTTCTACAATATATGATAAATTCACAGAAATTAAAACTAAAATGGGAAATGGCTCAACCAAGGAATCCACTAAACAGAAGTTGAGGCTGTACTGCCAAGCAGCTGGCTCTTACCTCTGAATTTGTTGAGCTTATCTAACACTCCAGTGATGTGCCAGGAAGTGAGTTCTGGGTTCACTGGCTGGGGCTTTTCCATTTGCACCAACTCTGTCCTGCAAAGAACAACCTCAGTTACACTTTCAGGCCCAGGCATAATCACACAGTCATACAAATATTTCAGATTTTCATCCAAGATATTTCTTGAGAAATCTCCCTTTTTTGTTAAATTCAGTATACATTTTATTCAACTGTATTGAGGATATAGCAATGTTACTTTTATCTAAATTTAACATGTTAAAGTCCAATTTCTCCATTCTCTCATACATGATCCTAATTTAAAAGTACTGAGTGTCATTTCCTCCCTCTCCCCCTCCGGCCTCTTCAAAGTATACAGATATCCTGGGATACTTGCTGAGAGAAGAAAACTCAGCCAAAGCCTTTGGGACCTCAGTCGGTAGTTGTCATCAGTGATGCAGTCAGGGTCTTACAGGGAATGCCCACTGACACTAAAGGTTTTGAACTTTTGTTCAAACCAAAGGAGTCTACTTTCAGCCTGTCAGCTCTGGCGCTGAGGATCCTGAGGCAGCCATTCCCCTCTTAGATTCTGCCTACAACAGCGGAATGCAGAGATGGAGCAGGGCCTGGCTATTGATATCCCTGGGAACAAATCCTCCCTCCCTTTCCTGTGCTTAGGGCATTTCCCTCCTTCCTCTCTTTTTCACCTCTTGCCTCTCCAGAATAGGAGACTCCTTTGTGATAACTCAGAGTAATCTTCCTAAGATTTGCTGCGGCAGGGCTGGAGAAGATGGGGTGAGTGGGTAGAAGAAAATCCAGAATGGCACACTGTTTTTAGATACAAATTCATTCAGCCAGATAAGAAGGAAACTTCTGAGACAAAGAAGCTTAAGGTCTCAGGTTCTCCTTTGAAACCAAAATGGAACATAGCCACAGATCAATGCTAAATACCTCAAAACATGTAGTTGACCCTTAAGCAACAAGGGTTTGAAATTTGGGGGTCCACTTATAAGTGGATTTTTTTCAATGAAAGTTTCACCTAGCTTGCCTGCCTCTCCTGCCTGCCACTCCATTTCTTTTGTTTCTGCCTCTGCCACTGCTGAGACACTGTCTTCTCTTCCTCCTCCTCTTCAGCCTACTCAATGTGAAGACATTGAAGATGAAGAACCTTATGGTGATCAACTTCTTAATGAGTAATAAATATATTTTCTCTTCCTTATAATTTTCTATATTATATTTTTTTCTCCAGTTTACTTTATTGTTAGGATACAGCATATAATACATATAACATACAATATATGTTAATCGACTGTTTACGGTATCAACAGGCTTCCAGTCAATAAGAGGTCATTCGTAGTTTGGTTTTGGAAAAGTCAGAAGTTATACTTGGGTTTTCAACTATGTGGAATTGCATGAAGGTGGTTAATGAACTTAATCCCCACCTTTTTCAATGGTACATTGACTTTCAAGGGTACATTGTCTTTATCAATAAGGGAATGACTTTCTCAGCAATCAAAGTTCATTAGTGTAACTCACCATTCCAGTATGTTTTCCAAGTCCTGCAAAGAAAAACACAAGTACTTAATCATGAGAATTCTGTCCTACTTTCCCTAGTATTCTTTGTTGTTTTTCTGGGTTAACAAGGTAGGTTTATTGATACACCTCTAAGGAACCACCCAAGGCTGTGTTAATAACAGAACCTCAACTGAACCATGGTGGTCTTCCTCAGTGGGCATTAGGAAAGAAGGAGCTGAGATTAAGACTATGGAGTGATGTACACGGCTATCTAGTTCTCAGTGTCACTCATCTCCCAGGCTTAATCCCAAGAAGTGAGGATGTACTAGGGAACTTAAATTGAGTTTTATTAACAAAGCTAATATTCTCCTGGCCTAGCATTTGGTTTATTTTGGATAACATTTCTTTGTGGCTAGTACTCCTGATTATACTGAAGAGGATTTTTGTCCTATGTGATCTATCAAAATGGCAAAAATCTCCCCAAAGATTACCAGAATGTGCAAAAATAAGTCACTGGACAAATGCAATGGCAGAGTCAAGGAGCATGTGTCACTTATCTAAGAGTAGTTACATTTGCAGGTAGCATATGAATGTCCTGGCAGCATTGCCCAACAAAGTCTTCCTGACTCTGGATGATGGACCCTCCCTCCTCACCTGGTGCAGCTTCACATCGGGCATGTGGCACATCTCCCACAGCTCTCTGTACATGTTTTTCATCTTTTTTATATGTTGAGTTATTCTTACTTCACTGTTTTGGAGTTGTCGAAAAATCTCTTCTGCTTCTCTGTCCATTGTCTCCAGATGGCGTTGCTCCTCCTCCAGGAGAAATTGGCGCAACTTTTGATATTGATATCTGATCATCCCTTTCCTGAGGGCCACATAGTCCTGCAGAGATACTCAGTTAAAAGAATTGCATCTCCTCACTCTCAACAAAACACTTAACACTTCAACTGTTATTCTCCTAGGATATGCAAGCAGTAAACTCATAAGCTCTGCGTCTCATACTTGAAAAGTTTCTTGAAGATTTGCTAGTCTCCTCTACCCATCCTTTCTTCATGTCCCTCCTAGTCTCCCTTCCTGTATAAATCAGTACCTCAAAAGGACTCAAGATCCCTGCCTGTGATGCTTCTACAGGATTCTTACTTCATTAATTATTGTCTTTTTTACCTGGTTCTTCTTAATTTTCTCTTGTTCCTTTGCCTGATTCTTCTAAACATTTTTAAATATTTCGGTATACACTCTACCACCGAGTTTTTAAAGAAATTACTTCAGGTTTTTTTTTCCCCCACTAATTTCTCTATTTCTCTCCTCACCTTCACAGCAAAACTTTAAACTACTCGATGTGAATACAATGCTTTAAACAACTCAATGCTATCCTATTCTCAGTGCCTTGGAAGTTTTATCTAAACCCTCAAGGTTACATCAGGAATAACTATCATGCCCTGTTTATTTCATATACATGTACGTACTAGTATTTTTTGCACCAGCTCCTGTTGGCCTGTATAATGATAATTGCTGATATATCATTTGAAATCCCTGTTTTGTTTTTTTCTGGGAAGAGGACACTGCTATTTTTTAACTGGTAAGCAGAATTCAGCTAAGAAGTCTAAGCTAGCATTGTGCCAATCTACATTAAAAATATAAAACCTTTTTATCCCTACCGTTAATGAATGGATTTTGCTAATTTCCTGATTTAGATTGTTTTGCATTTCTTGAGTTCTCCTCCATAAAGGATCCATTTTCTTCAGAAGTTTCTCCTGCAAAATAGACATGACCTTTAGTAGCAGATAAGATGTTACTGGATATGTTATTCCCTTTTTATGAGAAAAGCCTGTTGTTGACAGAATGGTAAATTTGAGTTCCCCTGAAGTGGTCGGAGTTTTTACAAGTTAACCTAATTTGATTCTAATATGTGGAATATCAGAGGTAACAGAAACATATAGTAGAGAGTTTGAGGGGACCCAACAGCTAATCAATTTTTTAAGAAATTGGATTTCATATATCCTGGCTCTGGAGAAGTCAAGCTTGCAGCAAAAGCAAACCTTGTTCCTAGGACACATTTATATCTAGAGATTTATATTGAAAATTCAGAACCTCACCATCTCCATTCTCTCCACCTTTATTATCATAAGCTCTCATTTTCTCTCTTATTTAGGATCATGTGGATTCCCAGTTGCATTGGAGGTGTCACTTACCCTGCACTCCTCAGCAGCCCATCATATTGGGCTGTGGCCATAAGCCTCATGCTCTGGTGACTCAGAGCAGGGCCCACAGAGGAGTCTCTCCTCTGCCTCACAGAAGAGCCCCTTTTCCTCTTCATGTAGCACACAGATCTGCTTCTCTGAGCTGTTGATGTTGTGAGGTCTGCGCTGCCTTGCAAGAGAAGCCAACTTCTTGAGAACAATATTTGTGTTGAAGTCAGTCTTCTAGGGGATTTTCCCACACACAGGACAGACCGCTGGAGCTTGGCCTTTCTCCCAGCATAGATAAAGGCAGGGCCTGCAAAAGCTATGCCCACAGTCAATGGTGACTGCGTCCATTAAGTAGTTCCTGCAGATAAAGCAACAGAGCTCCCTCTGGAAGGTTTGCAGTGTGTCTGAATCCATGTTTCTGGAAATTTAAAACAGAAAAATTTAAGTGAGAATATTATGTTTTGACCACATGGAGGGGGAAGGGCCCGTGGCTAGTTCTTGTCTGCTTCAGCTCTGTTCAATCTACCTGTTAACTTAAGCCCAGTACAGACCTAGATGTGGTAAATACAGGCAAGCTGGGTTTATACTACAACACAAGTGGAAAAATGAGACAAGCATCATTTTAGTTTAAAACAAGCAATGTTCTCAATTATAAGTTATTTGGGCAAGCTTAATATTGGGGTAGAGGGGAACAATTAGGATAACTTCACAGTTACTTCTATTAGCTGATTGTTCCAGAAACCCATACAAACCCATCTCCCTCTCTCTCTCTCTCTCTTTCTTTTCCTCCATGACCCCTTGAGTGGAACTTATACAGGGATACTTAGTCTCACTCTCTGGCACCCAAGTAACAGATGTACCTTTCTAAAGACAATTAAAAATTGGTTAAGTTTAATCTAAGTGTGTTTAGTTTAATCATTATGGGCTTCAACACTCAACTCCTGTAACTATAAACAGCTGAACTTATGCTTCTAATGTTAATCTCAAAATTCAACCTTTACATAAATACAATGAAAAATTGTTATTTCTTATTCAAGACAATGTTTTTGCTCAGAATGAGTTCAGACCATCAGAGTATCTTCATATTTTGAAATGGTGACTACGCAAGCTATGAAAGTACTCAGCAACAATTAATCAGTTTTTACTTAAACCAAAAAAGAAAGTAAACACTCAAATTTTTTCTTTAAAGAATCCAGAGGTGTAATTAATGGAAGCATGACCACCAATTTATCTTTATTCCCTGTGTTTCTCCACAGTGATCGAAGTCCCTACTTCCTGGGAGTCTTTACCAGTTGATGGGATCTATTTGAACACTTTTCAAATCCAGTCTGCTCATTGAAGATTTGAAAAGGACTACAAACATGACCTTTACAACAAGGGTTTTCCAATTAATCCCACACATTTAACACTTACACTGACGACATGTAGTATACTACAAAGCTACAGTAAGCAAAGCAGCATGGTACTGGTGTCAAAGTAGACAAGTAAACCAGTGGAACAGATCAGAGAACTCAGATACTGTTACACCTCTCTACAGCCAACTGAATTTTGACAAAGGTAGCAACAGTATTTACTGGGGAAAGGACAGTCTTTTCAATCAACACTGCTGGCAAAACTGGATATTTACATGCAGGGAATAAAATTATACCCTCACGTCTCATCCAGTGCCAAAATCAACTCAAAATAGATTGAAAACTTTAATGTAAAACCTGAAAGAACAAATCTACTAGAAGAAAACATAGGAGAAATGCTCCAGAACATTAATCAGAGAAAAAATTGTATGAATAAAATCACAAAAGCCTAGTCCACAAAAGCAAAAATCAACAGCTGGAATTATATTAAACTGCAAAGCTTCTGCACAGCAAAGGCAACAATCAATGCAGTGAAAAGACAACTGACAGAATGAGAAAAAATATTTACCAACTATTCACTGGACAGGAGATTGATACCCTGAATATACAAGGAAATCAAATAACTCAATAGCAAATTAAAAAGAAAAAAAAAAACCCAAACAACCCAATTAAAAAACGGGCAAATGATCTGAACAGACAATTAACATATGCCAATTTACAAAATAAAATTGAAGTGGAAAAAGACTATTCTGTATACGTAACATATTGAAAATTGTAAGCTCTTTTTGGATTCCATAATTACACAAATACGGTGGAATTATAGCTGCTAAGACATAACATGCCAAATAATGCATAAGGTAATATGATACAAAATGGGGGCTAGGCATAGTGCTGCGTGCCTCTAATCCTGGCATTGAGGAGGCCAAGGTATGAGGATGGATTCGGGTCAGCAGTTCTAGACCAGCCTGCGCATCTTATTGACATCTTATCTCTACTAAAAATTCTTTTAAAAATAATGCTGGCGTGATGGCACATGCTTGTAGTCTCAGCTACTCAGGAGACTGTGGCGGCAGGATTGCTTGAGCCCAGGAGGTCCAAGGTGCAGTGAGCCATGATAGTGCCATTTCAGTCCAGCCTAGGTGACAGAGTGAGACCCTATCTCAAAAAAAAAAAAAAAAAAACCCAGTCAAATAACTTGATATAACACAAGCCAATATATTATAAATGCTCTAATTACAGATATTTTATACAATGATGTTATTTCAAATAACTGGGTAAGCTACTTGTTTGCTTAGACAAGATGTAAATGTCCTGGCCGGTGAGTTTAAAGTATTTTTATAAGAAAAATTAAGCATGAAGGGCTTCACTACAAATGTCATACACACCAGAATCTGCGATGTATTGTCTCAAGTCTAGAAGATTCGTGGATATCCAGGTCAGCAGCAACACTGAGCTCACCAAAGCCCAGCCTCCACAAATTCAGTCTGACTTCTCTGGAGAAGTCTTCCCTGGACAACTCTGCTTTTTAAGTGATTAGACTCACTTAAGAACACTCCCACTTCCTGGGATTGGCTACTGTCTGGAGAAAGAAGTGGAAATGGAAGATTAGGTTACACAGAAGGGTGTAACGTTGGGGAAGGGTGTAACATGGGGTGATCGGATTTATAAAGTACAGACAATCATGCCTAGGGGATTACAGCCCAACAGAAGGTAGAGGATTTTGGAGTGAGATGCAAGAATCTTAACCTGACGTAGGTTGTACACAGACATTACAACTGAAACAATTATTTCATTAAGTAATGTTTTATTTCACAAACAATGCCCTCACAATTAAAAACAATTGCTTTATTATTTTAAACTGAAATGTATCATCTATATTTCCATTAAAGATTTTTTATTTATTCTTCAACAAGCATATACCAATGACAATGAACTAGGTATTAGAAATAAATTATATTAAACTATAATAGACAATTTCAGTCCTGCTAGAACATCCAGACTAGTGAATGAGATGTATCATAATTAAAGAATCACACAAGTAAATATACAATTAGAACTATAAGCTCAATAAATAAGCAGTACATGTTTTGAGGGTCGGTAGTAGGAGGGAGGTGCTGAATGCAAGCTCACACAAGGCTTTTATGAAGATATGAAAGCATTGAGATTTGAGGAATAGGAATACATTAACTTGGTAAAGAGAGATAGAGAGAAACTTTCTTTGCAGTAACAGCAGCAGATGCAAAAGCTTCCTGGATGGAGGAAGCCTGGTACAGTTGAGCTCCAGGCCATTGGAGCTAGAGTGACAAGAATGAGAGTGATCTGATGGGAGATGAGGCTGCAGAGGCAGGTACATGCATCAGAACATGGAAAAGATGAGTTTGTTATCTAGAAATTATGGGAAGCCAGTGAAGTATCAGTCTAGTTTTAAAATATATCATTGCTAAATAAGTCTCCAGTCATTATTTATCTGAATATGTACAACTCTAAAATATTAAATGAAATAACTAACCCATCTATGGAGCTCTCATAAAAAAGTGCACCTAGGCACTTAGTTGTGTTTTAAATACTATGACTTTATATACAACAGTTGGTGAATTTACTTGTCTAATTTTTTTGTTGTCTTCCCTATTTTATGACTACTTTCAATGGTGAATTTATGCAAAAATAAAATGTGTTTTTTTGATTTTACGCCATGTGAATAATTTTAAATTAGATACTTTACATCAGTATATATGTATGGACATGTAGAAGATGTACAGCATGTATATTTATATAAAAATATGATGCAATGTCGTAAATAATTATTTAAACAATAATTATGTGTATAATTATCTTTAACAAAGTACATACAGAAAACTAATTTTGAATAGAGTTTGGTGACTCTTGTCTGTAATTCCAGCTAGTTGGACAGCTGGGCAAAAGGGTCACTTGACTCTAGGAATTCCAGGTTTCCCCAGGCAGCATAGGGTGACACCTGTCTCTAAAAACAAAATGTTTTTACCCAGGCCTGGAAGCAAGCACATGTAGTTCCAGCTAATCAGGAGGACCAGGCAGGAGGATCACTTGAGCCTAGGTGTTTGAGGCTGCAATGAACTATGATCATGCACTGCACTTTGGTCTGAGTGACAGAGGGAGAACTTGTCTAAATAAAGGAAAGAAAAAAATGAAAGAAAAACAAAGTTATAAGTTAGAAAGTGTTGCTTTTTCTCTGTTCTCTAGAAGAATTTGTCTAAAAGTGTGTTATTTCTTTCTAAAATGCTTTGAAAATTTCGCTGAAAGAGATCCCTGGAGTTTTCTTTGTGAGTTTTGTTTTTTAAGTAATAACACTGAATTTTAAGAATCCAAATCATATCTTTCATTTTTCTATGTTCTCTTCCGTCTGTTTTAGTCAGCTGTGTTTTTCAAGAAATTTTCTCATGTCATCAAAATTGTCAAATGTATAGGTATAAATTGTTCCTAAAATATTCATACTGGCTTATTGATATCTGGATGACCTATGAGTTTGCCTGTTTATTCTTGATTTGAACTCCCCCTCTCCATTGTTTAAATGAATCTCATTGGGAATTTATTAATTTAATGTATCTATTTAAAGGACCTACTTTTGAATTTGTTGATTTATGTTTTGCATGCTTTTTAATCAATTTTCTGCAATTTATCTAATTTTTTTTAGTTTTTCAATGGGAATTTGCTTTAATTTTCTGGCTGTTTGCGACAGACCTAAAGAAAGGTTATTAACAAAGACGTTATTAACAAAGAAGTTAATAACAGATGCATTTAATAATATACATTGTTTTGTAAGCATTGTCTTAAATACATTTCAAAAGTTTTTTTGTTTTGTATTTTGAATATTATTTAATTAAACATACTTTCTTCATTGTTTTTCTTTAGTGCATGTATTTTCAGGGAAACTATAATGGAGAGGGGAGGGAATGCATTTTTCTAATGATATTTATAACAATTAGAAACAATTGAACTTAATTTTAATAAAACATTATAACCCAATATATCCAAAATGTTTTCAACATAATAAACATTACAAATATTAGTGAGATATTTTATATTCTTTCTTTTTGAGACAGGGTCTGGCTTTGTCACCCAGGCTGGAGTGCAGTCACTGGATCCTGTCTAGCTGCAGTGTCAACCCCCCTGGCTATAGCAATCTTCCCACCCCAGCTTCCCCAGTACCAGGGACCACAGGTTCATCCCACCATGCTCCGCTAATTTTTATTTTTTTGGAGAGACGAGTTTTTGCAATGTTGCCTAGGCTTTTCTCAAACTCCTTTCCTGTGTCCACCTCTCAATGTGCTGCGATGACGGGCTTGAACAATAATGTTCATACATTTTAGGAAGAAAGTCCTAAGCCTACTTAGGTTTTTTAAAAAAGGGTAGATTGGAATTTACTTTCTCTAAACTCAATAGTTTCTAGAACTATAAATTAGAGTCAAGTATTAAAGACCCCAGGAAGACAATTTTAGAAGAAAGGTTTTCAAAGTGAGCCAGGCTAGATGCTTTATAATTGAGGATTCACTGGATATGTCTTGGCATCCTAATGGCCAACGCTGAGGGTTTTTATTTTTTTTAATAATGTGAAAGACTGAACTTTGTTACATGTACATTGTGTAGAATTTCCAAAGTTAGAAACTTTTCTTAAAACACTTCACTACATTTCTTTTATTTATGTATTTTTTAAAAAATTTAAACTATGCATGGATACATCCTTAATAGAAGATTAGGTTTCTGCAGTTTCAAAGGCAAAACCTAGTCCTTTCCATTGGCTCTATTTAATTGTATAGTTGCTTTATCGATTAAAATTAAAAAAAAACTTCTACAAATACATTGCAATGTTAGATAACTAAATCAGTTGTCTGATGTCATTATACAATGTTACATTTTTTTTTTTCTTTTGAGATGGAGTCTGGCTCTTTCACCCAGGCGGGAGTGAAGTGGCAGGATCTCGGCTCACTGCAACCTCCATCCCAGGGGTTCAAGCAAATCTCCTACTGGGATTACAGGTGCCTGCCACCATGCTCAGTTAATTTTTGTATTTTTAGTAGAGAGGGGGTTTCACCATGTTTGCCAGGCTGGTCTCGAACTCCTGACCTCAGGTAATCCACCCGCCTTGGCCTCCCAAAGTGCTGGGATTACAGGCATGAGCTGCCACAGCGGCCTGATGTTACCTTTTTAAGTCCACATAAAGTGACTTTATAATTATCTTTTAATGACTCCTTATTAAAACCTAAAATATATGAAGAACTATTTTGTTTTCTACTTTTATCTACAATACTAGATTTTCCATGATTTTTAAAGAGTAGAAGACTTTATTTATTTATTTATTTATTTATTTATTTATTTATTTTGAAATATAGTCTCGCTCTGTTGCCCAGGCTGAATTGCAGTGGCACTGTCTGAGTTCACTGCATCCTCTGCCTCCCAGGTTCAAGTGATTCTCCTGCCACAGCCTCCTGAGTAGCTGGGACTACAGGTCTGTGCAACTATGCCAGCCTAATTTTTGTATTTTTATTAGATATAGGGTTTTGCCATGTTGGTCAGACTTGTCTCGAACTCCTGACCTCAAGGGATCCGCCCACCTCGGTTTCCCAAAGTGTTGGGACTGAGCCACCACGCCCAGACTAGATTGGTTTTTAAGAACTTGATTTATACATGTTTAGTTTTAAAGAATGGCTTTTTGTGTTTTTA
The DNA here is from genome assembly GCF_000001405.40 of Homo sapiens. Taxonomy (NCBI): domain Eukaryota; kingdom Metazoa; phylum Chordata; class Mammalia; order Primates; family Hominidae; genus Homo; species Homo sapiens. Next base: position 49,022,530 of record NC_000011.10, read on the forward strand.
AACTTTTTAAAGTTAACATTTCACAAGAAACTGGTGAACTTAAATGACATTGAAGATAATTTACTATCACTTAACAGAGGGGTCACCTTTGGAGAATGGGTTATGTATGGGTATAAAATTGAAAAATAGATTTGTATCCTGAGATTAATATTCTGAAGCTCTATCTCTGGTGACTTAGAGAAATTCTCAAATCACCAAACACAATAAATAAATGAATATAAAATATAGTGGCTCATTCACTTCTCTAAAGCATTTTCTAAACTCCCAGAACTATGAAAAACATGGAAGATTCAAATATTTTGCTGAAATGGGTCAGAATGGGAGGTATCTACTTAGCCTATAGGTGCTTTCAACTCTGACTCAGCAAATTATAGGTATTAACTTTCTCTGTGGCCTACTCCTCACACCCTCCTAACCCATTCTTGCTCAATATTCTTCTTAAATCTGCATCTAGGTTTGCTATCATATTACCATCCAAATAATAATTGATTTGGATGTATTTACATAATACAAAGTTCTTTAAGTAACTAATAACATTTACTTAGCATTAATTGGTCCCTTTCTATGTATGAAGCACTGTTCTACTTGCCGATACCTACAATATTTTTCATAGACTTTAAAATACATCGGCATACACAGTGTGAAATCATTTTTGTGTGTGCTTGTTATTTAGGTCACAATATAAAATACATACTGCTAGAATTCTGATAAAAACATACTGCACAGGAATGGTGAGATAGCATTTAAATCGGGAAAGTTCAGCTTGACAGGGTCCTATTACCAGTGCATCCTGTTAGCCTAACATTCAACATCATAAGTAGCACATCAGTAACAAGCTCTTAACTGAGACAAGGTTAGAAATGTGTATTTTTATTTTATAAATAATCTCTGAAAAAGACAGCCTTCTTAAGCACAAATGTCATTTATTATGGTATGTTCAGTCTTTTTCAATTTTTTACTTTCAAACAATATTCTCAAATATATTTAGAAGAAGGTTTTAAGGCATAGTATTTCATTAATGCTCATTGTTTGGAAAAAAACCCAACTGGAATACAAGCACATGAATTTATGTTTATTTTTTTAACTGTGGATTATCATGGTATTTAATCTACTTATTACAAAAAATTTTTTAAAATAGTAATTGATATAACTTGAGACTTTTCATCAAAATTTGAAGACATCTAACAATATGCATAATGAATTTGAGTTGGAAAAAAATGTGTAATACAAGTAAAAACAAAAATGCATTTTCCATTCCTACCTGGAGAAAAAAAAGATGAAATAACATACAGGTTGAGCACCACTAATCAAAATATCTAAAAATCCAAAATACTCCAAAATCTCAAATGTTTTGAGCTGTGAAATGTCACCAAAAGTGAAATATCCCACACGTGACCTCATATGAGAAGTTACAGTCAAAACATATTCTCAGTGAACAAAAGACTCTCCCAGCCCCTTCAGTTGCAATATATCTTTCTGTGTCCACCTAGATGCCCCCAAGCAAGAGCACTCACAAAGGGTAATAAAATGGCATGTGTACACAAACTTTGCTTCATGAATAAAATTATTTAAAATATTGTCTAAAATTATCTTTAGCCTATCTGTATAAGGTGTATATGAAACATAAATTTTGTGTTTACACTTGGGTTGATACACAAGATATCTTATTATGTATATGCAAATATTCTGTAATCCACAAATATCCAAAACCTGAAATTCTTCTGGCCCTAACATTGTGAATAACAAACAGTCAACTTGTATTACATGGTTTTATAATGGATTATTTGAAAATGTGACTGAAATCTGTGGATGAAATTTTACAAACATCAGTTTAAGCCAAATAGTATTATTTTGTATAGCAGAAGGGGATACACTGGGTTTATTTCTCCACAGCATCCAAGTAGAATGTGACAGGGGTAAGGAGGAAAGATTTCTATATGTAGTACTCATGATCCTTTGGGCTTAGGGTAGGTAAAACCACAAGATATGCTAACCTTACATTCTGCTCTGTTCCTTGGAAATTTTATAAAGAACACTTACTGTTGTTTATAAACAAAAATGGATTCCAGTGAAGGGAAATGGCTAAGTCCATGAGCACCATTAGAACTGGTAGGGTTCAGGAAAGAATGTGAAAACTCTACTCCACAGTACTCATTTTTCTATACTGTGCTAGGAAAGATGAATGGAAAACAAATTCGGCAATGTAATGTCTGAGAACAGGATACACAGCCAGATATGGGAAGAATAAAATATAGGAATCTTGTGTCTACTGAATCTAGAGAAGAAAATGTTTTGTTAACTCTTTGCTATGAAAATGCTTTGAGGCTGGGAAAAGTGGCTTACACCTGTAATCCCAGTGCCTTGGAAGGTTGAAGCAGGAGGATTGAGTCCAGCAGTTTGAGACCAGCCAGAACAGCATAAGAAGACCATATCTCCACAAACAATTTAAAAAGTAACCTGAAGTGGGGGTGTCTGCCTGTAGTCAGAGCTACTCAGGAGGCCGAGGTTGAGGATCACTTGAGCCTAGGAGGTTGAGGCTGCAGTAGCTATGATCCAGCAACTGCACTATAGTCTGGGTGACAGAGTGAGACCCTGTCTCTAAGAAAAGAAAAAAGAATAGAAAAGGAAAAACATGATTGAAATCTAAAACCTAGGGTGCTGTTTGTAATTGTTGGCTCCATTATTTTCTCAAGGAAGAAAACCTATTTGATTCTGATTTTTACAGCCTAATGATAATGTAGCAATATTCAAGAACTGAATGTTTCATTCATCAGAGGAAGAAACTTCAGAATGTAGGCTGAACCTCACTTGAACACACAAGCACAGAAGGAATCATATGTGTTTCTGTGGCTCTAAGTGAGAAAATACATTGAGAGATTTGAGGATTTATGGAGTTGACGACATGGGCTTGATCCCTGAATCCATTCCATACAGGAAACAGGACCGTAAAAAGATGGCTTATGACCGGGCGCGGTGGCTCACGCCTGTAATCCCAGCACTTTGGAAGGCTGAGGCAGGCGGATCACAAGGTCAGGAGATTGAGACCATCCTGGCTAACACAGTGTAATCCCGTCTCTACTAAAAATACAAAAAAATTAGCCGGGCATGGTGGCGGGCGCCTGTAGTCCCAGCTACTCGGGAGGCTGAGGCAGGAGAATCACTTGAACCCGGGAGGTGGAGCTTGCGGTGAGCCAAGATCACGCCGCCACTGCACCCCAGCCTGGGCGACAGAGAGAGACTCGGTCTCAACAAAAAAACAAAAAACAAACAAACAAAAAACTTACCTTTTATGTGTTCATATGTAAAGTTGGGACAATGCTACACATATTGCATATTTTCTGTGGAGATTAGGAACAATGTGTGCATGGAGACAGCACAGTAACTGGTACATCATAGCCCATGTATCACATTGTCCCCTTCCTTTTTCTAACATATTTCTCTCCACTCAAATAGAGAAGAGGTTTCAAGAGAAAATGACTGGGGTTTGTAGAAAAATAGACAATAAATGGGTAAAACAATTGAGAAGAAATGCCAAAAAAAGTGTGTTAAAGAAAAGATAGCCCTGGACATTCAGGATCCAGAAAGCAAAATACAACTTTTTGGGAAATTAATAAATTTTGTTAGCATGGGAAAAAATATGCAGAATTCTCTCCATGTGCGCAAATAAAACAAACAAAATGTCAAAGGAGTTATAATACCTAGGTTTTAAATGGTGTTTATCATAGAATGGCATTTTTATAAAAATTTAAAAATTTCCAGAATTAAATAAAGTCAGATTTCTACATATGTTAAGGAAGCAGAAATAGATCAACTTTCATACAAAGATTTTCCAATGAGTTTTAGAACCCAGATGAAAAAAGAGTCTATTACCAGATTCTCAAAAATAGATGTGTAATTCAACAGAAAACTTTGTGGTAGAGGTAGGTTTCAGATGCTAGAATGAAAACAGTCTCATGTACAAAAAAGTATCTTTTTTATTAAAAGGAGAAGCACTGGGAAATAAGGAAATATTCCAAATTGGCTGGAGTGTCCTTTATCCACATCACGGATTGTTCTTGCCTATACCCACCTCTACTCTCTCTTCTGGATTGGGTAGGACTTTTGGAACCTACAAAATGCCAGCTCTAAAGAGAATTACTTTCTTATATTTGTTTCATGGTCTGAGACTCAAGTAGGAAAATAGGTTGTTTCCTTGATAATGCCACAGTAGACAGAGGTAGGTCTGTAATTGAAAGCTCCCAATTTCCAGTGCTCTAGGCTTCAACTGCTTAAAGCTGAGTGTTTGAATAAGTGAATGATGTGGTGCAAAAAGTGGTTGAAATAAAATCAGAAGCTACCTACCTTCCTTTCTCTCCTTGCCTTAATTCCTTCCTGATACACAGCATCATCATACCTTGTAATGGAGTACCAGGGCCCTGCCACGGAGCTCCAGAATTTAAGCAGAGAATGTCCGCAGGATCCAGTCCATGACCGAGGGTTTCACAAGTTTCCCACTCTGGAGTCCAGGACTGAGCCAACAGGGCCCCCACACACAACCAGCGCAGATCTTACTTCTGTGTGGACACTTTGGTTAATTACTTAGATTTATTGAGGTACAGAATGTGCATACAGGGTGGTCAGTCAGTTGGTGGTCTTGGACAGTAAACTGACAATAGAACAAGAAAATCTATTGTTCAATTCCTTGTATTTAATGAAATATAAACTCTGGATGATTTTATGATGTGTCAACTTGAGTACATGTATGTACAAAGAGGAAAATGAGGGCAGTAGCCATTTTGTGGCATAGACATACCTTATTATTCTTCAATGAAACACTTAGGACCTGCTGGAAAGGCATTTTGCAGATGCAAGCAAAAATCCTAATCCTGTGACTAGGAAGTGTACCCAAGTAAGCCTGACTTCATCAGTGAAAGTCCTTTAAAGAAACACATAGGCATTCCTTGAACAACATTTTAAACGGCAAATGGGACTCTAATCTTCCAGTTGCCCCCTATTGACTTTAAACCAAAGCTTTGATTCATGACCACTGGGATCCAGCCAGCGGGGGATTTCTTTTCCTGATGGACTGTACCCAGGATCTCACATTTGCTTAAGCAGCCCCCACAATTGGGTAAGCCAAGTCTTTGCACTTAATTCATATGTGAATCTCCCTAACTATACATATATCTTATGGGTTCTGCTTTTGTCTTTGAACCTGGACAGACCTGGGTCTGATAGATTTGTCTTCACTGTTTTGACAGTCTTGACCATAAGTCTTCTGGACCATTGGCAAAGAATTCCTCTATCAGAAGATATTTGAGTAGTCCCTTCTGAATTCTCTTTTTTAAAAAATAATTTTCATATAACAACAAAAAGATTTGGTATAGAAAGAAAAATATAGTCCATCTCTATCATTTGGATTCTGTATTTGTGAATTTGCCTATATCCTAAAAGTTATGTGTAATCCCCAAAATAATTCCCATGGTGCACTCCTAGTCATTGTAGGACATCATGCACTATATGGAGAAAAACATTAAAATAATAATTCATCTTTCACCCATGAAACTGGTGAAGTTTTGTAAATTCAGTGAGAGACCCCAGGTTAGTGGGTTTATTTGGTTAATCAGTGATTTCTCTTAGAGTGGTAGAAAACAGAAAACAAAAAGGAAAGTTTTATCTTCCATTGGACTTCTCTGGAAATATCCTATAAATGTACTAAAGCAGCATTTAAGCTGGATGAGGTGGTTTATACCTGTACTCTTAGCACTTTGGAAGGCCAAGACCAGAGGACCACTTGAAGCCAGGAGTTGGAGAACAGCATGGGCTACAGAGTCATACACTGACTTTACCAAAAATTTCAACAAAAAAAATTAGCCAGGTGATATAGTGTGAGCCTAAAGTCTTAGCTACTTGGAAGGCTGAAGCAGGAGGATTACTTTGAATTCAAGGCTGCAGGGAGCTATGATTATGCTACTGCACTCCAGAAGGAGACCCTTTCTCTAGAATAAATAAATGTGCACTTAGAGGAATGCCTGTATCATGGAAGAAACTCAATAAACAGTATAAAATGCATCTTAGTTAATTTCTAGCCTATGTATGCTCTGATAGGATTTATGTTACATATGATTCATTCAGGCACTGGTGTTCAGAATGCAAGTGTGATGATAATTTAATCAGAGCTGCAAAGGTGTCTTCTAAATACTGCATAAACCTAATCATCTTTGTCTCCACCTTTCTGAATGCTCTAAATACCCATAAAGAGGTGGGTGTGGTCTCCACAGATTCTTATAAAAGGACACAGAAGAGACAAGCTCAGTTTTCTCTGAAGGAGAAGGACTGCACTTAGAACTGCATTTTGGTGACCTCTGAAATTCAGTACGGCAGTGAATGAGCTTCTGACGTTGAGGTGAACTTAACAAAATTATTTTTGGAAAAATCGTTGTGGGAACCATTAAAAGAACTCAGGGGTGAGTGAAACATATTGATAAAATTATATCATCTTTCCTTTACACAATAATAAATTAGAGTGTTAAAAATATCTCATTATCTTAAATCTACACAATGATACCATTTGTAACTCATGTTCTTACTATAGATTTTATGAATTATAAGGATACTAATTGTTATTTTGTGCTTTCTATGATTGTTTAATATAGTTCTGAAAAACAAAATATCTAGTGTTTGCTGCAACAGATATGTATTCATAATGAATATATGGAGTTGATATATATATGTACACATAGGTGTGTGTGTATATGTATATAATGAGTGTATTAATATTGTCAAATTGAATTGAGAAGGCATTAATGAATGATGAGGTTATTTGCTTTCATAACATTCAGGTTTTAGACTTGACTTTAAATTAGTAAGGTAATGATGAACGATGCAAAATAGTGAAACTAAAACAATGAGAAAGCTCCCCAAAATATCCTACTTTAGAAATCAAAACACAATTTTTTGAACAAGTAAATTTATAATACCTAATTTGGTATGTGATTGTGATTGTCATCTCACTTGAATCTCAATCTTATTAAACTGTGAAAAATTTCTTAAAATGTCTTAGATGAGTTCTGGAAAATATTTGCAATTCTAAGATTTTTCACTGCTTTCACTTAAATTCAGAAGTGATATTAAACTAGCAGCTTTATGCTGCTTTATGCTAAAGGACTTAAAATTGCCAAAACAAAGATTATAGTTTTTATATTAGTCAGAGTTCTCCAGACAGAACCATAGGATGTATACGTATATGTGTGCTGATACATTTATCGGCCATTTGAGTCAGCCACAAACCACATATGGTGGTCCCATAAGATTATAATACCAATATGTTTACTGTACCTTTTCTGTATTCAATTATGTTTAGATACACAAATAGTTATCATTGTGTTACAGTTGCCTACAGTATGCAGTACAGAACATACTGTACAGGTTTGTAGCCTATTGTAGGAACAATAGGCTATAGTGTATACCATAGGTGTGTAGTAGGCTATACCATCTAGATTTGTGTGGTATATTCTATCATATTAAAACAATAAAACCACCTGGCTGGGCACTGTGGCACGTGCCTATAATCCCAGCACTTTGGAAAGCCAAAGCGGGCAGATAACCTGAGGCCAGAAGTTCAAGTGCAGCCTGGCCAAGATGGCAAAACCCCATCTCTACTAAAAAAAATACAAAAATTAGCCAGGCCTAGTGTCACGTTCCTGTAATCCCAGGTACTTGGGAACCTGATGCAGGAGAATCACTCTGAACCTGGAGGCGCAGGTTACAGTGAGCCGAGATCACGCCACTGCATTTCAGCCTGTGTGACAGAAGGATACTCTGTCTCAAAAAAAAGAAAAACAAAAAAAACTAAAAACACCTGACACATTTCTCAGAACATACATCTGTCCACAAGCTATACATGATTCTACATGGGACAGAATTCATCAGGAAAATTAATTTGCTTGATTATGGAGTCTAGAGAGTTCCAACATAGGCTGTCTCTAAGCTGGTGTCCTGAGAATACCGGTATCCTGGCTAAGCTCAAGTCTGAAAGCTTCAGAACAAGTTTCAGGAGAGAGACGGAGGAAGTTGCCTTTTTTCTGCCTTTTTCTTTATATCTGAGGTGTCAGCTGACTGGATGGTGCCCACACACATTGAGAGATGAGGCTCCCACTCAGCTCACCAACTCACATATCTCTCTTCTCTAGAAACACCTTCACAGACTCACCCACAAACAATGCTTCACTAGTTCCCTAGGTATTGGTTAATCCAGTCAGACTGATACCTAAAATTCACCATCACACCATGGAAATATAATTACACCTCTCTGAGTTTAACAAAAACCTCCTATATGTTAGTTCAGAGTTTGCACAGCCCTAGGGGAAGTTAATTTAATCCGCAAGAAAATAAAAAGACCCAATATCTTTAATAATTTTTCTTTTCCCTACTAGTGAACCTTGATTGGTTTAATTGCAGTCTTTTTCTTGTTTATTTGGTTGGTGGGCTTTTTTTTTTAATTTTGTTTTGATTTGGGTCTTTGTTTTTAATTTAATTTAATTTTAAGTCCTGGGATAACTGCAGGACTTGCAGGCTTGTTATGTAGGTAAACTTGTGCCATGGTGGTTTGCTGCCCGGCTTTTGTGACCCTCTATAAAAATATGTCATAGAACCATCTTCTCATATTTCTTTGGCCATCTTCTCATATTTCTTTGGCCCAGGTAGTTTTTTCCCACTCTTTCATAGTCATTCATCAGTTATTGAAAGAAGAATAGGGACAACTATGATTTATTCTGACCACTTAGAATCAAAACCCAATTTCCAGATCTACGTTCAGAAAATGGGTAGTTGAATAGGTTCGTATTATGCTACAGACAGGAACTAGGAGTAGAAGGGACTGTGAGTGCTCTAGTTAGTAATATCTGTTATAAAGCCAGGAGACTCCCTCTATGTGTAAATTTTTAAGTTTGTAACAGAAGAAATAGTTTGTTGTACTTTAATGAACACTGTCAAGAGAAGAAAATATAACTATCACATATCTCCACATGTTTAGAAGCTTTTCATCAACCCAGGCCCCAAAATGACATGTTTCTCTTTGTTCCTCAGAAACATGAATTCTGGAATCTTACAGGTCTTTCAGAGGGAACTCATCTGCCCCATCTGCATGAACTACTTCATAGACCCGGTCACCATAGACTGTGGGCACAGCTTTTGCAGGCCTTGTTTCTACCTCAACTGGAAAGACAGCCCATTTCTTGTCCAGTGCTCTGAATGCACAAAGTCAACAGGGCAGATAAACCTCAAAACCAACATTCATTTCAAGAAGATGGCTTCTCTTGCTAGAAAAGTCAGTCTCTGGCTATTCCTGAGCTCTGAGGAGCAAATGTGTGGCACTCACAGGGAGACAAAGAAGATGTTCTGTGAAGTGGACAGGAGCCTGCTCTGTTTGCTGTGCTCCAGCTCTCAGGAGCACCGGGATCACAGACACTGTCCCATTGAGTCGGCTGCTGAGGAACACCAGGTAAGTGATGGCTCTGAAGATCGATTTCTGTAAAGGATACATAAAATTCCTGTGGGTCTATTTTCTTGGAGATTGGATAAAACAAACTCTGAGTCCCTTTAAGCAGCTCTGTTTGGGCTTTCTTAGCTTCCAACCTCTGGGCTTTGACAAACATGAAGGGAAACAAAGGAAATGCCATTTACTAGGGGTTTATTTGTCTCTCATTCTGGGGCCCCTCCCTATGTCATGGTCTGCACTGGTGCTTCAATTTATGGCTCTTTTGCAGGAGAAGCTTTTACAGAAAATGCAGTCTTTGTGGGAAAAAGCTTGTGAAAATCACAGAAACCTGAATGTGGAAACCACCAGAACCAGATGCTGGAAGGTTAGTCCTGTACTACTCTACCTTCTCCAGGAACTTATGGTGGGCAAATGGGTGACTCTTAAAATAGGAACTGGATATCAAACTGTAATGTTTCTGGGATTCAGTAAAAAAAAAAGAAAAAAAAAGCGAGAGAAAACATTGAGAAAAAGTGGCCTCATTTTTATATAGAATAGTATGCCTGTTAGGTAGGATTTCTAAGAAAACTACTGATGTCACCCAAAGCATGCTGGTTTGTTTCATACAAACCTATAGTTATACACCAACAGATCCAAGAAACTGGGCCATCGCACAGCATTCTATATTTGCTGGTTGGATAAATGTTAGGCAAAAGGGTTATTTGGCAGTCATGGAATGCTCAGCTGAAACTTCTGAGTGTCAGTCAGCATTAATCTGAATGCTAGTGTGCAAGTAGTATTTGGAATTGTATGGAAAATTTGAGGCAGAAAAAGTGACAGGGCAAATCTAGGGAAACCATGAAATTAAGAATCTCAACTAATTAATATTGAAAAATACATAACATACGATGAGAAAAGTGGTGAGAAATACGGATTTGTGTCTTGAGGGAGACATGTAAACATGCCAGAAATATGGGAACTAGTATCTAAATATAAGGAGAACTCTGAGGACTTCAGAAAAACATTAAAAATAATTTTCTCTTTGTGGATGTATATTTTGAGGGAATGATAGCTAATATTAGTTTGTTGAAAAGCATTTCATGAGAACCTAGTCTACGTTGAATATTAAATTAGAAAATATACTAGTAAAGAAGAAAGGAAGCACCTTTGTCCTCACAAATCATACAATCCAAATAAGAGAGTCAAATGGTCAATACACAAATATATGCAATACATGATGTATTTGAGTGTGGTAGGTTTTTTGTTGGAGAATAATCAAGCAGGGAAGTAGAAAAGGACAATGGAGGCCAGAAACTGGAGATTAGTGTTTGAGTTTTAAATAGGGTGGTCAGAAAAAAGACTCACTGAAAAATTCAAATTGAAACAAAGTTTTGAAGAGGAGGGGGAACACAAATGTGTGTGTGGATATATATGTGGACCATGAGTGTGTATATGTATGTATGTGTGTGTGGTTGTGTGTATATATATATATGTATGTATGTATGTATGTGTGTGTGTTTGTATACATATATATGTAATTCTAGTTGGAGAGAATAGCATATGCAGTAATTTTGAGTTTGTGTATATTTGGAGGCCAGAGGAACCACAAAGAAGTCTATGTTTCAGATTGGGATGACTTAGAAAAAGAATAGAAGGAAATGAATTCAGGGAGACAAAGATGGCCAAATCATAAATGCAGCCTTATTAGGATAGGTTTTGCTGGGTGAAATGCACTTAGCTGGACATGCTAGTCTAAGGTCATTTTACACATAATGAGTTTAAGCAACCTGTTGCATATCTCAGAAATAGAAATAATTGTTTCCTTTCTAGTAACTATAGCCCTATACTCCAACTCTTAAGCATGAACTCTTCTTACTTTTCCATAAATATGGGTTGGAATAGCGAAATTCAAATTGTGTTTTTTTATTTTCAACTATCTTAGAAAACACATTATCTTGAATAAATTTAATGTAATTGGTCAGATACAGCTATGTTGATCTTTACGCAGAAAAAAGGAAAGGAACAAAATTTGTAGATTCTAAGAACTGGCAAGACAGAGGTTTGAACTATTGGACATTCGAGAGACAAAAGGAATCAGTGAGATTTAATAGGAGATGGATATATACATTTCTCTTTTGACTAACCCATTATCACTGCAGGATTATGTGAATTTAAGGCTAGAAGCAATTAGAGCTGAGTATCAGAAGATGCCTGCATTTCACCATGAAGAAGAAAAACATAATTTGGAGATGCTGAAAAAGAAGGGGAAAGATATTTTTCATCGACTTCATTTAAGTAAAGCCAAAATGGCTCATAGGAGGGAGATTTTAAGAGGAATGTATGAGGAGCTGAACGAAATGTGCCATAAACCAGATGTGGAGCTACTTCAGGTACAAACTCGCCATGTGGTTTCAGGTTTTTGAATATTCACATGTATAAGTATTTTCCTCATGGCTGAAATCCATCTCCCTAATTTTATTTCCATGATGTGTTTCCAAAAACACATTCACATAACTAATGCTACTTTGTTGGGAGAGTATAGCCCCACTAAGGGATTCTACCAGGCCAAAGGTCCCTCCTACTTTATCCACCAGCCACAAAACTTTGTGGAATGGTCAAGGTAACAGCCCCAAGAAATATTCCCCATCTAATTCAATAATATACTTTGGGTTGTTAAACATGTATAGAATAGTGAGTGATTCATTTACATTTAGGTTAATTTGTAAACATGGCAAGATCAGAAGTTTTGGGAATCTAGGTTTGCATTAACGTTATTTTGGGGTCCACTCATTTGGGTAACAGGTTCAGTTAAAGATGACTGAGTAGGTTTTTCGTGGTTACCACAGAGCATAGACCTTCTGGGCCTCTTCTCCCTTCACTTGTTTAGAGAATGTCTTCAAGACTCAGACTTTCCCAGGACGTTAATTAATAACAATACAACTGACTGGGTTTTTCATTACAGAAGAAATGAAATAGAAAATACTTTCCAGAAGAGAAGATGGTAGGGGAATAATATCTTCAGAAACTGAGTACAAATCTCACACTGAACTTAGTGAAAGATGCATCTTGTGAAATGCACTAAATCTCTCTTTTTTTTTTTTTTTTCAGGCTTTTGGAGACATATTACACAGGTGAGTGTGTACCTAGATTTTAGCATATGTTCTTTAAGATTCCACGACTATCAAAGCAGGCTTTATTAAAGTCATGGCATAAAGTCATGGCATAAATAATTAAGATATTGATACCACTTTTTTTTTGCATCTACTTTCGTTCCCACACCTTAAAAGACAAGGCCACGAAGTAAATAAATGAATAAAAGAAGAGTGAACTAAAACAAACAATTTGATTCCTGATTTTTTTTTTTTTTTTTTTTTTTTTTTTTTTTTTTTTTGAGACGGTGTCTGGCTCTGTCGCCCAGGCTGGAGTGCAATGGCGCGATCTCGGCTCACTGCAAGCTCCGCCTCCCGGGTTCACACCATTCCCCTGCCTCAGCCTCCCGAGTACCGGGGACTACAGGCGCCCGCCACCACACCCGGCTAATTTTTTGTATTTTTAGTAGAGACGGGGTTCACCATGTTAGCCAGGATGGTCTCTATCTCCTGACCCCGTGATCCGCCCGCCTCAGCCTCCCAAAGTGCTGGGATTACAGGCGTGAACCACCGCGCCCGGCCCCTGATTTTGTTTTATTGCTTGAAAGCCTGCACAGGAGAAAGATAAGAGTTTTGTTTTGTGGATGGTGAGAAAGTCACCAGAGGAAGCAGGAGAGAAGAGGAGGAAGTATTTTAGCAGTGAAAAAGTGTTGATGTTTTGTTTTTTATACATATATACATATCAGTTAACAGTTCTGAAAAATAGATCGAAAAAAACTGGAGTGTTAGAACTGTATAAGTCTCTAGGGAAGTTCTTTGCTAAAAGGGGAGAGAACAAGTTTCCATTCTTTATCTTGAGAAGGAAGCAGTGGAAGCATCAGTCTCCCCAGAACCCCGCTATTTCAGACAAAGATGTCAGGGGAGTCTGCCAAGAAGTGGAACTCAGAATTTCGTTTCTAAATATTCTCAAGGCCATAAAGCTAAGGAACCTTACACATTTGGGGCAAAAAAAAAGAAGGATCAGATTGAATTCTGGCTTAGATTCTTCCATCATGCTTAAAAATTTAGAAACTGTAAAGAATTAATTTGCAAAAGGAAGGAATAATTTTTGAATTATCAAATGTGTAGATTCAAAGGATTCTCATGAAATGTCTTTTACATACAAATAGTGATTTTTATTTATTTTATGGCTGTAGATGTTGTAACTGCAGGTTTTTCCTTGCAGGAGTGAGTCCGTGCTGCTGCACATGCCCCAGCCTCTGAATCCAGAGCTCAGTGCAGGGCCCATCACTGGACTGAGGGACAGGCTCAACCAATTCCGAGGTAAGTCTCCACCCACAGGCAGCACTCCCACTATCTAAATATTATTATTGTTAGGATCACATAGGTAATATTTCATATTTTATCAAATATTTTACTTCTTTTAAGACATAAGTGAACAATATAACCATGCAACCCTTTGGTATCCGTGTCTGTATTTACAGTCAGATTTATAGCATTAAGTTTGAAAGATAGTGAAAAAGAAATACTTTCTGGCATAATATGTACTGAGTTATATAATAGGAAAAAGGAGTAGTGTAGAAAATTTAAAAAAGGAGCCAATGAAATAATGCTCAGAATGGTGAATTATTTAATGTTAAATACAAAATTGTACATTTCTTTAGTGTATTCATTTGAACTGCTAAGAACTGTTCTTTGGGGGAATATAGTTTTCTGGAGATTCTTGGGGGTTTTGTATTTTTTTAATGTGTATATATTATTCATATATTGCAAACATTTGAATTAATAGGTAAAGCTAAAAGGAAGAAATCATTTTGTGAATATAAGTAAAATTACAAATGAAAATAAGTTCAGTTTAATTGCAATATGAAGAGCTACATGTTAAGTCTAAAATCCAGCTTCAGCCCAGAGCTAGCATGGAGGACAGCAGAGAGACTGGTCAAAGATTTTGCAGAGATCTGCTTTAAATTATCACTTATAACATGTAAATATGGACTTTTATCCAGATACCTAGAGCAGTTCTAGAGTAAGTGAAAATCTTCACATTCACATTCTTTCCAAAATGATAGCACTAGTTTTTAAGAATAAGAAACATTTCTAAATAATGATCTTGATAACAGCATTACATTTAGGGCATACAATGTATAAATTTTACTTTGAAAATTGGATTGAAAGAAGTTGGTCTCACATTTGGCTCTCAATATGTAAGTTTTCAAAAAAACATAATATCTGTGGTTAGGGTTCTGTTTGTCTTGTATATAATATTAACCATCTCTATACTTTACTAGAAGTTACAAGCAAAACTTTTTATGACTTTACATTTGCTGGTAAAGTAACTTCTTGATAGACAATTATTTTTTTCTTATTTACACGTCTATGCATGTTTTCTCTTTTTTTTGCAGTGCATATTACTCTGCATCATGAAGAAGCCAACAGTGATATCTTTCTATGTGAAATTTTGAGAAGCATGTGTATTGGATGTGACCATCAAGATGTACCCTATTTCACTGCAACACCTAGAAGTTTTCTTGCATGGGGTGCTCAGACTTTCACCTCGGGCAAATATTACTGGGAGGTCCATGTAGGGGACTCCTGGAATTGGGCTTTTGGTGTCTGTAATATGTATTGGAAAGAGAAGAATCAGAATGAGAAGATAGATGGAGAGGATGGACTCTTTCTTCTTGGGTGTGTTAAGAATGACATTCAACGCAGTCTCTTTACCACCTCCCCACTTCTGCTGCAATATATCCCAAGACCTACCAGCCGAGTAGGATTATTCCTGGATTGTGAGGCTAAGACTGTGAGCTTTGTTGATGTTAATCAAAGCTCCCTAATATACACCATCCCTAATTGCTCTTTCTCACCTCCTCTCAGGCCTATCTTTTGCTGTATTCACTTCTGACCAGAGACAAATCAGAAATGTGTTCACATGCTGTGGGAACCCCTTTATCCCAGGAAGTCCTCTTCCTTGTGCCTTAACATACAGGACAAATAGGCTCTATTTTATATCTTGAATTGCCTTCTAATGTTATCAAAACTCATTTATTGTGTTACTATTAAATATGCTGAAAACACTAAAAGTATATGTATTGGTTCTTTATTAAATAATTTTTGAAAAATCATTATTCATGATCATGGCATACAGTATATTCTCTTTTTTTCTTTATTTCTGACTGTCACTGAGTGAAATAATAGATGGCAGACATGTCTGAATGAAGTAAAAATCAATGGAAGACAGTCAGGATCTTTTGCTTCATGCAAAAAACTTGGAGTGAAGTCTCAATGATAACTGGGAAATGTTTTTCTTCCTCTTTATCTAACTATATTACACTTATCCATCAGGCTTCATTGTATTAATCTATCCTTTGAGGTAATATTATTTGACCTTCTATGCTGGGCTTTATTTTGCAATTCTCACCACAGATATGAATAATCCTTCATTATTAGTGTGCTTGTCTACATTGAAATACACAATGTGATCAGACCAATGCTGGATTAATTGAATTTTTTTTTAAAGTAACTAAATATTGACTCCTACCTCAAACCATACACAGTCATTTCCAGATAGTTTGAAGTCCTGAAAGGAAGGGGAACCTGATACAATATTCTCATAAGGATTTCTTAACCAGGGCACAAATTAATAATTAAAACAATTAGTTCATTTATATTGATAATGATGACTTCTGTGTTTCAAAAAACATTATGCAAACTAGTAGTGGAGAAAGATATTCACCCCAACATACATAAAGTAAAATATAATACATATATATGATGAATACTTAAATTGTAATAAATAAAAGACAGTGAACTCAATAGAAGATTGGCTAAAATATCTGAACAGACACTTTACAGAATTGGATACATAAATAACTAGCCAAATATAAAAAAGTGCTCACTTTCATTAGTCTTACAAAAGTAAGAATTAATCCACCAGTTGTGCCACAGGCCCCCATAAAAAATACCAAAATTTAAAGACACACAATATTGTGTGTTGCCAAAGATACAGAATAAATGAAATTTATTCATGGCTGGAGAGATGTAAATGGATATCCCTTTTGGGAAACTGATTATTAGCATTTCTTATGGGCTAGATATTCTAATTCTAAAATATAGTCAACTGATTGCCTACATATACTTCAACATACACAATATTGTTCACTGCATCAATTTTTATAGTAGCTCCAAATTAGACCCAAAATATTCTTCAACTGTAGAATAGCTAAATAAATTTGGTGTATTTATGCAAAATAATCCTATAAAACAATAAATAACTCACTGAATGCAACAAAGCTGATGAATCTCAGAAACAAGTTAATAAACATATGCCAATTTAAACGATAAAATTGAAGTTAAGAAAAGACTTTTCCATGTATATAATATGTTGGTAATTGTAAGCTCTTTATGGGTTCCATAATTACATGAACGCTGTGGAATTATAACTTTTAAGACCCAAAATGTCAAATAATGCATAATGTAGTAGAATAAAAAAGGAGCCCAGGCATGGTGGCACACACCTCCAATCCCAGCACTTGGGGAGACCAAGGTGTGAGAATGGCTTGTGGCCAGGAGTTCCAGACCAGTGGAGGCAACATAGTGAGACCTCATGTCTACTAAACATTCCTTTAGAAATCAGCCTGGCATGATGGCACATGCTATAGTCCCAGCTACTCAGGAGGCTGATGCAGCAGGATGGCTTGTGCCCAGAAGATCCAGGCTGCAGTGAGCCATGGTGGTGCCCTGCAGTCCAGCCTGTGACAGAATGACTGACTGTCTCATAATAAAACAAACTATAATTACTTGATATAACACAAACCAATATATTATAAATACGCTAATTATAGGTATTTTAAATATTGATTTATTTAAAATAACTGAGAAAGCTGGGATAGCTACATGTTTGCTTAGACTAGACAAAAGTGCCTTGGGAAGTAAGTTTAAAGTATTTTTATTAGAGTAAGTGAGGATGAAGTGCTTCATTACAAATGTGATACACACCAGAATCTGCTATGAATAGTCTCATGTCTAGAAGATTTGCGGATATCTAGGTAAGCAGTAATTATTGGGTGCCTGAAGCCTAGCAGGTGCATATTCAGTGTGTCTTCTCTGGAGATGTCTTCTCTGGAAAGTTTGATTTTTTTTTATTATACTTTAAGTTCTAGGGTACATGTGCACAACGTGCAGGTTTGTTACATATGTATACATGTGCCATGTTGGTGTGCTGCACCCATTAACTCCTCATTTACATTAGGTATATCTCCTAATGCTATCCCTCCCCCTCCCCCCACCCCATAACAGGCCCCTATGTGTGATGTTCCCCTTCCTGTGTCCAAGTGATCTCATTGTTCAATTCCCACCTATGAGTGAGAACATGCACTGTTCGTTTTTTTTGTCCTTGTGATAGTTTGCTGAGAATGATGGTTTCCAGCTTCATCCATGTCCCTACAAAGGACACGAACTCATCCTTTTTTATAGCTGCATAGTATTCCATGTTGTATATGTGCCACATTTTCTTAATCCAGGCTCTTATTTTTGGACATTTCGGTTGGTTCCAAGTCTTTGCTATTGTGAATAGTGCCACAATAAACATACGTGTGCATGTGTTTTTATATATAGCAGCATGATTCATAATCCTTTGGGTATATACTCAGTAATGGGATAGCTGGGTCAAATGGTATTTCTAGTTCTAGATCCTTCAGGAATCACCACACTGTCTTCCACAATGGTTGAACTAGTTTACAGTCCCGCCAACAGTGTAAAAGTGTTCCTGCTTCTCCACATCCTCTCCAGCACCTGTTGTTTCCTGACTTTTTAATGATCGCCAATCTAACTGGTGTGAGATGGTATCTCATTGTGGTTTTGATTTGCATTTCTCTGATGGCCAGTGATGAAGAACATTTTTTCATGTGTCTGTTGGCTGAATAAATGTCTTCTTTTGAGAAGTGTCTGTTCATCTCCTTCGCCCACTTTTTGATGGGGTTGTTTGTTTTTTCTTGTAAATTTGTTTGAGTTCTTTGTAGATTCTGGATATTAGCCCTTTGTCAGATGAGTAGATTGCAAAAATTTTCTCCCATTCTGTAGGTTGCCTGTTCACTCTGATGATGGTTTCTTTTGCTGTGCAGGAGCTCTTTAGTTTAATTAGATCCCATTGGTCAATTTTGGTTTTTATTGTCATTGCTTTTGGTGTTTTAGACATGAAGTTCTTGCCCATGCCTATGTCCTCAATGGTATTGCCTAGGTTTAATTCTAGGGTTTTTATGGTTTTAGGTCTAACATTTAAGTCTTTGATCCATCTTGAATTAATTTTTGTATAAGGTGTAAGGAAGGGATCCAGTTTCAGCTTTCTACATATGGCGAGCCAGTTTTCCCAGCACCATTTATTAAATAGGGAATCCTTTCCCCATTTCTCGTTTTTGTCAGATTTGTCAAAGATCAGATGGTTGTAGATAGGTGGCATTATTTCTGAGGGCTCTGTTCTATTCCATTGGTCTATGTCTCTGTTTCAGTACCAGTCCGATGCTGTTTTGGCTACTGTAGCCTTGTAGTATAGTTTGAAGTCAGGTAGTGTGATGCCTCCAGCTTTGTTCTTTTGGCTTAGGATTGACTTGGCCGTGAGGGCTCTTTTTTGGTTCCATATGAATCTTAAAGTAGTTTTTTCCAGTTCTGTGAAGAAAGTCATTTGTAGTTTGATGGGGATGGCATTGAATCTATAAATTACCTTGGGCAGTATAGCCATTTTCATGATATTGATTCTTCCTATCCCTGAGCATGGTATGTTCTTCCATTTGTTTGTATCCTCTTTTATTTCATTGAGCATTGGTTTGCAGTTCTCCTTGAAGAGGTCCTTCACATCTTTTTAAGTTGGATTCCTAGATATTTTATTCTCTTTGAAGCAATTGTGAATGGAAGTTCACTCATGATTTGGCTCTCTGTTTCTCTGTTACTGGTGTGTAAGAATGCTTGTGATTTTTGCACATTGATTTTGTACCCTGTGACTTTGCTGAAGTTGCTGAAGGAGATTTTGGGCTGAGACGATGGGGTCTTCTAAACATACAATCATGTCATCTGCAAACAGGGACAATTTGACTTCCTCTTTTCCTAATCGAATACCCTTTATTTCTTTCTCTTGCCTGATTGCCCTGGCCAGAACTTCCAATACTGTGTTGGATAGGAGCGGTGAGAAAGGGCATCCCTGTCTTGTGCCAGTTTTCTAAGGGCATGCTTCCAGTTTTTGCCCACTCAGTATGATATTGGCTGTGGGTTTGTCATAAATAGCTCTTATTATTTTGAGATACGTCCCATCAATACCTAATTTATTGAGAGTTTTTAGCATGAAGGGCTGTTGAATTTTGTCAAAGGCCTTTTCTGCATCTATTGAGATAATCATGTGGTTTTTGTCTTTGGTTCTGTTTATATGCTGGATTACATTTATTGATTTGCATATGTTGAACCAGCCTTGGATCCCAGGGATGAAGCCCACTTGCTCTTGGCAGATAAGCTTTTTGATGTGCTGCTGGATTCTGTTTGTCAGTATTTTATTGAGAATTTTTGCATCGATGTTCATCAGGGATATTGGTCTAAAATTCTCTTTTTTTGTTGTGTCTCTGCCAGGCTTTTGTATCTGGATGATGCTGGCCTCATAAAATGAGTTAGGGAGGATTCCCTCTTCTTCTATTGATTGGAATAGTTTCAGAAGGAATGGTATCAGCTCCTCCTTGTACCTCTAGTAGAAGTCGGCTGTGAATCCGTCTGGACCTGGACTTTATTTGGTTTGTAGGCTCATAATTATTGCCTTAATTTCAGAACCTGTTATTGGTCTATTCAGGGATTCACCTTCTTCCTGGTTTAGTCTTGGGAGAGTGTATGTGTCCAGGAATTTATCCATTTCTTCTAGATTTTCTAGTTTATTTGCGTAGAGGTGTTTATAGTATTCACTGATGGTAGTTTGTATTTCTGTGGGATCAGTGGTGATATCCCCTTTATCATTTTTTATTGCGTCTATTTGATTCTTCTCTCTTTTCTTCTTTATTAGTCTTGCTAGCAGTCTATCAATTTTGTTGATCTTTTCAAAAAAACAGCTCCTGGATTCACTGATTTCTTGAAGGTTTCATTGTGTCTCTATTTCCTTCAGTTCTGCTCTGATCGTAGTTATTTCTTGCCTTCTGCTAGCTTTTGAATGTGTTTGCTCTTGCTTCTCTAGTTCTTTTAATTGTGATGTTAGGGTGTCAATTTTAGATCTTTCCTGCTTTCCCTTGTGGGCATTTAGTGCTATAAATTTCCCTCTACACACTGCTTTAAATGTGTCCCAGAGATTCCAGTATGTTGTGTCTTTGTTCTCGTTGTTTTCAAAGAACATCTTTATTTCTGTCTTCATTTCGTTATGTACCCAGTAGTCATTCAGGAGCAGGTTGTTCAGTTTTCATGTATTTGAGCGGTTTTGAGTGAGTTTCTTAATCCTGAGTTCTAGTTTGATTGCACTGTGGTCTGAGAGACAGTTTGTTATAATTTCTGTTCTTTTACATTTGCTGAGGAGTGCTTTACTTCCAACTATGTGGTCAATTTTGGAATAAGTGCGATGTGGTGCTGAGAAGAATGTATATTCTGTTGATTTGGGGTGGAGAGTTCTGTAGATGTCTATTAGGTCCACTTGTTGCAGAGCTGAGTTCAATTCCTGGATATACTTGTTAATTTTCTGTCTCATTGATCAGTCTAATGTTAACAGTGGGGTGTTAAAGTCTCCCATTATTATTGTGTGGGAGTCTAAGTCTCTTTGTAGGTCTCTCAGGACTTGCTTTATGAATCTGGGTGCTCCTGTATTGGGTGCATATATATTTAAGATAGTTAGCTCCTCTTGTTGAATTGATCCCATTACCATTATGTAATGGCCTTCTTTGTCTCTTTTGATCTTTGTTGGTTTAAAGTCTGTTTTATCAGAGACTAGGATTGCAACCCCTGACTTTTTTTGTTTTCCATTTGCTTGGTAGGTCTTCCTCCATCCTTTTATTTTGAGCCTATGTGTGTCTCTGCACATGAGATGGGTTTCCTGAATACAGCACACTGATGGGTCTTGACTCTTTATCCAATTTGCCAGTCTGTGTCTTTTAATTGGAGCATTTAGCCCATTTACATTTAAGGTTAATATTGTTATGTGTGAATTTGATCCTGTCATTATGATGTTAGCTGGTTATTTTGCTCATTAGTTGATGCAGTTTCTTCCTAGCATTGATGGTCTTTACAATTTGGCATGTTTTTGCAGTGGCTGGTACTGGTTCTTCCTTTCCATGTTTAGTGCTTCCTTTAGGAGCTCTTGTAGGGCAGGCCTGGTGGTGACAAAATCTCTCAGCATTTGCTTGTCTATACAGGATTTTATTTCTCCTTCACGTATGAAGCTTAGTTTGGCTGGATATGATATTCCGGGTTGAAAATTCTTTTCTTTAAGAATGTTGAATATTGGCCCCCACTCACTTCTGGCTTGTAGAGTTTCTGCCGAGAGTTCTGCTGTTAGTCTGACGGGCTTCCCTTTGTGGGTAACCTGACCTTTCTGTCTGGTTGCCTGTAACATTTTTTCCTTCATTTCAACTTTGGTGAATCTGACAATTATGTATCTGGGAGTTGCTCTTCTTGAGGAGTATCTTTGTGGTATTCTCTGTATTTCCTGAATTTGAATGTTGGCCTGCCTTGCTAGGTTGGGGAAGTTCTCCTGGATAATATCCTGCAGAGTGTTTTCCAACTTGGTTCCATACTCCCCATCACTTTCATCACCAATCAGACATAGATTTGGTCTTTTCACATTGTCCCATATTTCTTGGAGGCTTTGTTCACTTCTTTTTACTCTTTTCTCTCTAAACTTCTCTTCTCACTTCATTTCATTCATTTGTTCTTCAATCACTGGTACCCTTTCTTCCAGTTGATCAAATTGGCTACTGAAGATTGTGCATTCATCACGTAGTTCTCCTGCCATGGTTTTCACCTCCATCAGGTCATTTAAGGACTTCTCTACATTGGTTTTTCTAGTTAGCCATTCATCTAATCTTTTTTCAAGGTTTTTAGCTTCTTTGCAATGGATTCGAATTTCCTCCTTTAGCTTGGAGAAGTTTGATCGTCTGAAGACTTCTTCTCTCAACTTGTCAAAATCATTCTCCATCCAGCTTTGTTCCATTGCTGGTGAGGATCTGCATTCCTTTGGAGGGGGAGAGGTGCTCTGATTTTTAGAATTTTCAGTTTTTCTGCTCTGCTTTTTCCCCATCTTTGTGGTTTTATCTACCTTTGGGCTTTGATGCTGGTGATGTACAGATGGGGTTTTGGTGTGGATGTCCTTTCTGTTTGTTAGTTTTCCTTCTAACAGTCAGGACCCTCAGCTGCAGGTCTGTTGGAGTTTGCTGGAGGTCCACTCCAGACGCTGTTTGCCTGGGTATCAGCAGCAGAGGCTGCAGAACAGTGAATATTGCTGAACAGCAAATGTTGCTGCCTGATCGTTCCTCTAGAAGCTTTGTCTCAGAGGGGTAAGTGGCCATGTGAGGTGTCAGTCTGCCCCTACTGGGGGGTGCCTCCTGGTTAGGCTACTCAGGGACCAACTTGAGGAGGCAGTCTGTCTGTTCTCAGATCTCAGACTCTGTGCTGGGAGAACCACTGCTCTCTTCAAAGCTGTCAGACAGGGACATTTAAGTCTGCAGAGGTTTCTGCTGCCTTTTGTTCAGCTATGCCCTGGCCCCACAGGTGGAGTCTACAGAGGCAGGCAGGCCTCCTTGAGCTGCAGTGGGCTCCACCCAGTTTAAGCTTCCAGGCCGCTTTGTTTACATACTCAAGCCTCAGAAATGGTGGGTGCCCCTCCCCCAGCCTCACTGCTGCCTTGCAGTTTGATCTCAGACTGCTGTGCTAGCAATGAGTGAGGCTCTGTTGGCGTGGGACCCTCTGAACCAGACGCAGGATATAATCTCCTGGTGTGCCGTTTGCTAAGACCATTGGAAAAGCGCAGTATTAGGGTGGGAGTGACCCGATTTTCCAGGTGCCATCTTTCACAGCTTCCCTTGGCTAGGAAAGGGAATTCCCTGACCCCTCGAACTTCCTGGGTGAGGTGATGCCTCACCCTCCTTCAGCTCATGCTGGGTGGGCTGCACCCACTGTCCTGCACCCACTGTCTGACAAGCCCCAGTGAGATGAATCCAGTACCTCCGTTGGAAATGTAGTAATCACCCATCTTCTGTGTCGCTCACGCTGGGAGCTGTAGACTGGAGCTGTTCCTATTCGGCCACCTTGGAACCCAAGTTTGATTTTTAAATGATTTTTAACTTCCCATGGCGGAAACAGGAAGGAATGCCTGGCAACCCAACAAGGGTCAGATGCCACATCAACCCGAGCAGAAGCTGCCTAACCCTGGCTATTCCAACGACAATTAGACGTTCTTGGGAAGGTGGAGCCCTTTGTGGGAGCTCCACAAAGTGGCCACTTAAAGGTGACTGAGGCCTCTCAAAATCCCTGAGTTAGAGCTGCAGCTCTCCATGTGGGCTGTAGTGCAATCACCTATAGAGCTTTAGGACAGGCCCAGGGCTCATCTCCCTGGACCAGTGCCTTGAGAATTTTCATAGCAGGGATAGCCAGCTTGGAGAAGCATGCCTGGGAGACCATGTGGCACTGCCTGGCTGAGTCCTCAGCTGACATAGGTGAGGGTAGGGCTCATGGTGACTTGGTAATGCTGTGAATTAGGTACGTGTAGCAGGAAGGTGCCACAATGCCAAGGCCCCACATCTTGGAAATTCCATGAGGTCCACATGAGGTTGAACTAAACACCAAGTGCAGTCCTCAAAGGAAAAATAAAAGAAATACCCACATAAGGGACTCTTTGGAACTGAGTCTGGAAGAGAGGGCTGCCTGGTCCACTCCAGGAGAATTTGCCTAAAATATGTTTGCTTCCCACTGCATTCTCTTTGCTTGTTGTAAACATCACCTCCTCCCCATTCCTTTAATTTGCATCATTCTGGGCTCCTTACTCTTGTTGCATCCTTTATTACACTTTAAGGATGCCTGGATTCGATTTACTTGAGCGCATATATGGCTTAATTTTGTATTTCTGGTAATCATTTATTATATTTCCCCCATTTTATCAAATGACACGTTTGTCTCATATCTTTTTTTAATGTGTTAAAGATTTTGTATCCAGTTTATCTGAAACTCCTTGCTTAAAATGACTTTAATTCTAGCAATACATACATGCTTATCTTTGCATTGTTTTATAATTTGACGATAAAAGTCTTTCCCCAATATATGAGGTATGGGTAACACTTTTTAAAAAGAAACAATAAAATCTGATCTCTCTGTCTCACTTGATCATGTGGCTGAACGAGTCAATCCTTCCAACAAATAGAAATATCCAGCATCACTTAATCTAATTAATAAAAACACCCAGTGTGCACGTGCACCCATGATGAGAAGAAAAGACCAAAGCAAACAGCCCAAAAGGAGAGAATCCCATGATTTCTGTGTAAACTCCTACAGATATCATAAATATTTATTGCTAGGAACAGTATTTTAAATAAAAGGTCTTCAGGCAAGCGTATTAAAGCTGCCTTGGATACAAGGGGTCCTATAACTTGTAAAAATTGGCAAATTGGATAACGATTAAAAATACAAAATTACACAGAAAATACCCTTTAATAAATTGATTTTTTTTAATTGAGACAGAGTTTGGCTCTCGTTGCCCAGGCCGGAGTGCAATGGCACGATCTTGGCTGCCTGCCACCTCTGCCTCCAGGGTTCAAGCGATTCTCCTGCCTCAGCCTTCCGAGTAGTTGTGCCACCATGCACAGCTAATTTTGTATTTGTAGTAGAGACGGGGTTTCTCCATGTTGGTCATGCTAGTCTCAAACTCCCAACCTCAGGAGATCCGCCTGCCTTGGCCTCCCAAAGTGCTGGGATTACAGGCTTGAGCCACAGCGCCCGGCCTAATAAATTGATCTTTAAAAACATCTTAATTGAGGTTCTCTAAAGGGAGCCTTTTAGGCAACATGCCCGCTAGGTGTACTGATTGCTAGGGTGGCTGCTGTCAGGCGAATCGATGTGGCTCCCCCAGCCCCTTCCTGGGAGCATCCTAGAGAGACAGCGCGGAAATACACGCGGCCCGGTGGTCCCGGGAGCTGCCATGGTGCCCAGCCCCGTGGCCTTGCCCTGCCCTCACACCGTGTCAAGCACCCGCGGACTCTCACGTCCTCTTCTTCCAAAGCAGCGGGCGCTTCTCCTGCACCTTGGCCTGGCGCTTCTTCTCGGCCTCCTCCGCCTCCGGTTTCTCCTCCTTGGCCACCTTGTTAGGCCACTTGGGTATCCGCAGGTGGCCGCTGTCCTTGGTGCTGCCCTTCCGCGCTGGCCTCTTGGGCTGGAAGGTGGGCCCGGGTGCCTTGCTGAGGCGGACCCGGGGCACCACCGTGCCTGGCCACAAGCTGCTCCGCCGCAGGCGCTGCAGGGGCAGGAGGCTAGCCTTCCGCGGGGAGGGGTCGGCAGAGCCCCAGGACCCCGGCAGCGGGGCAGGTGGGAGGCCGGCTCTTGGGGATTCCTCACGGGAGCCCGCCGCCTCTAGGCCAGGCCGCTTGTGCTGCTCTGCGCCCTCCGTTTCGCCCGCCACCTGCGCCTGCCGCCCCCACCGACCCCACGCCACGCCGCCAGAATTTCCTGAGTCGCCAGGATTTCCTGCACCGCCAGCCGCCTCTTCCCCACGCACAGGGTGCTCTCGGGGCACACGGTCTGGCACGCGAAGGCCACGGCGGTGCTGTTAGAGGCTGGTGGTCATCCTGACTATGTGGTCCAGGGCGCCCCGGTCCTCTGGGCCACGCACGGCGCGCGGCGTCAGCGCGGACAGCTCGCAGTCCCTGACCCTCTGCAGGCAGTTTTTGGAGCCCTCGGGCTTCTGCGCCCTCTCGTGGAGCGGAGGCAGCTCAAGCTGGTACTTTTCCCCCAACCGCTCCTGGCAGGGGTGCTCCAAGAGCCTCTGCATGAGGCGGACGTGTAAGTGGCCACTCCTCTGGCGACATCCCACGGCAGGGACCCTCGTGTGGACACCCGCCCCTGCTAGCTCAGGGCTCCGATGTGATCGGTTCGACCCTGCATGGCGGTTTTCAACCCAAACTCATCCCTCCTTCAAGGTCAAGACCCAGGACATAGTTCAACAAGTAGTTGGTGATGATAGCCTGCCCTGACTGGGCCAGAACAGCTTCTTTAGTAAAACAACGCAGGGAAGTCATGAAACAGATGCTCAGCTCCTTTCTTCATTTTCACTTTAATTCCGTGATGCCTGTGTCCGTCTGACGACATCTCTCCTGGGGTCTGGGACTCTGCTGGTCTTCAATGCCTACTGAGAAGGGTTCCTGGCCATCATCAGGCATGAAAACTCAAAGCCCTCCGTCCTCAACGTGGGATCCCTGGGCCAGCGGTATCAGCCTCACCAGGAAGCCTGTTCTTCTGCCCATTCTTGGGCCCCACCCCAGGCCTATTCAAAGAAAGACTCCAGCGGCAGGGCCTGGCAGCCCGTTTCCACCAGATCTGTGTTAAAGCTCAAATGAACCAGCCCAGGTGATGCTGACGCAGGAAGGGCAAGGCTGAGAGCCAGTGTCTAAGGCAACTGTGCCCATGGGGCCAGGGGCAGTTCCTGCCTGTGCAGCTATGATTAGGGCTGCGTTCCCCTCCCTGTCCTGCCAGTTGACATCAATGTGGGGGTACTCAGCTAAGGCCACCACGGTATATCCACAAAGTCGTGGTATCAGGCGACATTAAGGCCCGTCCAGCCATTGTGGTCAGTCTCCTGCGCCTTCTTAAAGCTCACCCCACACCGCACCAGCGTCCGCAGCTGCCCCACGCCTCCAGGATGCCCTCCTCCGGTACGCTCTCCACGCCCTCGACGCCGTGCTCCTCCTCGTCCTGGAAAGGGTACAAAGAGTCGTCAGAGGCGACGCTGCGAGTGTCGGGCAGACTGGAGAAGTCCTGGAACTCTTTGAATTCAGTGCGGTCCTCCTCGACCTGCGCGCCTAGGAGTGGGGATGGCGGTGGCGGGATCATGCAGCGCGCCTCGCCACCCTGCGGCCGAGTCCCAGCCAGCAGCACCATGCCGGAGGCGTGGGCGGGGGATCGCGGCACCGTCCGGGAAAGCCTGGGGCCCGCCAAGGTCCATGCTTCTCACTACTGAGTCCCCAGAGAAGCCCTAGCTCCCTCCCCCAGCCCGGCGGAAACCTCCCTTCTTTTACATTATTAAGTTTGTTTTTATTTTAATTTTCTTAGGACATTGATAAAATCACTTTCGGATTATTGGGATTAAAAATTAAATAATTTTCAACTTTACTCTTTTTTAAAATTGTCACAATTTATTTTAATGCTTTTATTCTTTTGTAACTTTTAATTATTGTAATTTATATCTTCAATTATTATGGAAGAATTTTAGAAAAGTCTTTTCACATAATAAAGTCTAATTAATGAACTATTATTTATTCTCT
The DNA here is from genome assembly GCF_000001405.40 of Homo sapiens. Classification (NCBI taxonomy): domain Eukaryota; kingdom Metazoa; phylum Chordata; class Mammalia; order Primates; family Hominidae; genus Homo; species Homo sapiens. The sequence goes on from NC_000011.10 coordinate 49,050,543, forward strand.
CCTCTATCTCAAATACGGACTTTAAACTTTTAGAACACTTTATGTTTTGAGACTCTTGTTACTTATGTGACATTTTAACTATTATTCTTCACTCTTCTAGTGAATTTTTAATGTCATTCAAAGGGTACATCTTTCTATAGTGAGAATTAAACATAGTTCTCAAAAATATTCTCAGATATTTAGAATTTCATCTTCCACTGGCATGTTAAGTATGTTCTCCTTCCCTTCTAATGCATATTTTCCCCCAAGTCCTCGTGTTATACTCCTTTTTCACCCTCCATTCAAGAGATGATTTTATTTATTTATTTATTTATTTGTTTATTTATTCACTGAGGCAGAGTCTCACTCAGTCTGTCACCAAGGCTAGAATGCAGTGGCATGATCTCCATTCATTACTATCTTTGCCTCCTTGGTTCAAGTGATTATCCTGCCTCAGCCTCCATAAAAAATCTGTAACCAGGCTATTGATAAATAACTTCTTTTAGGGATAAAAAACTCAGAAAGTTCAAGATTTCTGGATTAATGATTGACAATGTTCTTAGTGGTCTCTCTGATTTATTTCAATTGTAAGTAATTCTTGGTGATATTCTAACATAAATTCTGACAGGTGAAGAGAATAAATGAATTAAGTATCTCTAGGAGAATCAATAGAATAAGATTATCTTGGTTAAATGGTTGAGAAAACATGGTAAATAGACAAAAAAACTTTTTCATCTTCCAAAATCAGAGTCAAATACTAAATGATCATAAAGTAGCTAATACTGTCTTTCTGCAAAGTGAATCTGAGCTAAATTAAAAGAATGTCAGGAATAAATTTTTCCTTGAAAACTAGGAACAAATAATGTAATTAAATTATGAGGCATTGACTGTTGCATAGAGTTCTAGCATCAACAGAAAAGCTCACAAAACATAGGTGAAAATCAAAAAAGGAGTGCTGGGTTGGAGCCCTAAGGTGAATAATTTTATCATCTCAGATCGCTTGGAAAAAAGCAGCGAGTCCAAAAGAAGCTGGTGATAAGCTCTCTCTCTGCTAACCCCTAATGTTCTGCATGAAATGTGTGAAGGCAGAAGAGAGACAGTTTATTATAGTCTACATGGTATAGAGTGAAGGAATAAGAGAACATTTCTGATAAGTGTTTTCAAAATTTGGAGAATCATTCCTATCTAAATCATTCATTTAAGGGAGTAAAATACAAGTATGATGTTTCTTGCCATCTAACCCTCAGCTAGCCATGCTCTAAAAAGGACAACACTGGACACCTCGACAGTGGTAAAAAGCAGGGTTTACTCACTCTTGAATACTAAGAAATTGTGCTAATCTTAGGCAGCAGCTTATCTATTTGGTTGAGGTTCAGCTTTGTTTCATTGAACAAATCTCTTGGGTTATTTTCAGTTGTGCCAGTCATTTAATTTGTTTTCTGAATCAAATGATAAGAATAAATATGGTTTTGAGTGTAAACCGCATTCCCAGATATATCTTACAACTTGGTGTGCCATCTGCCTAATTTTGAACCTATAGGATGGGAATAAATGCATTGTGAAAAACACCAGGTGATTTCCTTAAAGCCAAATACTCTTGTCCCTCCTACTTTTCTTCTGGCTTTCCTGCTGCATGGGACATGGCAATAAATGGGAGTTTCCTGCACACAGAGATAAAATTCACTTGTTGAAGATGTCAGTCTTCTTCTTGACCAACTCCTATATTGGTAAAAACATGTTAGAGAAATGCACCTTCTGAATCGTTTCAAATTTGTGGTCTTTGTTAGAGAAGATAAGCTGGTGCCCTGGGAGACGTAGCTATTACATTCTATTATAGAATTTTCCATTCTGTATCATCTGGATTCTTATTTAAAGTGTAAACTAATTTTGTTCTTTCTACTGCGTAAGAAGGTTTATACCACTTTATGCTTAGTAATTAAATTTATATGTCAGTTTAAGTCCAGTCTCCACTACTCTAAGTCCTGCTCCTGTTCCCCATCATCTTATATAGGAACCTTCATTTTTCAATGGTTTATATTAAAAAACCTAAGACAATTGAAATCAATCCTATAAAAATTATGCTACAATTATTTTAAACCCTAACATAATAGTATTATCTTTGATATCAATCCAAAAATCAATTTATTTCTTATCTTTTGATAGATACTCATTAGTATGTTCTATCCTATTTTGTTACTTACATTTTGGAAAAGTTTCTTAATGTTAGAATAATATTTATACATGTTAACTCCTCTACTTATCCATTTATTCATTTTATTTATTGTGTAATCTATTCTAAAAATCGCATTCGATAATGGTAATATATTAGCAAAGAAGACAAATACTGCCATTGCCACCTTGGAATTTTCAATCTGGTAGTAATAAGTATAAGAGTTTTCTGAATGTTATAATCTGATATAATATACTCGAGAAGATGTAATAGCAGAGCAACCCAGCACTGAAAAACTGTTGTATGAGCTGAAATGCGATTAATAACTAGGATGTTGAGAAATAATAAAGTCTGTGAGGTCAACTTAACTTGGTCAGTCTTAGAAAGAAAATAAGCACACTTCTTTATTCTTTGTAAGATAAGATATCCACCAGTTCAGTTTTCTACCCCAGCCTGGTTCAAATATACAAGTAAGACAAACGGTTTACAGTGTGTACAAACTGAAAACATACTCTCTGAAAAATAAATCAGATTTAAAAAAGAACTTATATTGTATGATTTTATTTACCTGAATGCAAAAACATAAAAAGTAGATTAAGTGTTCTGAAGGAATGGGGGAGGGTGAATGGAGAATAAATGTTTATGGGTATTGGGATTCTTCTGGAAGTGATAAAAGTGTACAGGCAGTAGAGAGTTCTGATGGCTGCTCAAGTGTGATATACTAACAATCTCTGAATTAAATACATTAGAACATGACTTTCACAGTAAGTGAATGAACCTCAACAAAACTTGTACAAAAAAAGCCATTATTGATGTTCTAGTAAAGGTTCCACAATAAGTTATTAATTAAAATAACTTAATTAACGAATGTACACATTCAAGGTGGTTATCCCATTTATAACCATAAAGTAATTACATTCCATGAAGTTACAATAAGCTCACAGGCTCTCACACATAGGGTCTTAGGACACTATTTGCCTCATATATGGGAGCTCACAATAAATCATCATGAAACCAACTTTTCATGTACAACCAAAGCAAAAGAAAGGCCTCAGAGGGGAAGAGAAGGAGGAAGGAGGAAAACCATAGATAAGAGAACCTTTAGAAACATCAAAAAAACTCACAGATCCATTATCATAATCCAGAAACACCCCAACCCAACCCAGAGGCCTTTGCACATACTGGATTAAAGGTGGAGAATTGGTGGAGAGACTATAGTGATTGCTCGTCTTTGAAGAAATTGAAAAAAATGTTTTGTCAGAATCAATAACTATATTGGTATCTGCTGTCCTAGAATCTCGACAGACTCCCAGAATCCAGTTGGAGGAGTGGGTCACATCCACTTCCCAGTAATGCTTGCCGGAGGTGAATGCTTGCGCACACCACACAGCAAAGCTCTCCACTCCTTGGGGATCCATGGGTGCACTGCGATGGTCATCTCCAAATATCACACGTCTCACATCCTCAGAAAGGCTTATATAGCAAGGAGTCATTTCTGTACTCAGAGCATTATCCACTGACAAGGAAAAAATATTATATTAGTGAGTGCTATGAGGGACAGAGGCTCTGTGGCCCAATTATTCACTTCATTTGCTCTTCTTCCAAGGAAATACAGAAAAAAGGAAACCAAGAGAGTTCAGCCCCATGCATCCATGAAGATGAAATGTTATTATACCTCTACAGCATATACAATTATGTATTATTTCTTAAATAATAGAGAAAAAATGTGACCATATCACTGGGCAAAGTAATGATTTAATGTCTATCTCTTCATAGTTTGTTTCAGAACATATCTAAAATGTTTTTTTTCTTCAATAGAAAAATCTTCTTGTATTATTTGTCTTTAAGATAATCAACAGGTAGACATCAATTTGCTGTGATGTGAGTATTTATTGGAATGTAAGTTATGCCTGTTATAGTCTCAAACATCAAAAATTTGGTAGAAATTAACACATGTAAAGTTTATAAGTTTCTGAAAAGAATACTCTGGCTTTACATTATCTGTTTAGCCCCTGATTCAATCTACTCTGTGTTCCTGCCCTCTGCCACCTAGACTTGCTCTCTAGAATGGGCCTAACATTGTTAGGCCATGTTCACAGATCCCTCACCTTTCACTTGTTATGAGATGTTTCTGATGGCATTAGAATTGTCCTCATTATGGATATTTTAGTCATTTTCTTTGTTGATCAAAATGTTCTGATTTTGTAAATAATAAAAATTACTTATAGAATGTATGTAAATGCACAAAGAATAGAAATAATTAAAAACCATTATGCCAAATCTAAGCCTTTAAGATTGAATTAAATTGAATAAACATGAAATACTGATGCCACCATGAAAACTAGTGTCTTCGTAACTACATGACCTGAATATTCTTTGTCCTCTTATTCTGCAGATAAAGTATGTATCTTGCTTTACATTTTCATCAAACTGTAAGTCAGGAAATTGAGTTTTGATCATTGTAATATTACTATGCAGGTAGAGAAGATGCACATGTTTTGGAAAACTATGTATTACCTACATGTCAAAACTAATAAAACGTAAATGGGAGAAGCCTCAACCAAGGGACCCAATAAGGAAATAATTTGAGGCTGGACTGCCAAGCAGCTGGCTCTTGCCTCTGAAGTTGTTGAGCATGTCTAGGACTCCAGTTATGCACCATGAAGTGAGCTCTGGGTTCACTGGCTGGGGCTTTGGCATCTGTGCCAAATCAGTTCTGCAAAAAAAAAATGGCCTCAGTTATATTTCCAGGACCAGAGCTAATCACACAGTCATATGAAGATATCATATTTTCATATAAGATGTTTCCTCAGAATTCTGCCGGTTTTGGTTAACTGGATGTACATTTTATTCCACACTCTAGGGGCCATAAGGATGTTAATTTTTTTAAATTTTACTTGCATAAAAACCCAATTTCTCCAGATATGTTATTCTCAGACATTATACAACTTCTGAAGTCATTAAAAGTCATTGCCTCCCTCTGCCCATCACACCCCCTGAGGGTATGCAGAAATTCTGGAAATATTTCAGAGAGCAGAAAACTCAGACAAAAACCTTTGGGACCTCAGGCTGCAGTTGTCACTAATGCTAGTCAGTGTCTAATAGAGAATGTTCGCTGAGACAAAAGGCTTTAATCTTTTGTGCAAAACAAAGGAGTCTAATTCCAGCCTGAGAACCCTGCTGCTGAGGGTCCCGAGGCAACCATTTTCCTGAGGTCTTTCCTAGAACTGGGTGTATGGTGATGGAGCAAGCCCGGGTCATTGATGCTTTTAGGAACAAAACATCCCGCCTCAGCCCATCCTTAGGGAATATCTCTCCTCGATCTGTCTTTTTTTTTTTTTAACCTCCCACCCCTCTAGAGTAGAAGACACCTCTATGATTCCTCAGAGTAATTTTGTATTAAGATCTCTGGGGTAGGGCTGGACAGGAAGGATGGATTAGGAGAACAAACTTCCGAATGGCAAATTGTTTTTACATATATTTTAATTCATACAAATTTTAAGATGGAAACTTTCCAAACCAAAGAGAAGAAGATCTCAGGCCCTCTTTTGAAACAAAATCAGAAATAGCCACTGAGAATGATGTTAGTACTCAAAATGTATACATCCCCTTCATTCACAAGAGAACAAATTTTTCAGAAATAGCATTTTTTTTAGTGTAAACTCACCTTGCCGATATATTTCCCACATCCTGCAAAAAAAATAAAATGTAATGTTAATTATGAGAGATTTTTCCTTCTGCATCTTTTCTCATACTCTTGTTTCTTTCTGTTTTAGTGTTTTAATAATGTATATCTTTTTATTCCCCTCTAAGGAATCATTCAAGGCTATGTTAATAACAGAACCTCAACTAAACAATGAAAAGCTTCATCAGTGGGCATTAAGACGAAATGAGCTCAGCAAGAGACGGTGGAGTAAAGCAAAGATACCTAGGTTTCCAGTCTCATTAATTTCCTAATCTTATTTCCAAGGAAAGGTCTGACCACACATGACAACTATTAAAACAAAACAGAGAACCATATGAGAAACAGAGTACATGGACATTGATGAGCCGCTTTGACAAACCTTGCCCAGGCAAGGGGAAACCCCTCAATGTCTTCAGCAAATCACTGCTGTGTGGACATCAGAGAGTGAGGAGGAACTAGGGCATATACATGGATATTACTAACCTTCCCCTGGCCTAGAGTTCTAATGATCTTAGATGATCTCTCTTGTGGATAGTACTCCAAATTATATTGAAGAGAACTTTGTTATATGTTATCTACTAAAATGGCAAAAATTTCCCAAAGATTACCAAAGTATGCAGTAATAAATGACTGGAAAAATGTAATGGTGGAAGTCACACAGCATGTGTCACTTAGCTTAGAGCAGTGACATATGCTGATGACATTTGCATGTCCTGGCAGCATTGTCCAGCAAAGGCTTCCTGTCTCTGAGGATGGACCCTCCCTCCTCACCTGGAGCAGCTCCACGTCAGGCATGTGGTATGTCTCCCACAGCTCTCTGTACATGTCTTTCATCCCTTCTAAATGTTGGGTCATTCTCACTTGACTGTCTTGTAGTTGTTGGAAAAGCTCTTTTGCTTCTCTTTCCAGTGCCTGCAGATGCCGTTGCTCCTCCTCATCGAGAAATATATGCATCTTTTGATACTGAATAGTGATTATCACCTTCCTTAATGACACATAGTCCTGCAGAGACGTTTGGTTAAAAGGATTACATGTTCTCACTCTCAATAGAAAACTTCAAATAATTATATGCTGGGTGTAATCAAGCAATTTATAAACTTTCTGCTTCACTCTTGCAAAGAGTCTTGAATATTTGCTATCTTTTTCTGTCCATCTTTTTCAATGTTCCTATTCTCTCTCCCTTTTTAAATCAAACCAATATAAAGACTCCTGGTTTCCGTCACTGTAATGCTTCTTCACAGTTCTTACTGAGTCAATTATTTCCTCTATTAATCTCTCTTTCAGGATTTTTCCATGTCTAATTTGCCTAAATGTTAAAAAACATTTAGCCATGCACCATATTATGCAGTATTTTTTTACTTTTACTATATTTTTACTCTATATACTATTCTATTTCTTTTGTCTTCCTGACACCCAGTCTTAGTGAAAGGTTGTCTCATCTGCAGTGTCTGAAAAGGTTTATGCCAACCTTCAAATTTGAACTAGAATACACATCATGCCGTTTATCCAATATACTAGAATTAATTTGGCTAGCTTGTGTGGGCTTCTCTGTTTGCAATTCCTATTATATCAATTGAAATCACTACATTTTCTTGAGGTGAAATCACTATCTTTTAACTGGTAGTTTGAATTTAGCTAAAAAGTATAAGCCAACTTTGTGTTTATTTGCATAAAAACAAAGGAAACATTTTCATTCTTAACCACTAATGAACAAAATTTGCTAGTTTCCTGATTTAGATTGTTTTGTGTCTCTTGATTGATTTTCCATAAATAGTCCATTTCCTTTATAAGTTTCTCTTGCAAAAGAAGCAAGAAGCTTAGCAATGATGAAGACAGTAGATCTTATCCCTTTATCAATAAAAAAAAGGCCGTAATTGAAAGAAACATAAATTAAGTTAGAGTGGAGTGGTCAGATTTTTCCAAGTTAAACAAATATGGTTCTAATAATTTGGATGTGAAAAGTGATAGAAACATAATAGAGAGTTTTAAGGGACCTTTCAGATAATATCATCAATTTTCTGAGAAACTGGGTTTTACATAACCTGACTTTGAAAAGTGTTCTTGGTGCTGGCCACCAGCTCCACAGCTCCATCCTATATGTTTGAACAATGTTTCTAAGGAAACCTCCTTTAGTGAAGTCTCAACACAGCTATGATTAGAGTGCCAAATTAGTCAGCAACATTGAAAGGACACATTTATGTGTTATGATTGACATGGAATAATCGCCACCTCCACTATCTGCATTCTCATCACCATCATTATCACAGGCCCTCATCATTCTTATTTGATATTCTGTATAATTCAAACTGCCTTAGAGGCATCACGTACCCTGCATTCCTCAGCAGCCCATCCTATTGGGCTGTGGCTGTGAGCCATGTGCTCTGGTGACTCAGAGCAGGGCCCACAGAGCAATCTCTTGTCAGCCTCACAGAAGAGCTCCTTAGTCTCCTCATGGAGCACACAGATATTGTCTGAGCTGTTGATGTTCTGAGGTCTGGTCTGTCTGGCTAGGGAAGCCAGCTTTTTGAGTGCCACATTGGTGTTGAAGTTGGGCTTCTCTGAGATTTTTCTGCACAAAGGGCAGCGCATTGGTGCTCTGCCTTCTTCTGAGCAGAGGCAGAGGCAGGGCCTGCAAAAGCTGTGCACACAGTCAGTGGTGACCGGGTCTATGAAGTAGTTCACGCAAATGCAGCAAATGAGCTCATTCTGGAAGACTCGCAGGGTGTCTGAATCCATGTTTCTTGAAATTAAAAAAAAAAAAAAGTAAGAATTTCTTTCTCTTATTTTTATTTGCCCCGATGAAAAGGAAAAAAAGGCCAGTGGACAATTTTCCTTTCTACTTGAGCTCTGTCCAATATGTCTAATAAGTTAGCTCCAGCACAAACTGAGACATAGTAAATGCAAACATGCTGGATTTATAAAGTTTTCCCTCAATAGCCATTGAAGGTTCGGTCCAGGACTCCCTGAGAACCAAGATCCTAAGATGTTCAAGTCTCTTATTAGTAAATGGTGTGGGATTTGCATGTAACCTAAACCCATCTCCTGAATACTTTATCTCTAGATTACTTTGAATGCCTAATACAATGTAAATGCTGTATAAATACTTGTAATGCCATACTGTTTAGGAACAGCAAGAAGATTAAAAATATGTACAAGTTTGGCAGGGTGCGGTCACTCATGCCTGTAATCCCAGCACTTCGGGAGGCCGAGGCGGGCGGATCACGAGGTCAGGAGATCAAGACCATCCTGGCTAATATGGTGAAACCCCATTTCTACTAAAAATACAAAAAATTAACAGGGCGTGGTGGCACATGCCTGTAGTCCCAGCTATTCGGGAGGCTGACGCAGGAGAATCACTTGAACCCAGGAGGTGGAGGTTGCAGTGAGCTGAGATCGCGCCACTGCACTCCAGCATGGGTGACAGAATGAGATTCTGTCTCAAAAAAAAAAAGAAAAAAAAGTACATGTTCAGTACAGCTGCTTTTTTCTTCCTGTAAATATTTTTTATCTGAGGTTAGTTGAATCCACGGGTATGAAACATGGATATGAAAAACCGTGATTCAAATGAGAAAATGAGACGAGAGTCCTCATGGCATTTTTGTTAAACAATCCGTGCTCTCAATCATTCTCAGTTACTTAGACAAGCTTAAAACCTGGGTGGAGGGTAAAAGCTGAGATGATTTCTGAGTCACTTATATAAGCTAATTAATGAAGAAGCACATTCTGAATGTCATCCTGTCTCTGTCATTCTATCTCTCTCAGTGATTCCATGATGATAATATACGAAACACACTTAGTATCTATGGTATTATTCTATACTCCCTGCCTCCAAACTCACCTATGAAGTTTGCTCAGGCAATTATAAATAAAGTAGCTTTTATCTAAGATTGAGTAATCAGAGTGGACTGTCAACTCCTAAAATTATCAATCATTAAATTTGTCCTTTTAACTTTAATATCAAAACTCTTCCTTTCAATACATTAAATGTAATTAATATCTATTATATTTAATTTAGGAAAGTTTTTTCCCATTGTCAATTCAGATGATTAGAGAGAACACTTTCACATTCTGAAATAGCCAATATTTCAACATAATAATTAACAGGAATTAATCAGCAATTAATTATCTTCTAAAATAACAAAAAAAGTGAAGATATGTATTAGGTTTTCCACTCAATACTAGAAAATCCAGGAATGCAGTTAATGGAAGCATGGCCACCAATTCACCTTTCCCCTTAGTGACTTAGAAGTTGCAGCCTCTTGGGAGCTCTTGCCAGTTGATTAGATCTATTGATCTATTTTCTTTCTTTCTTTCTATCTTTTTTTTTTTTTGGTGGTTGTTGTTGTTGTTGTTGTTGAGATGCAGTCTCGCTCTGACTTCAGGCTGGAGTGCAGTGGCGGGATTTCAGCTTACTGCAACCTCCGCCTCCCAGGTTCGAGCAACTCTCCAGCCGAGGCCTCCCGAGTAGCTGGTATTACAGGCACCCGCCACCACACCAAGATAATTTTTTTGTATTTTTGGTAGAGACCTGGTTTCACCATGTTGGCCAGGCTGATGTCTAACTCCAGACCTCAAGCGATCTGCCTGCCTTGGCCTCTCAAAGTGCTAGGCTGCAAACATGAGCCATCATGCCCAGCCGATTACATCTATTTTCAACAGCTTTCAAATCTAGTCTGCAAACTGCAAATTTTGAAGACACAGCAAATAAGACCTTTGCAACAAGAATTTTCGAAGTAATTCAACATTTTTAACATTCACTTTGGTGTACGTTACAACCATTACTACATGCCCACATTCTAATGAATATTTTAGGTATTTTATGGGTTCTATCATTGCATGAAACTATGGAAATATATCTTTTCTCACTTAAGAAAAATCTAACAATACAGAAAACAGTCACATAAAAAGAATCAAATAGCAAGGGAACACAAACCATATCTTACAAATTGAAGATACTTTATATTGATTTTCTGTAAAATCACTAAGACAGTTACTTGATTGCTTAGAAAAGACCCAAGCAGTTGGGCCCACGAAAGACCATAACCACTTCCTGAGATTGATTAGATTGCACAGAAATGGGTAAATTAGCTGATTAGGTTTATAAAGTATTGAAACCCAGACTTGAGGGCTCAAAGCTCAACAGACAAGTTTGGAATGAGATGCAAGAAAGTTGACTTAACACAGTTTATTCAAAGCAATATTTTAAGTAGCTGGGCGAGGTGGCTCATGCCTGTAATCCCAGCATTGTGGGAGGCCCAGGAGGGTGGATCACGAGGTCAGGAGTTCAAGACCAGCCAGGCCAAGATAGTGAAACTCCATCTGTACTAAAAATACAAAAACTTAGCCGAGTTCGGTGGCAGGCGCTAGTAATCCCAGCTACTTGGGAGGCTGAGGCATGAGAATCACTTGAACCTGGGAGGCAGAGTTTACACTGAGCCGAGATAGCACCACTGCACTCCAGCCTGGGTGACAGAGCGAGACTCTGTCTCAAAAGAAAAAAAAAAAAAAGAAATATTTTAAATACTACAATTATTTCATTAAATATTATCACTTGCTAACTTTTCTTTTTCTTTTGAGACGGTATCTCGCTCTGTCGCCCAGGCTGGAGTGCCATGGCTCGGTCTTAGCTCACTGCAACCTCTGCCTCTCGAGTTCAAGTGATTTTCCTGCCTCAGCCTCCCAAGTAGCTGGGATTACAGGCACCTGCCACTAAGCCCAGCTAATTTTGTATTTTTAGTAGAGACAGGGTTTCACCACATTGCTTAAGCTGGTCTGGAACTCCTGACTTCATCTGATCTGCCCACCTTGGCCTCCCAAAGTGCTGGGATTACAAGCGTGAGCCACTGCACTGGGCCACATGCTAACTTTAAAATTTTGTTTCTCACTCTGTTTTAAAATTATAGTTGCTTATGTGCCTAGCCATTATTTATCTGAATATGTTCGAAGATAAAACATTAACTGGGATTACCAACACATCTGTGCTGTGTAACTTTCTTGTTTAAAAAAGTATAGCAAGGAACTCAATTGTGTTTCACATAATTGTATCTATAACGGTTGATAGAATTAGTTGTATCAGCCTGTTTGTCTTATAGCCTATTTTATGGCTATTGTATGTCTTATAGTCTATTTTATGACTATTTCCTAATGATTGTTTTATATGAAAATAAAATCTATTTTTTATTCATCCACATTTTTGAATAATTTTAAAAGTGATGCTTTACATATATATGTACATAACTATAACAATGTTATGTATTCATATTTTTAAAAGTATATAATAATTATTTACACAATAATAATAATTATTATTACCTCTTTTTTGAGACGCAGTCTCCCTCTGTCACCCAGGCTGGAGTGCAATGGCATGATCTCAGCTCACTGCAACCTGTGCCTCCGAGGTTCAAGTGATTCTCCTGCCTCAGCCTCCCGAGTAGCTGGGATTACAGGTGTCTGCCACCGTGACTGGCTAATTTTGGTATTTTTAGTAGAGATAAGGTTTCACCAAGTTGGCCAGGCTGGACTCGAACTCCTGACCTCAGGTGATCCGCTATTATCATTTTAGACTTCAAGTCCTTTTCAAACCAGTTTTTCTTTTCCAAATTGGAGACTTTTTCTTAAGAAATAATTCAAGAAATGAAAATACTATGACAAAATATAGAACTTTGTGACAGTTCTTGGACACTTTAGCAATATATAACTATTACTTTCAAAAAGATTAATATAATTCACAATATTATCAGAAATCCATGGAGAGCGTATGCTTCAGTGTACCAGACAGAGCAATGGGCACAACCAAGGTGTCAATTGTTATGCTACTGTGAGCAGCAGAACAATAGCAAAAGGGTTCCATCTAATCATTTCAACATAGAAGCAAACTTTTTATTAGGATTTCTTGCTAATATCAAAATATTCAGCTAAAAAATTTTATTTCCTGGGAAATGATATAAAATATCAATAAGCATGATAAAATACACTATCATTATGAAATGCCATAATTAGTGCATGAGATAAACACAGGGTTTCACAGAAAGATAAAGTCTTTGAATGTTCACAAAGAGATTCTCAGATTATTTGAATGATATTTAATAAACTTAGAGTTGACCCTTGAACACCATGGTGGTTGGGGTGTCAAGATCCCGTGTAGTCAGAAATCAGCGTATAAAGTTTGTCTTCCTCAAAACTTAGCTATCAATAGCCTAATGTTGACTAGAAGCCTTAATGATAATATTCACAGTTGATTAACGCATATTTTATATGTTATATGTATACTGTATTTTTACACTAAAGTTAGCTAAAGGAAAGAAAATATTAAGAAAATAAAAAGAAAAATACATTTAATATTCATCAACAGAATACTAAATATAATTAGTGGAAGTGGATCATTATAAGGGTTTTCATCCTCATCATTTTCATGTTGAGTAATCAGAGAAGGAGGAGAAAGAGGAGGGGTTGGTCTTGCTGTCTCAGGGGTGTCAGAAGCAGAAGAAACTCCAATTATAAGTGACTCACATAGTTCCAACCAGTGTCATTCAAGGGTCAACAGTATATATAGGTCAAAAGCTTTAAAACTATATTCTCTGATTTTCTAAATAAAATTAAACTACATTACATAAAAAAATTTAATAGGAAATTTCTTGGAATTTCAGGCAGGTAAATTGGGGCGGGGGTGCTGGAAACTATATACTAGATAAACCATTGTACTATTGGATTTCCACATAATTCACATATGTGATTAACACATATATGATGAGAGAGGCAGTGCTTAGAGATGTAGCAGAAAAGGTAGCATAGGGTAGTTCAAGATGGGGCCTAGATGCAAGGCTGAAGAATCTGTATTGATCATTTACTGATTCAAACATAAAATGAATACTGTGAAGAGAAGAGATGAAATGAAATTACATATACATTCTGAAAGAAGTAAAGATTTCCTGATGGAAAAGTAAAACAAATAATATTAAAGACACTCCTAAGCACTAAGAAAGAAATTGGCTCTGTGTGAAAGAGAGAGATAACATGAGCTTAATTATTTATATTATAAGTCATCTTGATTCTTTAAAGGTGATATCCTTAAGGATAGTACTTACAATACTTTTTTCTTCAAAATATCAAGTGCCTACTATGTCTTAATAAACATTCTAAGCCAATGCAGAAATGAACAAATGAGACAGATTTTCTTGCACCTAAAGAGCTAATGAGGTTGCAGGGTGAGAAACACAAGTCAACAAGTCAAAATACAACATTCAAAAAGTGAAGCTGGCACAGTGGCTCTAGCCTGTAATACCAGCACTTCAGGATTCTGAAGCAGGAGGATCACTTGTGCTTAGCAGTTCAAGACCAGCCTCACCAACAAAGTGAGAGCTCTTTTCTCTAAGAAAAGATAAACAAAATTAGCTGGGGTTGTGGCACGTCCCTGTATTCTCAGACACTGGCTTAGGTGAGAGGATTTCTTGAACCTGGGAAGTCAACGCTGCGTTGAGCTGGTATTGCACCATGCTTAAGCCTGGATGACAGAGCAAGACCCTGTTTCGAAAAGAAAACAAAATTGATAGAGTGGCGCATTGTGATAAGTGCTTTAGAGAAAAATACAGCAGGAAATGAAAATAAAGACTAATAGACAAAAATTGATTTTTGTTTTGTTTTGTTTTTGTTTTTGTTTTTGAGACAGTGTCTTGCTCTGCCACCCAGGCTGGAGTGCAGTGGCGCAATCTTGGCTCACTGCAAGCTCTGCTTCCCAGGTTCACGCCATTCTCCTGCCTCAGCCTCCCGAGTAGCTGGGACTACAGGTGCTCACCACCACGCCCAGCTAATTTTTTTTTGTATTATTAGTAGAGACAGGGTTTCACCGTGTTAGCCAGGATGGTCTCGATCTCCTGACCTCGTGATCTGCCCGCCTCGGCCTCCCAAAGTGCTGGGATTACAGGCGTGAGCCACCGCACCCGGCCCAAAATTGAATTTTTAATATAACGGTCAGAAAAGACATAGTATAGAATATATTTGGGCAGATACCTAAAGGAGGCTAGAAACGAAGGTGCGTGGCTATTTCATGTATTTCAGCTTTTTCCTAGCTTTTTAGGAAGCGATAACTACATTAAAAATATCTAAATATAAACTGATTATTTCTCCACACCATATTTGCCCCCATTGTCTATTATGAAGCTTCTGATATAAAGGAGAAGGAATGAGAATACAGAAAATTGAAGCCAGATCTCAAGGTTGAGAGTAATTTATTTATGGTCAATAAAGTCTCATAATATGTACGGTAATTTAAGCATGGTAGGTGAGTGTTATTCAGTGTGAAATGAATCAAAATCTTACTCAGAATACTGAAAGTAAATATGTCAAGTGTATATGGAGACCAGAGACAAGTGCTCTGCTGCCTTTGGCACAGAGCACAAGCAACACTTTTAAGCTTCATTACTTGTTTCTCAGTATCAGAGGAGGGGAGAATGTCTGCCTATTGACCTCGACAGCATCCTCCTGCAACTAATCATCCCTCATTCCCCTTGTCCCTGAATTCCCTTGACCCACCCCCTCCTTCATTTGATTGGCTCTGTGTACTCGTTAGAATCAGAAGATCTGGGGGAACTGTGGCTTCTAAACATGTACACTAGACTCTACCCATATCCAGCCCTGTGACCCTACAAACGTGCTCAACTGAATTTTCCTCCCATAGAGACACTCTTCCTGCTGAGTTTCTCTCCTCTGCTCCTAGAGCCAAATGGCATCTCCTGTCCTATCCCTGGATGGCTTAACTCAGGAAAACTCCTGGATCCAAGAGGAGTCAGACAAAGGAATGGTGGCCTTGTGGGTGCTGATATTCTCACAGATGTAAAGGGGATATCCTGAAATCTAAGGTTTTTTCCTTCCCTTTTCCCTCCCTTACAGCTTCTGCTGCTCCTGGGAGCTTTGCTCCATCTCTCATCCAGCTCAGACTGTTGCTGGGCCTGATAGTCTTTGCATAGTCAAGGTGGTTCTTGAAGAACTCTTGTCTGCACGAGGTCTGAGCTGCTTCTCCAGAATCTGCAGCATGGGTTTCCATAACTGCATGAAGATCTGGAGCCACTGGTAACTAGGCAGAGAATGTTCTCATGTGTCTAACATGGCATGACACTCCTTTCCATGAGCAGTAGAATAAATGCATTCAGATGAAGCCCTGCCATCATTACTTTGTCAGAAATAGATTCTGTCAATAGGTCTTACTGGTATAAGTGTTAGAGATGAGAATACATTTTAAAAGTGTTGCAGTGATAGTATGTAGTAATTCTGAAGTTTTCAAAACCTAAAGAGCAGATGGGCAGAATAACAACTTGTTTGTTTCTTTGATTCTTTGTTTGTTTGTTTTGAGACAGAGACTTCTGTCAACCAGGTTGAAGTCCGGTGGCCCAATCTCAGCTCACTGCAACTTCTGTCTCCTTGGTTCAAGCTATTCTCCTGCCTCAGCCTCCCTAGTAGCTGGGACTAAAAGCATGCACCACCACACCTGGCTAAATTTTTTGTATTTTTAATAGGGTTGGGGATTTGCCATGTTGTCCAGGCTAGTCTGGAAATCCTGACCTCAGGTGATCCACCCACCTTGGCCTCCCAAAGTGCTGGGATTACAGGTGTGAGCCAACTCACCCAACAAGAATAACAACTTTCTAAAGAAGTCGTTTTTTTTTTTTCTCTCTCTCTCTTTCTCTCTACAGGATTTGGGAGACATGGTGGCAAGGTATGTTATTGGCCATCAATGCAAGCTGGAGCACAAGGCATGCTATGAAAAACATCAAGTTGTTTCCAACAAAGGGAAAACATAATTTACTAACACCATAATGTGTCAGTGTGATTGTGTGTGTATGTGTGTGTACTTATGTGTTTGTGTGGTATGTTGAATGTTACCTATGCCTTTTATCAGACATTAAACTTTTCTTACTTTTCCAACTGACTCAGGGGGTTATGTTTTGAAGAGTTCAATGCAGAAGTTGCTAGAATATAATTGCCTCTTTTTAGGATTCAGAATCATAATTAGAGATCAACTATTTGGTGGCAGATAAGGAGAGAGGCATTTATCTTTCAGTGACAGTAGGTTAGAAATGGAGTGAAGAGTTAGAAAGATTCCCTAAGGGCCACAAACCCATCCTAGGATTGTGGAGGTACATTACAATATCAGAAGTGGGTTTGAATGAAGCATTTTCTTTGGAATCTATTTCTTAAACACAGACATCAGAAACTTAACCAACTCAACCTGCTTCCTTGCAGGAGTGAATCCGTGCTGCTGCACATGCCCCAGCCTGTGAATCCAGAGCTCACTATAGGGCCCATCACAGGACCGGTGGACAGGCTCAACCACTTCCGAGGTGAGTGTGGCCCTCTTGGTGGAATCAACATGCAATGCCTTCAATTATGGTTTTCTATGGGCAGCCTTCCCAGTGTAATGATTTTTCATCTAGAAGAAGAGAATAGTCTGTGAATAGGTATTTATATTTATAGTTTCACTATTATCAAACAGACAAAACTAAATAAAAGATGGTGGAATCAGCCATATAACAAATTTCTTGGAAAAGTAAAACATGCAGAGGGGCTCTTTAGATGTAGAACCATTCATGTATGGTTCAACTGTGATACAATTTCATGTATACAATTATTACATGAAGTATACAGAACTGAATTAATTCAGGACATTTCAATTTCAAATTCAGTGTAGTTAATGACTGATTTCAGTGACAGTGTTTTTTTAAATACATTTCAGGTGAAGTTTCATAGCATTTATAATTTTAATCATGTGCGTTTTAATCAATTAAAGCATACATGAGTAACTTATATAACAACACAAACACTGAGAATCTGTGAACAATAGGAACGTGATTTGGTGGTTGATGAGGCCTTAGATAGAACTCCAGGATAGATCATGATAAATCCAGCAAATAAAAGAAGTCTGTGCCTGAATCTGGCACGAAAGTCAGATAATTCTTGCAAGGAATCTGCACTTTTCAGAAGGCAGATTCAGATTTTCTCTTTAAGTATGAATTTGCTAGTTTAAGTGGCAGATTATATAATATTTCTGGAAAGTGATAACTTTTTTATTTGGGTCTAAGAATGGCTCCCCACCTCATCTCCTGTCCCCAGCCTCCTGCTCTGCCCTGACAGAGAAGAGGCAATGGAGGTTAATTTTATTGCTGTGGACTTGGCTGCAGTGCAAGAGCTTCCCATTTTTCAGTTGTTGTGAAAGGTCGCTAACTAGACATAGACATGACCTTCCTCCCCTTTATACTTTTTGAGTTTATAGAAATTGTGATCATTGAAGTTGAGCCATTTACTTGTGCAGGTATCCTAACACCCTTTGATTCCAACATTTTTCCAGGCAGAAGTTTCTTTCTAATCTTGACCTGTGTTTTCTAGTGAGAATCTCTTTCTTATCTGAACATAAGAATTTATAAACTGCTTTTCACTGGAACATTCTCTTTTTTCTACAGTGGAAACTTCCTTCACTTGGGAAGTAACCAATTACAATATCAGGCTGTTTGAGGATGTGAGAAGTTTGATGTTTAGATGTGGATCTTTGAATTCTGACAGATCTGACAATTTTGCTGCATGGGGAGCCTGGGTCTTCTCCTCTGGCAAACACTACTGGGAGCTGGATGTGGACAACTCTTGGGACTGGGCTCTGGGAGTCTGTAAGGACTCCTGGATAAGGAAGAATAGTACAATGGTTAAATCTAAGGACATATTTCTTCTTTTATGTGTTAAGGTGGATAATCATTTCAGTCTCTTGACCACCTCCCCAATGTTTCCTGACTATGTAGAGAAACCTCTGGGCCGGGTTGGTGTGTTTCTTGATTTTGAAAGTGGAAGTGTGAGTTTTTTGAATGTCACAAAGAGTTCCCTCATATGGAGTTACCCGACTGGCTCCTTAAATTTTCCTGTCAGGCCTTTCTTTTATACTGGCCACAGATGACCAGGATTAAGAAACCTGACTGTTCGGGAACTCCATATACAAGGGAGCCCCTCACTGTTGATGCAAAGAAATCATACTGTTCAGGCTTTTTTCTACTTTAGTGTCACTTCATTTTATTGGTATTAAATAGAAGATATGTAAAATGCAAAACATTTTTGTACATTTTCTTACAATTAAAATAATCTCTTATGGCCCATTACCTAAAATATGTATTGTGATTTTCAAGTGTTTGTGAATTTATTGGATGGAATTCTGGAAATATGTGGGTGTGTGATTCCCACTTAATGATCCCATGCAGGAACAAAATTTGCACATAATGGACAGACAGGATTTCGTACAATACACTTGTAAGTGTGAGAGCTCTCTCCCATTAATACAGTAAATTCTACACCTCACCACTTTAGGCGGAAAAATTTATTTTACACAGAAGTTTTCACTGAATCTTTGGGCCAGAATAGGAATTTAACAGTCATGCATCCTATGGCAACAAAAACACATTCTGAGAAATGCATTACTAGGCGATTTTATCATTGTGTGAACATTAGAACACACATAAAAACCTAGATAGAATATCCATCTACAGATATAAGCTAAATGGTACAACCTATTGCTTCTCTGAGAAGTTGCTAGCAATGTCTGAGCAGGAACCAAAAGGGTTTAACCCACATTGAATTCTGTAGCTGTTTAATAAAGCAAACAGCATCACCCAGGGAAAAATAAACAGATGAGCAGACTGTCTACTTTAAAATGTGTTTATACTTCCCATTCACACGGATTGTGAATTCTCATTGTTAACCTAGAGTCCCAGCAACTCAGGAGGCTGAGGCAGGAAAAACGTGTGAACCTGGGAGGCAGAGGCTGCAGTGAGCTGAGATCGTGCCACTGCACTCCAGTCTGGTGACACAGCGAGACTCCATCTCAAAAAAAAAAAAAAAAAAATAGCTTCGAATTCCAAAACACTTAATGTTGCACCCTCCTTGAACAATAACTAAAAAAACTCATTTCCACTCAGTGAAAATACAATCTTTACGCCTATAACTGGTATCAGCAGATCAATATAAAAAATACAGTACCAAGCTACACTGGTATATTTCCATTTTGAGAACTTCACAATATCCTCATTGCTGAGAGCATAGTCCTTGCATTAGTTTTCAGTCCGCTATGAACAATTATCTGCTGCATGTAAACGTGTCTAAATAACTATAGATAAAATACATCAATCATAAATTTCTGCAAAAGTTAATAAAATATCTTCTTTAAAAACAAAACAATAAGCTATTACTGCATTATTTCCAATTTTATGAAAATGGAACAAATATATGGTTGTTGCTAGTCTTGAGTTCATTGTAACAAAAATGGCCCTAGTTCCTGGTTAAAGTCAGCAACCAATCCATTTTCTTCAATAGATGTCTTCTAGTTGTGTAGGCAAGAATTTGTTTTACATGCTATTCTGTCAATTTATAAAATTATACACCAGAAACTGACCAGTGCCACAGTACTCTGTTGCAAACAGTTTTCCATCAGGAGTGGGATCTGAGAAAGCAATTTCTTCTTTACTCAAATATGAGGCATATATAAAGTTACTCCTTAGGCATTCAATCATGCGAGAAGCAATTTTCTTCTGACACATCATGCTGAATACCCATATTCGACTGATCCCACAGATTGCAGGCTCTGGTAATGTTGAGCAGCAAGATTCCAATTTTAAATAAATGGGAGACTATGTTTTTCTCACGTACTTATTCAAATAGAGGAGGTAATCAAAACGAAGATTGACACTTTCATCAACTGGATTTCCTCTCTACGTGCAAGAAAGTGCAATCTGTTGCCATCTCCTGTTCAGTGAGAAAGCTGAAAAAACATCCTGAGCAAGAGGACCTGAATGTAAGGAAATGACCTGGTGTTTTCCTCAGTACTTCTGTTCCTATCCTATTGCTTCAAGCTTAGGTATACAGCACACTGAACTGCAAGATGTATCCGGAAATGCTGAATACACACTAAAATATTTATTTTTATTTCCTTTATTTTATTTTTATTTCTTTTGCTAGAGACAAGGTCTCGCTATGTTGCCCATGGTGGTCTCGAACTCCTGACCTCAAGCAACTCTCCCGCCTAAACTGCCCAAAGCACTAGGATTAGAGGCATGTGCCACTGTGTCTGGTCTTTTCTTTTTTTGGTCTCAAATTCCTGACCTCAAGCAACCCACCCTCCTCAACTGCCCAAAGCACTGGGATTAGAGGCACATGCCACCGGTGTCTGGCCTTTTCTTTCTTTCTTTTACTTTTTTTCTTTGATTTAGAAGAAAAAGAAAATTAAATGACAGCACAGCAGAAGAAATGCCCAAGAGCTTGTGTTCAATGAAAATCAGGTGATCCTTTACTAGAGTTGCTTTTAGTTAGAACCGGGAATGGGTATTCAGGAATAAGTAAACTCTGCTTTTCACCACTGTCGAAGTGTCCAGTGTTTCCCCATTCAGCAACTGGCTAATTAAGGGTCATATGGCAAGAAGGATCTTATGTGTCTTTTAATCTCTTAAATTGATCACTAACTCAAGGTGATCATACAAATTATGAAAATGCTTATTAGCAATGCTTCCTTATTCTTTCTGTCTGTACTACCTAGACTCCTTATTTAACTTTCTCTCTTCTCCTCCCACACACTTATTTGCAGCACTTTCCTAGGGAACAGGAAAAGTCTATCACCTTCTGATGATTTGTGTCTCTCCAACTGATCTCAGATTACAGAATTTTGCCTTCTGGGCTTTCAACTCAATTCTCCTTTTTATTTTCACCAAAAGTTTCTGAGCTTTCTCTATTGACACTAAAAATTTCTATAAGCAACAGGTATTACACTCTCAATATTATCTTGTTACCAATTTTGTTTGTCACTTATTCAAAGAAAATTTTATAGCTGATCGTATTTAGCTTAGATTTACTTGTACATACAGTTGGTATTAGCTACTGTAGACATTTAAGATATTACTTTAATTTTGGACGAAGGGAAAGTGCGTATTAGTTTGGTAAATTTTCTTAGCCATTAAACCAAAAACTTGTTACATTCTTCTGTTTTGATAACTTCTATTAGAATTATTATCATCTGGGACATTCCTAAAATTGAGAAATAAAATTAAGGTGAAACTACTGGGAGCCTTTCCAGTTATATCAGAAATCTAGGACTCCTCACCTCCTGAAGAGGTTATTGATCCATTTGCCTTGTCACATTTTGTGGGACAGAAGTTAAATTCTTCACAGAAATAAAATTAAAAGTTAAAAACTGATGTGGAGACATAGCATGTGTGTAGTTCAAACCAGAGAGATTAGATGAAATTGTAAAAGGAAGAGTATACAAAATGAGAAGAGATCATGGTCTGTGATGAAATTGTGGGAAAGCGATAGCATAA
Source organism: Homo sapiens (assembly GCF_000001405.40). NCBI lineage: Eukaryota > Metazoa > Chordata > Mammalia > Primates > Hominidae > Homo > Homo sapiens. Next base: position 49,072,708 of record NC_000011.10, read on the forward strand.
AGGTAACATTGAGGAACTTGAGACCAGGAAGAAAAGAAGCTGTGTTTACCCATGTAGTTAAAAAAAGAAAATTACATGTTGGGAGGCTGAGGCGGGCAGATAACTTGGGGTCAGGAGTTTAAGACAAGCCTGGCCAACATGGTGAAAGCCTGTTTCTACCAAAATTACAAAAATTATCCAGACATGGTGGTGGGCACCTGTAATCCCAGCTAGTTGAGACACTGAGGCAGGAGACTTGCTTGAACCCAGAAGGTGCAGGCTGCAGTGAGCTGAGATTGTGCTACTGCACTTCACCCTGGGTGACAGAGTGAGAATCCATCTTAAAAAAAAAAAAAGAATGCCAGACATGGTCCTTCATGCCTGTAATCCCAGCACTTTGGGAGGCCGAGGTGGGCGATTCATGAGGTCAGGAGTTTGAGACCAGCCTGACCAAGATGATGAAAGCCCGTCTCTACTAAAAATACAAAAATTAGCTGGGCATGGTGCATGCCTGTAATCCCAGCCACTCAGGAGGCTGAGGCAGGAGAATTGCTTGAACCCGGGAGGCAGAGGTTGCAGTGAGCTGAGATCGCGTCACTGCACTCCAGCCTGGGTGACAGAGCAAGACTACGTCTCAAAAAAAAAAAAAAAAAAGAAAAAGAAAGAAAAGAAAAAAATTGTGTGTGGCAAAATAAAGCTAATAAGAGTTATTTGTTCTGAAGAAAAGCAGCAGGAGTATCTCAGATTAGTATTGAAAAGCAAGGATACCATAAGGAAGAGTTTAGACTATGATAGGAGCTTCACTTGAATGCTGAGTTATAAAAACTGGTCAGGTAGTGCTGTGCAAGATGTTCTATAGGCAGAAAGAGGCAACAGCTAAGAGATTAAAATAATTTCCATCAAAAGGATTCTTGATTGTTAGTATAGGATACAAGTAACAGACAGAGAGATAGAAGTAAAAACAGTATAAAGAACATCTCTAGCCAAATATTTCAGGTATTACCATCTAATCCCTCAAAAATACTTATCTAGGCCGGGCGTGGTGGCTCACGCCTGTAATCCCAGCACTTTGAGAGGTTGAGAGCGGTGGATCACCTGAGGTCAGCAGTAAGACCAGCCTGGCCAACACAGTGAAACCGGGTCTCTACTAAAAACACAAAAATTAGCCTGTAATCCCAGCTACTCGGGAGGCTGAGGCAGGAGAATCACTTGAATCCGGGAGGCAGAGGTTGCAGTGAGCTGAGGTTGCGTCAGTGCACTCCAGCCTGGGCAACAGAGTGAGACTCCATCTCAAAAAAAAAAAAAAAAAATATCTAATGTGTCTAATGTGTTCCCATTTTCTCTAAGCCACAGTTTTCTGAGGTGTGGAAAAAGAAACACAACTAAAATTCCACATGGAATTGTCTTCATTGAGTAAAATTCCTTGGCATATTTAGTTTAGGAGCTGTACATTTAAGTAGGTGACTATGAAATAATGACAACAGTAACAACAAGTTGATAGTATTCCTACATACAGGAAGCAGCATTTTGACTTTGTGGAAATAGAGGAAGAGGCATTTGCACAAAGAAGGGCCAAGCACCATCTGATGAGAGATGGGCACCAAGATCGGAAATGGTTAGGGGGAAAGATATGAATAGCAATAGATAATAATCACATTTAATTTAATTTATTTACCAACCCCCCCCAATTTAGTGAGGTGTACTTGTATGCAAGATCTTGTTTTGTGATTCTTATTGTTGAAATCAAAGAAAGTGAATGATTTTGTATCTGAATTTATGAGAACTGGAGCAGTTAAAGCTAACTTGAGTTTGTAAAAATATCCAGAACCTGAACTGATTCTGTTAAAGCATGAGGTCATATTGGAGAGGTCCCTAGACTCTGTATACAATCTGGATGGATGCTTTTGAACCACATTTTGTATTTCTTGAAAAGCAAAGTCGCCTCAATTAACATCAGAGGATCTGAAGATATCTGCTCTGCTTTTTGTCCTGTGTGAGATACTGTGGAGTGAAGTGAAGCAAGGAACAGAGAAAGACCACAGACATCAGCTACCACGATAAGTAGCAGCCCTGAAAACAAAATTCTCATGTATACAGGGCACAGGGCTGGTCCTCAACAATGAAATACTAGCTAATACTGAGTGTCTAATTTGCAAGAAGAAGTTCAACACACAAAGTAAGGGCCTTTTTACTAAGCATTAGAGGTTATGACAGAAATAAAATATTTTTCTAGAAATGATGAGACAGAAGCTTATCACCAAAATTACTTATGCAGGGTATATTGCCATAATAACTAACTAATGCATCTTTAACCTGTTGGGAAGAGTTTTCTTAGGACTTCTTAATTTTCTTACGACTAGCGCCAGAATAAAGCAAAAACATCTGGATGAGATTGAATAAAAATTCCTTTCAAGGCCAGGCATAGGGCCTTATGCCTTTAATCTCAGCACTTTGGGAGCCTGGGCAGGAGGAATGCTTGAATCCAGGAGTTCAAGATGAGCCTGGACAACATTGAGATAAGCTTTTTCTTTTCTTTTTCTTTTTTCTTTTTTTTCTTTTTTTTGAGACGGAGTCTTGCTCTGTCGCCGAGGCTGGAGTGCAATGGCGCGATCTGGGCTCACTTCAACCTCTGCCTCCAGGGTTCAAGCAATTCTCATGCCTCAGCCTTTCGAGAAGCTGGAATTAAAGGCACGCGCTAAGATGCCCAGTTACTTTTTTTTTTTCCATATTTTTAGTAGAGATGGTGTTTCACCATGTTGCCCAGGTTGGTCTCAAACTCCAGGCCTCGAGTGATCCGCCCGCCTCAGCCTCCCAAAGTGCTGGGATTACAGGCATGAGCCACTGGGTCCGGCCCCAGATACTCTATTTCTATAAAAATAATTTTTCAAAAAATTAGCAGCATGGTGGCACACGTCTGTGGTTGCAGCTACTTGGGAGGCTGAGGTGGGAGGATCACTTGAACCTTGGAGTTTGAAGCTGCAGTGAGCCATGACTGTTCCACTGCATCCCATTCTGGGCAACAGAACTAGAGCTTTTCTCAAAACAAACAAACAAAAAAGGTATTTTATTTCACCACAATGTTTTATTTGCATATATTTGCTTGTGCACATATATATGTGTGTTGTGGTGTAGAGTAGAAGACAAGTTTTAAGTCACGACGTGGGTGACAGTTTGAGCTTATATCCTCAAACTCTAGCATGTGTCAGAATTATCCACAGGGCTTATTATTATAGATATTCCTAAATCCCACCATATAAAACTAATTGTAACTACAATGTCTAAATAATTATTTATGTGAGTAATATAAGAGATACATGTCTGAGAGTATATTCTTACAGGAGTAAAGTTTTCTTTTTCAATAGAAGTTTATTCTCATTAACAACCATAAAATATAAAGAAAAAAATGGTAATTTTTAAAAATAATATCAGCAAGTTTTTACCATTAAAATCTCCAAGGAGTTTAATCCTTCTGATATTTTTCTGTACATGTTTTTGTCTATATCCGTCTTTGTCTATAATTTTGAAAAATTTTTTCAAAATAAGTTATATTTATTGTATTTTAAAGCTAAAAATGTATTTAAACATTTTATTAATTTAGGCTTTTTCAAATAATATCTTGTTATTTCATACGTTCAGTTAATTACTAGTTGGCAACTTTAGATATAAAATGTTTAAAAGGCAGAAACCTGTTTTATAAATTCTGAAACCTCATATTGTCAAACCCTAATTTGATCAATGCACAATTTATACATGTATCAAAATACTATATTGTACGTTATAAAAATATGTGCAATTTTTATATATTGATTAAAAATAACAATTTTAAAATTTGTTCAAATAAGTTGTCATTTAAATAAAGGTATCTTTTTGATTAGTTTGAATTTGATCAAAAACAAAATTATCTGAATTTTTTTGGGAGGCAGTACCTATTTCATTTCCCTAAATTTAAAATTAAATCAGCCAGAGATGCCAGACATCAAGCTCCTGCTTCTCTTTTTCCAAAACCAGCCACCATCATCATTAGCATTTTGATCTCCAAGTCTAAAGGCTGGTAGGAATTGATCAGTACTGAAGGGAATTACATGTCCAGGAGGAAGGTGAGATGGTAACAGATCTTAGATTTCAGTGAAGAAAGGGCAGAAATTATCAAAGAATGGAATGGTGTATATTCAAATATCATATAAAAACACTGTCAGATGTGGGAACAGAAATGAAAGTAGACTTGTTGCCCCAGAAAAATCAAACATGAATTTTCCACGTGTGTGTTATTTAAAAATCAATGACAATATAAACCAGCACTAGAGGGTGTTTGTAGAGGGTTATTTACAGAGATTACAAATGGAGTTAATTTAATCAACGGTTGAAAGGTAAATCCTTTTATTGATACTTTGTACTGCAGAAACCTAATCAGGGAGGGGCTTTAAGAATCCTATAATATACTGGCATCCAAAAAGCAAGTCTTATTATTTTAGAGGCATTTGGAATTTGCTAGACTGTGGAAACCTCAGAAAATAACATCTGTTGTCCAGAAAGCCCAGAGGACACAGAACTCCCGAGCCAAATGCATGAACTTTCCTGCAAGCACTGTTCAGACCAGTTATAGAATATTCAGGTGAGTATTTCCTTTAATTTTTTGTTCCTTGTTTATACAAATTGTGAACTTCTGGAGGGAAAGTCCTAGATATTATACAGTTTTATCTATAGCATGATATCTAGAATTTAATTGGAAACCTTTATTGTAGAATATGAAAAGTTCTGTGTTGTCTCTAACTTCAGGTTGAATGCAGCCTTGGTCATCTGCAAAGTTTTTAAAGTGCTCAAAGGCACTTTTTTATTTTCCTAATATTCCACTGAAGTTTTTATTTCTGTAATGGTATTTTTATTTTACAAAATCTATTTTGTTGTTTGAATCCTCTTTTTAAAGCTGCTTGTTATTTTTTGATATTTTTATTATATTTAATATAATTTGATAATAAATATCATATGTGTGACTTTGTGAAGCTACTATATAAAAGTTTATTTTATTTTATTTTATTTTTATTTTCCTTTTTTGAGATGCAGTCTCACTCTGTCACCAGGCTGGAGTGCAGTAGCATGATCTCGGCTTACTGCAACCTCCGCCTCCCAGGTTCAAGCGATTCTCCTGTCTCAGCCTCACAAGTAGCTGGGACTACAGGGGTTCACCACCATGCCCAGCTAACTTTTGTATTTTAGTAGAGATGGGGTTTCACCATGTCAGCCAGGATGGTCTTGATTTCTTGACCTCGTGATCTGCCTGCCTCAGCCTCCCAAAGTGCTGGGATTACAGGTGTGAGGCTCTGTGCCTGGCCAAATATTTATCTTTTATGTTACAAAAATTTAAAAAATTAACAATTCATGCAGCTTCATAAAGTCACAGGAGCTCATACATTTTGCTTAAGATCAAAACTTACTCTCAAATGGTTCAGGAATAAAATGATGTCTTAAACTTCTAAGCATTTCGTAAGTGATTATGATAAAAAATGAAAAATAAAAATTAGATGGATTATAACACAGAAAAGGGAAAATCACACAACATTGACAAGGTCAATTTTTTTGGGACAGAGTCTCACTCTGTTGCCTAGTCTGAAGTGCAGTGATACAATCAAGGCTCACTGAAGTCTTGACCTCCTGTGCTCAAGCCATCCTCTCACCTCAGCCTCCAGAGTAGTTGGGACTACCGGCACTACAAGTGTGGGCCTGGCTAAATTTATGTTTTTGTAGACATGGGGTCTCTCCATGTTGCCCAGGCTGGTCTGGAACTCCTGAACTCAAGCAATCTTCCTGCTTCAGCCTCCAAAAATGTTGAAATTACAGGCAAGAGCCATTGTGCCTAGCCCTGTATAAATTCTTAGTTTTCCCAGTTTCTTTCTTTCCTTCCTTCTTTCCTTCTTTTCTTTCTTTCTGTCTTTCTTTCTTTCCTTCTTTTTCTTTCCTTCTTTCTTCCTTCCTTCCTTTCTTCCTTCTTTCCTTCCTTCCCTCCCCCATCCTTTCCTTCTTTCTTTTTCTTTCTTTCTTTCTTTTTTCTTTCTCTTTCTTTTCTTTCTTTTTCTTTTCTTTTTCTTTCTTTCTTTTTCTTTTCTTTCTTTCTTTTTCTTTCTTTCTGTCTGTCTTTCTTGTTTTTTTTGTTTTTGTTTTTTGTTTTTTTTGACTGGGGTCTCTCACTTTGTTGCCCAGGCTTGTTTCAAACTCCTGAGTTCAAACGACCCTCCCATCTTAGGCTCCAAAAGTGCTGGGATTACAGGCATGAGTCACCATGCCTGGTCACAGTTTCATCATATATGTAATGGAACAGCAAGCATAAAATGAGCTCACAGAGTTTTAAGGAGAGAAATAAGATATTAATAATAAATGTAAAACATTTGCATATTAGGTTCCTGGGGCTGCTGTAATAAACTATCACAGATAAAACAATAATTTGCTCTCTCACATTTCTGAATGCCTAACATTTAAAATCAACATGTTGATAGAGTGGTTCCCTTTGGAAATTCTGAGGGGAAATCCACCTCCTGCCTCTCTGCTAGCTTCTGGTGGGTGATGGGAATCCTTGGCTTTCATTGGCTTGTGGCAGCATAGCTCTAGTGAGCTCCGTCTCTGCCTCTGTCTCCACATGGCTGTCTATGTGTCTCAGATCTTCCTTTTATTTCTTCTATAAGGATACCAGTCATTGGACTTAGGTCCCACCCTAAACCCAGACTAATCTCGTTGGGAGATTACCAAGGTAGTTACATCTGCAAAGATCCTATTTTTGAAAGCCCATATTCACGGGTTTCAGGGGTTAGGACTTAGACATGTATTTCAGGGGGCCACTCTTTAACTGGCAATTTGAAAAAAATGCCTGCCTGGCTCACAAAACAGCCACATAACAACAAAAACACAACTGTATTTTTATTTCCACTGCTTTACACGCATCACCCTAACTTTTACAATTGGGAAGATGGTACTTCTTTTTTCCTAAATTCAGATTCTGAATATTTCACACCTCTTTTCTAATGTCAATTCTATGTGACTTCCCTTTTTTCTGAGTTAGAATACATCTTATATTTATTTATTTTTATTATTTATAATCACCACAATATATTTGGAAGTTTGATTTTTTTATTTCTGAACCATTTGAGACTATGTTCTGATCTTAAACACAAAGTATGGAATCCATTATTTTTTCTTTTTTTTAAAATTTCATTTGTGAAAGTTACTTTTTTCTTAATTACTCTTTTTATTTGTTACATTACTAAGTTTATTTTATTTTCATAGGACATTGATGAAATGACTTTTTTATGATTTTTGAGATTAAAAATTTAATAACTTTCAATTTTACATTCTTTTAAGTTTTTCACAGTTATTTTAATGCTTTTTTTGGTAAATTTTAATTATTGTTATTTATATCTTCATTTATTATGGAACAACTTCCCAAAAGTCTTTTTCACATAATAAATTTGATATATAAGCTATTATTTATTTTCTCTTCTATCTCAAATTTGGGCTTTAATTATATTCCAATATTTCAGAACATTTTAATCTATGTTTTGAGACATTTGTGACTTACGTGATATTATGACTATTATTGTTTACACTTCTAGTGAATTTTTAATGTCATTCAAAGGCTACATCCTTCTATACTCTACTGAGAATTAAAAATAGTTCTCAAAAATATTATTCTCAGATATTCATAACTCATTCTCAGAATTTAAACTTCCACCAGTATCTTAACTCTGTTCTCTTTCCCTTCTAATGCATATTTTCCCCCTGAAGGCCCATTGTTACACTCCTTATTCACCCTCCATTTAAGATTCGGTTTTATTTAATGTTGCATGTATTTGTACACAATTTTACTTATGTGAGGCTTAGTCTTAGAATAGAAGATTATCCTAAAAAGACTAGTGAAAGAGTTATGAGAATTTCGAGAGTGAATCCAGAAATCACTTACCAGAAGAATTACTTCAGGCAAGAAAAAATTGCTAAAAAAAAAAAAAAAAGAAAAAGAAAAAGGAGTAGTCATCAGATCTGCCATGTTTTCAAGCTCTGTAATGAAAAATGGCAGGTATTCTGGAGAGAGTTTCTGGAGGAAGCCAAACTTTCACTGAGGCTTAAATATGATGAACAATTAACCAAATAAAACTGAAGTGTTTTATAATTGTCATTAAATCCTTGATATTTAAAAGGAGAAGCAGTATGGTTCTTAGAAAGCATTCATTCCCTGCCCAGGAGTGGTGGCTCACACCTGTAATCCTAGCGCTCTGGGAAGCCGAGGCAGGTGGATCACCTGAAGTTGGGAATTCGAGACCAGCCTGGCCAACATGGTGAAGGCCCATCTCTACTAAAAAATACAAAAAAATTAGCCAGGCGTGGTGGCATATGCCTGTAATCTCAGCTGCTTGGGAGGCTGAGGCAGGAAAATCACTTGAAGCCAAAAAGCAGAGGTTGCAGTGAGCGGAGATTGCCCCACTGCACTCCAATCTGGGCGACAAGAGGGAAACTCCGTCTCAATTAAAAAAGAAAGAAAGAAAGAAAGAAAGCATTAATTCCCATGCACAGGTCCTGGAGAAGCTATAATTCAGTCTTTTATCACAGGTTCACATTCCCTTATAAAAAGGTAACAGTTGGATGCATGTCTGGAGGAGCTCTTGGGCTTGTCTTATTGTATCTTTAACTTCTCATCTGCACCTTTAACTATGGCTATTTGGGCTGTGCTTAGAAAACAGCCATACTCAGGGCACTGTAGAATGAACAGTCTTTCCTGTTTAGGCATTTCTCCTTCCACTTTAACTTCTGACTCTGTCTTCAGGGCATTTCTGTTATATTAAGCTTCTTAAGTGATGAGTGGTCTGGTGTTTGTGTTATGCAACTCAATTTAAGATAGGTTCATGTGAGATCTGGCAGAAAGCAGGCTGGGGTGGGGTGTGGAGATACTGAATATTGCGCATGTAGCATATGAAAGGCAAACATAAATTTAATTCAGAAACAGGCAATGTTTATTTATGGTTAAGGGTCAAATGAATTATGCAAGGGACATATGGCAAATAGGATGTAATTTGCTTCATTAATCCAAATGAAGGCGAGTAACTTTCTTTCTCCTCAGAAATACAGAATCACACATACTGCAATACTTCCAGAAATAAATCATCCACTGAGTCTTAAAAGTAAATAACTCTGTGTTCTTGCTCTGGTGTCTACATAACCGGGATCTTATAAGTAAGCCAAAGACATCAAAATGGCTTTGCCTAGAAGCCAAGGCCATTGGTCCAACACAGACATCTTGAGGTTACTGGAATGCATGGAGAATAATCTCCCATCTGATGACAACAGCACGTTTAACTCAACTCAGTCACACATGGACTGGGGAAAAGTAGCTTTTAAAAACTTTTCTGGTGAAATGTACAGACTCAGATGGTTAGAGATTTCTTGCAACTTGAGAAAATTCGGTACTTTGAAAGAATTAGTCCTGGAAGCTAAGAAATGTGTTAAAAAGATGAACAAAAGCCAAAAAAGCAGGAACCGTCCAGACTTTCCAAAGAGGCCCCTTACTGCTTATAATCGCTTCTTCGTGGAGAGTTGGCTCCAGTACTCCCAAATGTACCCTGGGATGAGAAGCCAGGAACTGACCAAAATCCTGTCAAAGAAATACAAGGAACTCCCAGAGCAGATGAAACAGAAATATATTCAGGATTTCCAGAAGGCAAAGCAAGAATTTGAGGAAAAACTTGCTCGATTCAGTGAAGAACACCCTGATTTAGTCCAGAAGGCCAAGAAATCTGGTGTCTCCAAGAGGACTCAAAACAAAGTGCAAAAGAAGGTTCAGAAAAATATTGAAGAAGTGAGGTCTCTTCCAAAAACGGATCGATTTTTCAAGAAGGTAAAATTTCATGGAGAGCCTCAGAAACCCCCCATGAATGGATACCACAAGTTTCACCAAGATTCCTGGTCAAGTAAAGAGCTGCAACATTTGTCAGTGAGGGAGCGCATGGTAGAGATTGGCAGACGCTGGCAACGCATCCCGCAGAGCCAGAAGGATCATTTTAAGAGCCAGGCTGAGGAGCTGCAGAAGCAATACAAGGTGAAATTGGATCTCTGGCTCAAGACTTTGTCACCTGAAAATTATGCTGCATACAAAGAATCGACCTATGCTAAGGGTAAGAATATGGCCATGACAGGAGGCCCGGACCCCAGGTTGAAACAAGCAGATCCGCAGTCCTCATCAACAAAGGGTCTGCAAGAAGGGTTTGGGGAGGGGCAAGGGCTCCAGGCTGCAGGAACAGATTCATCACAGACTATTTGGGTAAACTGTCATGTCTCCATGGAACCAGAAGAGAACAGGAAGAAAGATGGAGAAGAGGAAGAAAGCAGTAACTCTTCAGACTGCAGCAGTGGAGAAGAAATGGAAGTTGATGTCTGAGGGCAGTGGCTCTAGTGCAGCTTCCTTGTTTTTTTTTTTTTTGTTTTTTTTCTTTTCTTCCTTCCCCCCGCAAAGTAGGACAGGTTGGGAAGAAAGAAGCAACTTGGTGCAGCACTCTCCTACATCAAGATTACGAACCTGGGAGGAACTCTTTGGGAAGAATAAATACAAGTTTGAGCCAATACTGGCCTTATCCTTAAAAAAACAAACAAACAAATATCATCCCTTTCCCAAGGAACTTTATGCAATTAAGGCTTCTGAAATGAAGAGATGATTACATTATGGGGTACACACTGTATTAGACTGAATATTTCTGAAGCAAGAAGCTTTGCTTTACTCATTTTTGTCCTGCCAAAGGTGGTAGGGGGATACCCATAAGCCTGGGACCCGAACTTCCCTGTGGAAATGTTTTTAAGGACTCCTGCACTAAATCTAGGGTCGGGGATATTTATTTGATGAAAGGTGGGGTAGGTGTCTTAAGAGAATTGTCCCACTCTTGATATCTCTCTCCTTCCCTCCCTGAAGTAAGGAGTTGGCCATTCCCATGCCAGAGAGTAGGGAGTAATATTTCTACATGTATATCTGACTCTTAGTTCTCGATTAGACTTTTCTTGCTTATTTCAAAAGAAAAATGAAAATACAAAATAAAAAGTTACTGATTTAATCTGAAAGAGCTCCTCCACAGAATCATTTGTGACATTGGGTGCAGCTTCTCTAAGTTATATCTGCATTTATTCTTGAAGCTCCAAATTTTTCCTGCTGCTTCAGATGCAAGTGAATCTCACCTTTAGCATTCAGGATTGATACAAAGATATAGAGAAAGACAGATATAGATGAGTACACTATCCTGTTTCACTATCTGCTCTATCTAAGAATTCATGCACCAGTGTCACATTGTTTTAATTTTTTGGTTTACTAATATGTTTGAAAATCTACCTGAAGTTAGTGCCTTCTCAGTATACCTTTATTCTATTAAACATTTCTGGCTATTTTCATATTTTGTTCTCATGAATATTAGCATCACAGAACTAGTTGTATTATTTTTGTATAAAAACCATTGAATAGTGTTTATTTTGTCCCTAGATATCTTAGGAAAATTTTACTTATAAGTTTTTTCTAAATAAATAATAAGTTTCAGAGAATAATGACAATGTTTACCATTTTTATACCTCTAATTTCTAAATGTGTTGGATTAAAATATCCAGAATAATGTTAAATAATAAGAATAATCTGTTCTTGGCTTGCTTCTGACTTTTAACCTAATGCTTACAGAATTTAAAATCATGAAAATTATGCTGATGTGTACATTTGAAATAAATTATTAAAAATAAGAAAATTGCTATTTACATTTATTATTTGCTTTTAATTTTTAATGCATATCGATTTTTAACAAATTTATTTTATCATATATTTATGTAATTTTTTCTTACTGTGTTAGTCATCATCCTGCAGAGAAACAGAACCACCAACATAGAGAAACAAAGTGACAGAGAGAGTGATAGAATAATACGGAGAGGAGAGACACAAAGAGACTAATTTTATTATGAAGAATTGGCTCACAAAATTGTGGAGGCAAAAAATACCATGATCTGCAATCTGCAAGCTGGACACTTAAGAAAGCCAGAGGTGTAATTCAATCTGAGTCTGAAGGCCTGGGAAGCAGGGCAGCCAGTGGTGTAAACCCTAATTCAAGCGTAGGGGAAGATAAGATGAGATATACTACTTAAACAGTGAGACAGGAAAAGAAGGGTCAAACTCCTCTATCATCTGCCCTTTGTTCTATGCAGGCCTTAAATCGGTTGGATAATGCACGTCCTATATTGGGGAGGGAAGCCTACTTTACAGAGACCAGTTCAAGCTGACACATACAATTTACCATCATACTTCCATTTTCTTACAGATTCTGGAGATTTAGGTATTTTTATATGAATTCTTGATGGCTGATGGGTTGAATTTTTTTTTTTTTTTTGAGACAGAGTCTCGCTCTGTTGCCCAGGCTAGAGTGCAGTGGAGAGATCTCCACTCACTGCAAGCTCCACCTCCCGGGTTCACGCCATTCTCCTGCCTCAGCCTCCCGAGTAGCTGGGACTACAGGCGCCCGCCACCACGCCCGGCTAATTTTTTTTTGTATTTTTAGTAGAGACGGGGTTTCACCATGTTAGCGAGGATGGTCTCGATCTCCTGACCTTGTGATCCACCCGTCTCGGCCTCCCAAAGTGCTGGGATTACAGGCGTGAGCCACCGCGCCCAGCCAATGGGTTGAATTTATTTAGAAAATGTGTTTGCATATTATGTCCTCTGTTTCTCTTAACATCAAGTTTGCAAAATTAACTTTAAAGATCTGATTCTTTTTATTTCCAATTCAGAAGATACTGTAAGTCACATTTGCCACTGACTAGTAGTAAGGCCCATAGCCCAGGCTAGATGGTGAGATGTACAAATTCAGTTGGGGCTTTAGTAGTGATTTTAAATGAAGTGTTTTTAAGTTTATTCAGCACCTACTCTTTTTAAGACTTGCCCTCCTTGTGTGGGATACAGAGATTAAAAGTACAATTCTTGACTTCATGACACTCAGAGTTAAAGATTGTATTATTTGGCTTAAAAACCACAAATACTGACAAATATAAACTAAACTTATGAGTTTGCTATTTTAGTAAAATATCATTGGTTAAAATACTGATCTCTTTGCTTCTCTGTTACCTCATCTACACATTCATGAACTGGAAATAAAATTATGGTTAGATTAGGCCAGGTGTGGTGCCTCATGCCTATAATCCCAGCATTTTGGGAGGCTGAGTTGGCCAGATCACTTGAGGTCAGGAGTTCAAGACCAGCCTGGCCAACATGGAGAAACCCCATCTCTACTAAAAATACAAAAATTATCCAGATGTAGTGGCACATGCCTGTAATCCCAGCTACTCAAGAGACTGAGGCAGGGTAATTGTTTGAACCTGGGAGGCAGAGGTTGCAGTGAGCCCTGATTACACCAGTGCACTCCAGCCTAAGTGACAGAGCAAGACTCCATCTCACAAAACAAAACAAAACAAAAAAATTACAATGAAATTAGATATAGGTAAATGTTAGACTTAATGCTTATAAAGTACCTAACTCACAGTAGATTTATAGAAAATGTTAGGCTGTCACCTTTTTTTCTTCTTTATTTCTTTCATCATCCATATTTCTCCTTTACTTAATTCCAATGAAAACCTTTAAGTAATGCATATTACTTAACAATATATATTACATTAAATAAATTAAAATGCAATTAATGATATTTATTTGCAATGCACATAAAGACCTACTACCTTGCTAGAATTTGGTCCCAAATTTGACCCAAGTATACCAGAAATGTTTTAAAATAGTGTTGTGGACTGTGTCTGTATATGTGTGTATGTATGTGTGTGTGTATTTGTGTGTATACATATATATATATATATATATATATATATACAGTATATATTTGTACATAATGAGAGAGCATTGAATGCAATTGCAATTGATAGAAAGTGCAGTACAATTTTTAAAATGTAAAAATGTTTCTGAAAGGAAATTAAATCAAAATTTGTCCTTGATAAAACAAGTATTAATTCAAAAAGGAAGTATTGGAAGTGGAAGTGATGTCCAGACAGAGGAAACAGCATACCCAAACATTCAAAGTGAAGAAGGCCATGATGCCTGTGGAGAATCTACTTCTACAATTCTTTGTTCCAGTCTTCTGTTACACACAGCTCATGGAAACTGCTAAACACACTGAGATCCATTTTAGAGGCATTCCTTGTTTACACATTTTTAAAAATTTCACCTTAAAATTCTGAAAATACAGAGAGGTACAGTGTGCTTTCAGACTGTTTCCAAACCTCTAAAGAAAAACAGAGAAAAACTAGGTTAACAAAATTAAAATTCATGAACAATATTTACAACAACACTGGGTAACAATGTGCCCTACAAAAAATCCCCAATGTAAATAGTTACAGACAAATCAGGAAGACCTGCAATATCCATGAGGAATCAGAATCCTTTCAAGATGAAGCAGAGAGGGTGAACACAATATATTATGGATTTGAGAACCCTCAAGTCAGCAACAAGGATTCATTAGAAAGTGTGCAAGGCAATTAAAAAACAGCTACAGAAACTAAGTAGGGTGGGAGTTTGCCCACATCAATAAGCAAGAGTCCAGGATGAGATAAAAAAGAGGCTGAGACCATATGGCTTCTACAACTCTTAAAATAACCAGACCAAATTCTCTTCCAGGATCAAGTTCCATATTGAGAAGAATTTACTGGAAGTAAACTACATATTAAACAAGGCTACATATTAAACAATAGGGCCAAAAAAAGAGAAGGCCTCTAAAAAGTAAGTGCGGACAGAAGCAGAACCAGGACAGAGCAAAAAGTGAAAGGTCTTGTTATTGAATATCTTATGAAATCAACAGGAGAGCTCTAGATTCAGGATGCTAGGAAAGCTATCTTGACCGTTCTTTACCTTATAAAAGTTCAAGTTTAATTCCATACAAATGGCATCAATACGGCATGCTTTTGTTGTTGTTTGTTTCTTATTTAAGGAGAGTGCAGAGGGAAGAAAGTGCCTTTCCCAAAATAGTATACCTTGATATGACTGTTCATGATGTAACGTCTAGCGTTTTTAAAAGAACCTTAGTGCCAGGGCTACAGTGAGCTTATATTCTGCAGCTGCAACCTTGAGAGAAGTGCTTCTGGGCAGTCCTCTCTGTTTCCTTCCCAGCAGAACCTCAGCCCCACCTCACTGGATCCAGCTCCATCACTGTGCCTGGCCACCTCAAGTTATTCCTGAAGGTCAATTTCTGGAGTATGTCCTAATCCTCTCCTCCTCCAAGCACCCCTTTTGGTCCCTGCAATATCCCTCCTGAACCCCCACCTAAAAGCCTTTCTGCCTGTCCTTGTCCCATAATACCTCGCCCAAGAATGTATTATAAGCCCAGCGTGGTGGCTCACACCTATAATCCCAGCACTTTGGGTGGCCTAGGCAGACAGATCACTTGAGGCAAGAAGTTGGAGACCAGCCTGGCCAACAAGGTGAAACCCCCTATCTACTAAAAATACAAAAATTAGCAGGGTGTGTTGACACATGCCTGTACTCTCAGCTAGTCAGGAGGTGGAGGCATGAGAATAGCTTGAACGTGGGAGGCAGAATTTGCAGTGATCGAGATAGCGGCACTGAACTTCAGCCTGAGCAACAGAGTGATGACACAGTGAGAAAAAAAATGAGAAATACGAAGAGGCAGAGGTAGGTATCTATCTACATATCGATATATCTATGTATTTAGTTATGTATAATATATCTGTATATTATACATGTACATGAATATATGCATTATATGTTGCTTAATATGTAGTTTACTTCCATTATTATATATATAGAGTACATTATACATGCATATATGAGAGAGAGATCTCAAATTTATAGAATCCCTAATAACAAGCAGCTACCACCCCCATCTTTCACAATGGCTAATTACTTTACTGCGTGATTTACTCTCAGATATGGTACTGGGAACCACGAGGTATCTCCAGCAAATTATCTGCAAATTCAAGTGCAAGTTTTTGACTTTAGAAAATGTTTCAAATCAGTCAGCTACACTTGGGAAATGAGGTTAGGAATATGCACCCAAAGGGTTGATCTTAACTAACTATTCATTATCACTAGTGGGAAAATTCTGGAGATTAAGGAATGTTTGGGGTGGCTGTCTTGCTCTGAGAGGGGTAGAGATGGGGAATGGATTTATCCTCTTTTCCTTTTGTGTTAATAATGGTGGGAGATTTTGGTTACTGTGAATAGTACCTACATGAGCTGGATAAATCACAAGCACTAAAGGTTTTGGGAGGGTAAAGAGAGGGGCTGCAGGGACTGCAGGGAGGAGGGACTGGGGCTTTTTCAGAGAGTTTGCAGAGAGAAAGCAGCCAGTTTCTCTGTCCATCATCCACAGCTCCAGGATTAAAGAAAACTCTGCTTTCTCCCTGCACATTCTCTTTGTATCTGCAAGAGAAAGTGGATGGGTTAAAATTAGTGAACTGAAATTAGTATTTTCCAGAAAGACAATTGAATCACTACCAATATATGTAAAGGCAGCTGGGGCTTTGTGAGGCCACCCAAACCAGCCTCCATCCAGGGTAATGAAAGGGAATCCAGTTGTCCCCAAAGCTGGAGATTTCGGGTAATTAGGAAAGTGCCAAGGAGGCAGTGGAGGGGTCGGGTTAAAATGAAACACCTTGTGTAATATCTGCATTAATGGGCCAGGCTAGGAAAGAAAAACTGTTAAATATGAGTCGATAGAAGAAAAATAGGAGAGAAAGTTTTATTTTATTTTTTAAAATAATTTTCTGAAACCAACTTTATTTATATGAGTTTTATGGAAGAAAGGACTAGAAATAATAGGAATAAAAATATGTGTGTTTAGCAAAGGAAGTTCGTGGTCAGATAAAGAATGTAGTTGAAAGGATGTTGGTGGTGAGATGAAGAACATGGTTTCTGTAAACTGTTGGGAATGAAAGATTTCATTGACTTGAAAAGAGATGGAAAGTTTCACAAATGAGTACAGAGAACATACTCGTGGTGAATAAATATGCTTTGTTATGGACAAAAGAGATAGCAGAAAAATCAAGTGAAGATATTGGGTCAATGTAGCTACTTAGTTTTATTTCAAAACAATGGGAGTAAATAAGGTAGGTTTTAAAACTGAGAGAAAATAACAAAGATAAAGCAAGAAAAAGAAAATGAGAGACAGGAAATTAATATTGGAAGGTGATTGTTGAATAATGTCTGTGAGAACAGCATGGATGTCAGCTTATACGTGCAGTGCAAAGCCTTGGAAAAGAAGATGGAAGTTGCACTAATGGGGTCAGGCTCTTGTTAATGGGGTCAGGCTCTTGTTAGCATGTAGTTTTTGAACTGGTAACAGTAAAAATTTTAGAAATGTCTTATCTCATTTTATGAAGTAATATTTGCTATTGTTTGTGAGAATAAAGAATCAGCATACAGGTAAAATATTTAAGAATAAATAAACTAAACAGATTTAATAATGAGGCTTGTGTGCATTATAAGATAATTATCAAATCATAAATTACTAGTTTTAAATAAAATGTAGATATTTGAGGGAAAATAATTAGAGGACAGGTTTTGACTTCTGGTGCAAATACATATATACATACACACATAGAAAAGAAGGGAAGAAAAAGAAGAAAGAAAAGAGAAACCAGTCCATAATTTTTGGTTCATTCATTGCAACAAATTGCTAAATATCTTAAGATAAAACAATAGATAAAACATAAGAATAAAAGTAGACTATGTGTTCCAATGATTTCATTATTACTTCAGGGTTATTCGAATCTATGGAGGAAGATGATCCATGCTGAGTATTGGAGAGTTTATCATTTGCTTTATGAGGAAGAGGAATGTCACTTGGAGAGACTGGAATAGGAAAGCAAAGAGAAGTAAAGACAGTAAAGACAGAATGAAATGAAGGGGGAAAGATGTAGGAGGAATGTATAAGAAACTGAAGAAAATGTACCATAAACCAGACCTGGAGCTGCTCCAGATCAGGACTGAGAAAAAGAGAGTCCACTGGGAAAAAATGATCTCATTCTCTTTGCCTTCTGTGTTGTGTTTGGAATGATGCTTTCATGAAGCTATAAAAGTGAGTTGCTTGTCTAGTAATAAAAGAGACAAAGTCAGTTTTTCTTGATCCAGGAGCAAAAAACAAACAAAAACAGTAGAAACCACTCAAGAAAAAAAAAATCCTTCTAAAATTCATTCAATTGCTGAAAAACTGCAGTAAAGAAGTTTGTTTGAAGCTTTCTGAATTTGTATTTAAATATGTTTAGATATTTAGAAATTTGGGAATTCACGCAATATTATTTCCTCAATGGCCATTTCCTGGATACCAATTGCTATAAACTTTGGGCTCACCGATCCTTAGGAATCTAATAAATTAAGTCTTCACTATGAATTTTGTGATGAATGTTAAGACTTTCTCTCTTCTTCTTTACATAATTTTGGAAATGTGTTAAAAGGTAAGTTTGTCCCTATATTCAAGGTTTGATAACTGTGACAGTAATCAGTCTAATACTGAAGTGGGAACATAATTTATTATGATAATGTACCCTCCTTCATGGTATATTTAGTCTTCCCCTTCTTAAACGGTAGAAAGGTTTTGTTTGTTAGGCAGGGCTATTATTTTCAAGCAACTATAGAGAAATCACATAGAGAAAATTACCATTATCAATTTTAATTTTCAAAGTGTATAAACAAATTGGCATAATGGCCGCAAATTATGCCAGGACTTATAGGGGAAATGTAAGTGTTTCTGACAGTGTAAGCTGGAAGCAGGCTGTAAATAAGCAAAAAAGCAGATCCTCAAGGATTTGTGGCTTTTGTATGTAGCAGATGGTGGATTCCAACTTCAAATGTAAAGGCTATGGGGTGTACTTAGGGAAGCTGGGTCTTAGGAAGCAGGATGCCTGCCTCAGCTAAGCTTGTCAAGCCCTAGCTTGTGGTTATTGACACTGAGCATTACAGTGGTGTATAAGATTACACAAAAATACTTTGTATAATCATTAATTATATTAAGAATATTAGAGGAATACTTATGAACAACAGCCACAAAGTAAGCTGGCAACTTATTTTACTAGATTTATCCCTTTCTCAAGAGATACTCTGGCAGAGAATTCTCACAAAGAAAACTTTAAAAAGCATATGTGTATTTTCTTTTACTTTATTACACCTATACATGCTTTAGTGAAAAATACATAAATCTGAGACAAAGTGGTTATTTAAAATAAGAATTATTACTATTATTAATTATTGTTACTAATTTTCTGAGAATAAGGGGAAGCTACTTTTGTCACTGACTTTGAATTATTAGTAACTCCACAAATTTAAATGTTCTAGGGAACGTAGCTGAGCTTAGCAATAATTTCTGTTCTCTATATATTCCAAGAAAATTTGTAATTTTTCCCCATTTTTCTGGTTCAGGATTTGCTTGTTATGAATATGGAGTAACCCTTGAACATCAGTAAACTTCTCTAGTGTGCCCGCTGTCCTGACCCATATTTCCAGTGATAACCTGAAATACATAGACACTATGCAAAGCCCACGTCCATTAGAAGTTTATAACACTATATTTTCATGTGACTGTTTTCTTATTCCTGCAGTGCATATTTCCTGAGATAATAAAATAACCAGTTGGCACATTCCCCTTGTTTGAAGATCTGAGACAACTGCTCTTTGATTCTGATGATCTCAACCTGCCCCGAGTTCAAGAAAATCTAAGTGTTTTCTTGATGGCGAGCCCTACCATTCACTTTTGGAAGATATTACTGGGAGGAGGATGTTGGAGAGTGTTGGAACTGGGCTGTTGGATTTTGCAAGATTTCTTGGACATGAGAAATGACATACTGGTTAACACCAAGAAAATTTTTCTACTTTTTTGTGTCAAAGAGTGCTACTGGTGTCATCTCAAGACCTCTTCCCCACTATTACCTCAGTATACAGAAAGGCCTCTAGGCCAGATGGCGGTGTTTCTACATTATGAATGTGGCATGATAAGCTTTGTTTATATGGCCAACAATTTTCTCATTTGTAGCCTGTTCTTTCCCTTACACTCTTACACCTTTCTTTTGCTTTGGACTCACGGAATCAGAGATAGGTGAGTAACCTGACTAAAGGTGTCAGAAACACCAGCTTCTGAGAATGCTAACATACTGACTACTTGATTTTCTTTATCTATTTCTATGAAACATTTTCTGTACCATTTTTAAAAGTGTAGAGGTAACATTTGTTTTGATTTTCTTTAAATAAAAATACTCTCTTAGAATACTGTGCATGTCTTTCCTTTTATGCTATATCTTTTCTTTTCCCTTGATCTCTAAGCCAGTCCAGGTAAATAAATACCTGAGTATGTTTATCCAAACTGATGGGCTAATGCAAGAGTGCAGGTTTCTTCCCCCTGACCTGGAATTTTCCTTTCTCTGTTAGACACCTGCTAAGTCCCAATTCATCAAGTGTAAGTTTCAACATTTCTTCAGGGAATTATTTCTTTAGCTCCTGGACTAGATTAGGTTATTTGTTGTATAGACTCAGAAAATCTTATACCTTTCTTTGTAAAACTCACTATGTAATATTGGGCTTCTTTTCTGGTTTTCAAATTACAAGAGAAGGATGGTGTTTGTACTACACACAGGTATATTCCAAGAAATTACACAATGCTTAATATATAACATTCAATAATTGTTTGAATAAAAGAATAAATGCACAAAATAATTGATAAAAACATGTGATACAACTGTTTAAAAGGCTACCAAATTTACCCCTCTATTTCTGTTGATTTTGGCTACTGAATATAACCAAAATCAATAGGGATACTGAGAAATATTATTTAATAAAGTTGTAAATTGGACTGCTTATCAAATTGATAGGCTCAGCAAATTTTCTTTAGCTCAGTCACAAACTATTGATGAACACAGATCTTAACGGAATGACAATGATACAAATAAAAAGACTCAAAATCTATAAGATTTTAGTAATTTCACCAATGGCATCCTACAGACACAGTTACCTGGGAACATGTCATTATCAGAATAGAAAATAAAACTCACTTTTTGCTTCAGAAAATACAGAATACTCAGAAGCCTCATTGCATTTTAATAAAATTCCAAATTTATTTAGTTCTTAGAAAGTTTTAAAATACATGTGCATTAAAATATCCTTATTATCAGAAATACCTATATTTTGATCGTGTTAATTTTGTATGAAGCCTTTCCTTAAGTATCGACTGGGAATTGATTCCAGGACTCCCCACAGGTATCAAAATCCTTGGATGCTAATAATCCTCAGATGTCCTTACATAAGATGGTGAGGTATTTGCATGTAGCCTAAGCACATACTCCAGTATACTTTAATTATCTCTAGATTACTTAAAATACTTAATGCAATGTAAATGCTATGTAAGTAGTTGTTACACTGAATTATTTAGGGAATAATGACAAGCAAAAAAAATCTGCACATGTTGAGTGCAAATGAAACCATCTGATATTTTTTTCCTGAATATTTTTAATCCATGGTGAGTTGAATACATGGATGCAGAACCCTATCATATGGAGGTCCAACTGTATATCAAATATCATATATAATGGTGTATTTTCTGGTATTTAATTTAATTACTGGCAATATGGCACACAACAAACATATCCAAAGTTTTTGATATGTAGTTTTTTAATTTATTTAAAGCAATCCAATAATGCCTCCTTTAATGAAGATTGCTGACAGCAAAGTCTAAAAAAGACTGACTCCATCTATAAGCAGTAGGCCTAATTCAAAAGTTTAATGACAGATGGGTTGCATAATGGGTTATTTCAATGGTAGGAGTAATGCAAACATACAATTCTATAATCATTTATATTTTAATTGTATTATACTCTTTTAACCATCCTCATCTTGTATATTATCTCATTGTGTATTAGAATACAACTATTAGAGCAATAAGGAAGAGTGGATGAATACGGCCAGTTTTTTGTTATTGTTTTGTTTAGTTTTTTTGAGATAGTCTCTCACTCTGTCTCCCAGGTTGGAGTGCAATGGTGAGATCACGGCTCACTGCAGCCTCAACCAACCCAGATCAAGCAATCCTCCAACCTCAGTCTCCCATATAGCTGGCTACAGGCTGCACCATCATGCCTGAGTAATTTTTTTTTTTTTTTTTTTTTGAGAAACAGGGTCTCACTCTGTTGCCCAGGCTTGTCTCAAACTCCTGGGCTCAAGAGATCCTCCTACCTTAACCTCTAAAATTGCTGGGACTATAGGCACAAGCCACCATGCTAGGCCTAAATTCAGCCAATTAAACTGAAGTTTAAATTATTTGTGTTTCACTCTCTTTCATTATAAAAATAATCTGTGTCTTAAAATGTGTTCTTGAATATGAATTACTTTATGATTGCACCTTCATAAGACTAGTTCTTAAAGTTTAAGAATAATTCATGAAAATATAAAAATTCATTTATAAAAAATCACTGGCATTAATAGAAGGAATACTAGGTACAGGCAGTGGATAATCAAACTTTAAGTTCATTATCTCATTCTGCCCTCACAATTATAAGAAAAAGTGGTCCTCCCACCTCAGCCTCTCAAAGTTCTGGAATTATAGGCATAAGCCACCATGCTTGGCCTAAATATGGCCAATAATTTAAGCTTCAGTTTAATTGGAAGTTCTTATAAGTTTATGAGAGAAATATGTTTCTCTTATAATTGTGAGGACTGGATTAGAAAATGCACATACAACCTCCACTGATAGGGTAGAATCTCCACCCTGGAACAGGAGGTCTAGGGTTGCTATGCCCAAGTTTCCCGCTGGCTGTATCTTCCGTCCCTCAAGGGATAAGACAAAACACCGGGGGACACCATCCCCCTACCTACCCCAGGGCAGACTTGTAGGGCATGTGTGAGTGCTAGAGAAGCCACTGTCAACTCCTTTGCAGTGATGTAGAGATTAATCTAGGAGGACTGACAGGCCAGAAAAACTGAGAGATTTGCTCAATGCCTCACAGTAATGATTGATTTTGAATCAGTCATGAAAAGGTACATTCCCAAGGGCATTGTCAAAAACAATGGAGATCTTGGTTAGGAACATTAAAGAGGAGCTTGGAATCTTTAGCATGCTTTGTAGCAACAAATAAACTTCTGGCAGACAGCCCGAAGTTTACCAAAGAAAACCAGGCAAGGAGAAAGCCAAGAAAAGGTGTTTTAGGATCACTAATTTCTGGAGATCTGGAAGGCTATGTATCTGTGCTAGACTACACCTGCTCAAGAGCAATCAAGGTGGAATGTGGACAAATTTGTAAGCACTCCCCAAGCTAACCACTGATTCATCAGCAAAGAGCCTTTAGCCCTCCTGGCTATAGAGCTAAAGCACAAATTCTGAGTGAACACTGGGTGAACAATAAATTATTCTATTCCAGGGAGTGGCTCCTAGAAGCCAGACTTAAAAACAAAATCACATTCATCTCCGGTGATCTGGAAGCCTGACAATGTACTGTCTTAGCAGTAACCAGAGAGAGGACCTCTGAGCTGTTAGTCCACTGAATGCGGGATGTAACTGTAAACTTCCTGACCAGTGAAAGCTGTCTCCAAGCCACACACATGGAATGACAAAGGATAAAAATCTAACTAGGAGGTTTAGACACAACTTTTGAAATACAGATTTAGGTAGAAATAGAGATAAATAGATATGGATATTGCTGAGTTTAATGTTTAACTGAATTTATGGTAAATATTTATCATCATGAATATGTTCACCTCAGAAGCCAAAAGCATAGCTACTCTCACATGAAGGTTATATATATATATACACACATGTATGTGTGTGTGTGTGTATATATATATATGTATATATGTGTGTGTGTATATATATAATATATGTGTGTGTATATATGTGTATATGTATGTGTGTGTGTATATATATATTTCAAAGTAGTCCTTTGTGTATATTTTTTAATTAGTAAGCTAATTTTCCAAGCACTATTATTTTACCCATGAAGTAAATATATATATATGTGTATATATATATATATATATAAATATATATATATGTGTGTATATATATATATATATATATATATATATATATATATTCTAGTGAAGTATAAACCAAGGTGCTTTCTGCATGAGTGACTTGCGGATAATTTTATACAATATATATTTTTTAATTTCAACTTTTATTTTAGATGCAGGGGGTACATGTGCATATTTGTTACATGGGAGTATTGCATGATGCTGATGTTTGAATACAGATCCTGTCACCTTGGTAGTCAGCATAGTACCCAATAGGTAGTTTTTAAAAAACATATTATTGTTATTTATTAATGTGGAGAAGAGCCTTCCAAAGGCAGCTGCAAATGTCCTTGTCATGCAGAGGCAGCAGTGGTCAGGAGCTCTGCCGACCAATGCTTTAGGTGCCTATTTACAAGGATGACATTCTGAAAAAAATGGCAGGAAACTTCAGAAGAAAAAAAAAACGCTTTTCTTCCAAAGTAGGTATATTCTGACACTCACACCTTCAGGCTGTTGCCCCCATGGGAAGTGAAAGGATGACTGGTTTCTGGCAGTGTGACACCAGGAGCATGCTCCTAGGCTCATGGAACAGACCGAAGAGCTCCCTCCAAGACAAACTTCCCACAGCCCTTCCCTTTCTTTCTTCTGAAAATCTGTATCTTTCTTTTCAAGCCACCACTTAAAATCTTATTTTGTTGCTACTCTTAGAAACAGTAAAAAAGAGCCCCATACTGGCCATTTTATAAATTAATGTAATTTTAAAGCAGTGGGACATTAAGGCATTATTTGTCTCTCTGGCCTTGGTTCCTTTTCCGCATACTGCAATCATTCAACTACATCTTACACTCCACCATGTCCATGTCCATGACACTGCTTATGACTAGTGACTAGAAGACTGAACATCAATTGTGCCCACCTGCAGATAGAGAGAAAGTCATCCAGTCACATTACCACTTTGGTGGAAGGCACTCTTATAAAATTCATCAGCCAGGTCTGCTATTATAAACACTGGGTCAAAACCGTGGTTGACTTCAAAGTGTTCTCAGAAAGTCTGATAATATGCTATTAAAAGACAATTTTCCATCTGAAAACCTGACTGGTGGCAACCTTCAGTTGGCCCCTGCATTTCCTCTGAGCTGAAGCAGCCAAGAGATGGAATCATTTGCATGAGGAGTTCTTACTGCCACTAAGGTTGTTAGAAAACATGGAATGATCCCTCTGCCCTCCAGGTGATTGAAAGCTATGCAAAACAAGGTTGTTTCTTTCTGAGAGGAAGAAAGGAATGGGTAAGAAAACTTTTAAGGCATAAATAATATAAAAGGGCACACATTTCAAGATGCATTCATATGACATTATACTACAAAGAAATAAATAATGATTTTCTCTAATTGGAATTAAAGTCCTTCACATAGTTCATTCACAGGCCTGTTTTGTGCAGTTGGTTACAGACTTGAAGTCAGAACGTGACTGGTTTTTTGCACATCCTCCAGTTTCCTGGGGCTGCTGGAGGACCTCTGAGGGGCTGTCTAAAGGAACACCAGGCGGAGGCCATGTTGTCTTTTCAGCACAGTCCTCTGAGATAGGTGGCAAAAATAAGAGGATTCCAATGTAAAATGTTGCTGTCCATTTCTGAAGAGACACAGCTGTCTCCTCTGCTGAACTCTTCTGGATCTTCTGTGTATTAGAGCTGACATTGTTTCTATTATCCTGACAGCAAGTATGCTGAGTAGAGATTGGTTCCACATTGTTCTTGATTTTCTCGTGAGGCAACTGGCCACAATCGGGGATGCAGAAGCCAGGCATATGGGCATCTTCATTTGACTGAGGGCCTGATTCCCACACCATACTGAGGACAAAGTGCCACCCTAGAGACCACAGGAAAAGGGCTACTGCTGAAAGTGCCGTTGGTTTTGATGAAACAGCTATTGTTGTTTCAACAATTTTGACAGTTAACACATTCCAGAGGGTCAATCTGAGGCACCGCTATGTACATTCCACCACCGTTCAGTAGATGATGAGGCTGTTCAAAATTCACATGTCCTGGTTAGAGAGTTAGTGTGCCCAGAGTAAAGTCCTCCATTTAAGCTCCCATTCACAGTTGCATTGACTCCATTGGAGACCTTATGGTGAAGGTGGGAAGAGACACTGCTGAGACTGCCATGGCTCAGGAAGCCTCCATGAACATTTCCATTTATCTCATTTGCTCCTGAGAGAGTGGTGTATTCCACCATCTGCCCATTAATATCTGATCCCTGGTAGAGATAACCCAGTGGGTCATATTTCTCTATGATATTCTGCGGGTGATTCTTCCACAGGCACATTGCAATAAAAAGCCACAAAAATAAGGACCATGACACCCAGCATACAGCCAAGGATCAGATATAACATGTCACTGCTTCTGGCAGGGCTGGTTGCTGGCCTCACATTTCCTTCACTTCCTGAAGAATTCAGAGGGATACTCAAGCCTTTAGGATACTCAGAAGCTCCAGGAACACGTTTTACTTTACTCTCGCAGATCACCACATTGATAAACTCACTTTCTTCTCCTTCACTGAAGCACTGCATTTTAATGCCATAGGAAGTTTCTGGCAGCAGATGGCCAATCATGTGCCGCTCCTTTGAACCTTCTACTACATCCCTCTTGTAATCACTGTCATTGTCACTATCTGATGGTCAGTAATAGATATAAAAGAATGGAAGTGTTATTGCTACTTCATGGAATGTATGTCCACTTTAGCACTATCTGGGCAACACTGACAGCCTCTGTGTAGGCAATGTGAGTTCCATTATTGGATGGCTGAAAAAATGACTGGGGAAGTCAGCCACCTGATAAGGACAAGATTCTGCACTCTTAAAACTCCCTTCCTAATGACTGATAGCAATGACTTTCAATTTGTATGTTGAACCCAGTTCTAAGCTATGAACTTCAATGGAAATTTTGGAAGCAAGGATATCTTCAGCTGCCACCAGCCAATCACTGGTCCTCATCCTTTCATATTCAACTTTGAAAGCAGCGATTGGAGAAACCCAATTTTCCAGAAGAATCTGAGTGACATAGACCAATGTCTCTGATGCATTGGAGATAGTAGGGCCATTTGGTGCCTCTGGAACTTCGCTGTGCCTTCAAGAATCTGTAAGTACCACTCCAAAATTATTTGCAGCTTCTGAAACAACAGGATACTTATGGATGCCCATGGGTGGACAGGATGCCTGGGTGTTTTTTGTCAATGCTCTTTTTTCTTTGCTGTTTCAGAAGGTAAGCATGGCAGTTTATCCTTCACCTGCTCCACTTCTTGCTACTATCAAGACTTTGTAAAGACTAGACGGCCCTAGTTCAGCTAAATGGAGCTCATTTTCACTACCTGGGACTCGAACCGTATGCCCAATTCCTACCAAACCAATCCCATTGTTCATCTTTTGATATTTCATAAAATACACATTAATGGATAGCCCACCATTCCTGCCTGCCCTCCACACCAGGTTGTACGTATCTGGTGTGTGGGTCTGTCAAGAGATCAGTATGATGGGGGCGTCAGGAACAGCAATGCCATTAACATTTTTTTCTGATGCTGATTCCACTGCACTGGGATGTACCTTAACTGGACATGAGCTCAATCCAGTTTCTGAACCATCTCTTTTATTTCTTTCATCATTCTGAGTAGCAGCAGAAAGTGTGACTGTTTCCACTTTTGTATTTGTTTCAAAAGGAACAACCATGAGAGATTCTTCTCCCTGCATGGTACTGTGTCCATCTGCAGCTTCCTATATGTGTTTCCCCACATGTTTCTGAGTCACATCCTGAATATGGAGACAGCTAGAGCCAACTTGGGACATGATGAAGTAGACAGGCTTCAGGTCCAAGATTCCAGGTCTTGATAAGTGTGACTTTGGGGACTTAGATCTAAGGACTTAAGACAGATGGCTGGCTATTAATCCATAGCTGTCATAACCAAGGAAAGACTGGCACTGGCAGCCCAGTGGCATTGCAGGACACAGTGACAAAGACTCCACATACCACCTTTGCACTTATTGGTGCCATGATTATAACTGGCTTGAATCCATTGTCTTTTTCCAATTTCAAGTCTTCCAGTAGACTGCATAAATCCAGTCCCATTATCTGTTAAACACTGATACAGCCCAGTATCTTCCATGATAACCCCACTGACTTTCAGTCAATTTCCTGCAGTTAGATGTCATGGGGAAGGATGAATAGGCTGTGCAATATAAAACCAAGTATGGTTGGCAGCTGGGTTTCCATGAATATGACAGGTAAAATGTGCTGTGGCACCCAGAGACTGATCCTGTAGTCCTTTATAAATGGAAGCATATTCAAGCACATTAACCATGTATGTCACATACTTTACATCTCCAGTCTTGTTTCCCACCATGCGGGAATAGTTTCCAGAGTCTACTGGGTCAATGCTATCTGTCGCAACATGAGAATATAACCTTCTTCCAGTTGCTTCCTGGAGCAATATTCCCTGTCCTTTAGCCAATACACTTGAGGATCCAGGACCCCACTAACCACACACTCCAAGGTTAGAGGAATACGTGAAAAAACAACTAATACCTGTGAACAAGCAGGAAGAAGAATGTCAAAATCATCTGAAGAAAGGTGACTTATAAGGAGCTTTTGGCCAATGGGTTCAACTTTTAATTCATGTATGACAGGATTATAAGCCACATATTTGTATGATCCCTTGTCCTGTAAGGATACATTCAAAATGTAAAGTTGTCCTGATGGAAGGATTAAGTAATTCTTTGTGGAATGTTTCAGCCACTTCCCCTGGATTTTAGCACACACCTCAACTTTGGGGTTACTCTCTGGTACCCTGCAGCCAATGAAACCAGCACTTTTTTCTTCTGCTGTAATAACATGCTTTGTGGATGAACCAAAATCACCAAGAACTGCTATGGATACTGTTACAGGGCCACTTACAACAACATCAACCTATTGGAAATGCATTGGTAGTAACCCAAAAGGGAGGCTTTAAGAGAAAAAAATTGTCAAAGTCCCCTGATGATTCTTAATATATTCCATGTTTCTATCCTATTTTTTTCCATTATGTAACCATGAGATATGAGTGGTCACAGGTTTAGCGGAACAATATAGTTCTACAGGCCCACTAAGTTTCTAGACGGCAGAGAGTTACTCAAAAATGAAATAAGGTGCCACGTCTGAACTCACAGAAAAGCAGAGAATCATCAGAGTAACATACAGTAGTGTCCATAAAGGGCCAAGACCTGGATGCAGAGCACCAGATTACAGAAACAGGCAGGACAGACTTCCATACCCAAACCCAGGCCTTGGTTCATTTTCCATAGTAATGCAGTCCAGGGTAAACAAACACATTCTTTAATCTTGACTCCTTCGTGCTCACGAAAGACTCTGATAACGGACAGTCTTCATGCTGTCTACAGGGGTCTCCCAATATTAAGAGTAACAGCTGGCTTACATCTTCAGTGATTCAAGTCTGCAAGGTGTATAGACTTCTGCTGGGGAGGAAAAGCAGAGAAGCCACTTTCTGTACTTAGCCTGGAACTCACTTCAGTGCTATAAACATCATCGCAGTCCTGCCTGTAATAAAGTCCGGACTAGCAATCTGCCTTTGAGTTGAGCTTTTCTCTTACAAGGTAAGTTGTTAAGTCATGCCTTGATTTTAGATCTCTCCACAGAGAGGGCTAAGCATCTAGAGCTCCTGCGTGGCAGCCAGCTGGGAAAGCCACCCCTATGTCATGCTCTTCCGAGGGCGGCAGCAGCTGTGGTGACGGCTGCGATCTGAAGGGGCCCCTCCAGGCCCCGCACAGGGCAAAGGAGGGTGTCGCACGCCAGGGCAGAAGCACTGGGTAGGACCCGGAGGGTGCCGGGTCCCAGGTCTCCTCACACGGAGCGGCCTAAGCCGGGCACCCGGGCTCAGGGGAGGGTAGCTGGCGGGGCGGAGTGACAGGACGCGCCCCTGCAGCTGTGCTTCTCTGGGCGGAGGCTTGAGGGCAGGTAACCCGGTGGGCACAAGGCCTGCCAGGAGCAGGAGAGCAGCAGGAGGAGCGACTCGGAGAGAGACGGACGGGGCAGGCTGTAGAGATGGTCCTCAATAGGTAGTTTTTTAACCCATCCCTCTCCCTCGACCCTCACGTAGTCCAGAGTCTGTTTTTCCCATATTGATGCCTATATGTGTTCAGTGCTTAGCTCCCGCATATAAGTAAGAATATACAGCATTTGGTTTTCTGATGCTGCATTAATTGGCTTAGGATTACAGCCTCCAGCTCCATCCACATTTCTGTAAAGGACATGATTTCATTCTTTTTTATGGCTGTGTAGTATTCCATGGTGTATAAGTACCACATTTTACTTATACAGTGTGTAATTGATGGGCACCTAGGTTGATTATGTCTTTGTTATTGTGAATAGTGCAGCCATGAACATAGGAGTGCATGTGTCATTTTGGTAGAATAATTTATTTTCTTTTGAGTATATACTCAGTAATGGGATAATTGGATCCAATGGTGCCAGTTACATTTCTTCCTGCTCCAGTTTTTGTTTGTTTTTTTTGTTTGTTTCCCCAAAACGACTGCCTTATTGATCTCCAACTTGCGTAGTCAGTCTCTGTAGTAATATGTCATTATTTTCTTTGTTCTCCCTCCCGCCCTCCTACTGGTTCTGCTTCTCCAGTTGAACCCTGACTGATACAAGACTAATAGATTTATTTTCACTATTAAGATAGCTATATATAATTTCTTCATTACTCTGCATATCATTCTTTGGCAGACTAAGCTAATCTCACTAATATAATCAATACCCACACATGGTTAGCTAACGCTTTATATTTGGGAGATTTAACTCTCATAAAGTTAATATATACTAAACATTCTGTTAGCTAAGAGAAAACCCTGGAGATTATAAGAAAGACATATTAGAAACTTTTCAATTAATTCAGGCCAACACTACTGTGAGTTTTCCACCTCAGCTGACTTTACATTTTATGAACTTATTTCAAAAGTCATTTTCTTTAGTCACCTCCAGAAAGTACAGAATAATATAACATAGAATGTTATAGTCAACAAATTAAAATAAATACAGGTTATTTTCACTTTACTAAATATTGTTTGAATTCCTTTTTTTTTCTTATATATGTCCAGATTTTAAGAGGCAATTTATTCTTAGGACTTCCAAATCCTTATTTCTTGCTCTATTTTCTTTTCCGAGTTGCACATTCATAAAGCCACCTAGATATTACCCAGGCTCTTAATATAAATTACAGCCACTTCAAGTTCCTCACATCCAAAAGAACCCATCAGGTTTTGTTCTTGAAAAGTTATTCTCATCTTGTCTTCCTGGTTTCAGGAATCAGTATGACTACTTACCTCCTTATCCATACTGGAAAACTAAGATTTAGTTTAGACGCTGTTTTTTTTTTTTTTAATTTTTTTTTTTTTATTATACTCTAAGTTTTAGGGTACATGTGCACATTGTGCAGGTTAGTTACATATGTATACATGTGCCATGCTGGTGCGCTGCACCCACTAACGTGTCATCTAGCATTAGGTATATCTCCCAATGCTATCCCTCCCCCCTCCCCCGACCCCACCACAGTCCCCAGAGTGTGATATTCCCCTTCCTGTGTCCAAGTGATCTCATTGTTCAGTTCCCACCTATGAGTGAGAATATGCGGTGTTTGGTTTTTTGTTCTTGCGATAGTTTACTGAGAATGATGGTTTCCAATTTCATCCATGTCCCTACAAAGGACATGAACTCATCATTTTTTATGGCTGCATAGTATTCCATGGTGTATATGTGCCACATTTTCTTAATCCAGTCTATCATTGTTGGACATTTGGGTTGGTTCCAAGTCTTTGCTATTGTGAATAGTGCCGCAATAAACATACGTGTGCATGTGTCTTTATAGCAGCATGATTTATAGTCCTTTGGGTATATACCCAGTAATGGGATGGCTGGGTCAAATGGTATTTCTAGTTCTAGATCCCTGAGGAATCGCCACACTGACTTCCACAATGGTTGAACTAGTTTACAGTCCCACCAACAGTGTAAAACTGTTCCTATTTCTCCACATCCTCTCCAGCACCTGTTGTTTCCTGACTTTTTAATGATTGCCATTCTAACTGGTGTGAGATGATATCTCATAGTGGTTTTGATTTGCATTTCTCTGATGGCCAGTGATGATGAGCATTTCTTCATGTGTTTTTTGGCTGCATAAATGTCTTCTTTTGAGAAGTGTCTGTTCATGTCCTTCGCCCACTTTTTGATGGGGTTGTTTGTTTTTTTCTTGTAAATTTGTTTGAGTTCATTGTAGATTCTGGATATTAGCCCTTTGTCAGATGAGTAGGTTGCGAAAATTTTCTCCCATGTTGTAGGTTGCCTGTTCACTCTGATGGTAGTTTCTTTTGCTGTGCAGAAGCTCTTTAGTTTAATTAGATCCCATTTGTCAATTTTGGCTTTTGTTGCCATTGCTTTTGGTGTTTTAGACATGAAGTCCTTGCCCACGCCTATGTCCTGAATGGTAATGCCTAGGTTTTCTTCTAGGGTTTTTATGGTTTTAGGTCTAACGTTTAAATCTTTAATCCATCTTGAATTGATTTTTGTGTAAGGTGTAAGGAAGGGATCCAGTTTCAGCTTTCTACATATGGCTAGCCAGTTTTCCCAGCACCATTTATTAAATAGGGAATCCTTTCCCCATTGCTTGTTTTTCTCAGGTTTGTCAAAGATCAGATAGTTGTAGATATGTGGCATTATTTCTGAGGGCTCTGTTCTGTTCCATTGATCTATATCTCTGTTTTGGTACCAGTACCATGCTGTTTTGGTTACTGTAGCCTTGTAGTATAGTTTGAAGTCAGGTAGTGTGATGCCTCCAGCTTTGTTCTTTTGGCTTAGGATTGACTTGGCGATGCGGGCTCTTTTTTGGTTCCATATGAACTTTAAAGTAGTTTTTTCCAATTCTGTGAAGAAAGTCATTGGTAGCTTGATGGGGATGGCATTGAATCTGTAAATTACCTTG
Source organism: Homo sapiens (assembly GCF_000001405.40). Taxonomy (NCBI): domain Eukaryota; kingdom Metazoa; phylum Chordata; class Mammalia; order Primates; family Hominidae; genus Homo; species Homo sapiens. The sequence goes on from NC_000011.10 coordinate 49,105,684, forward strand.
GGCAGTATGGCCATTTTCACGATATTGATTCTTCCTACCCATGAGCATGGAATGTTCTTCCATTTGTTTGTGTCCTCTTTTATTTCCTTGAGCAGTGGTTTGTAGTTCTCCTTGAAGAGGTCCTTCACATCCCTTGTAAGTTGGATTCCTAGGTATTTTATTCTCTTTGAAGCAATTGTGAATGGGAGTTCACTCATGATTTGGCTCTCTGTTTGTCTGTTGTTGGTGTATAAGAATGCTTGTGATTTTTGTACATTGATTTTGTATCCTGAGACTTTGCTGAAGTTGCTTATCAGCTTAAGGAGATTTTGGGCTGAGACGATGGGGTTTTCTAGATAAACAATCATGTCGTCTGCAAACAGGGACACTTTGACTTCCTCTTTTCCTAATTGAATTAGACGCTGTTTTATTCCTCAACCTCTACATCCTGTCAGGCCCTACACAGTGTTATTAAGTGATTAAACTTTAAATGTCTGTCAGGTATATTTTGTCCTTCACATTTTTAATTTCTTCTTTCTTAATTCAAAGTTTCATTATCTCCTCCAAATTTCTTCTAATTTTTGGACTTACTTCTGCCATTAGATTTAGCCTCAAGAATTGTTTCTGAAAAACCACTTTCCATGGGCACTAGGTGGCCACCCACTGGATTCTCCTTAGGTACTTGTGCTTGTGCCTGCCACTGGGGGACTTGTAGGTGAACCTGCCCAGTATGGCCCTGCCCATCTTGCCCCAGCTGCCCCCAGAGCTGAGGAGGGAGCCGGGAACGTTGTGTACTCCAAGAATCAGCCCATTGCCTGGGGCTTCTCCTAGTAAACAAGGGTCAAGTATAAACCCAGCCATGTTGGTCAAAACCAGCTCTAACACATAAGCACCATTTACTGGCTTGTAGGTCGAACCGTACAGCCCAATAAAAAAACCTGTAGACAGAAATGCCTAGGGCTGTATGAGAGAAGCTGAAAGACCAGCCAAACCCAGCATTCTCTACATCAACTGACCTTTGACAAAGCAAACAAAAATATAAAGTGGGGAAAGGACACCCTATTCAACAAGGGGTCCTCAAACCCTTGGCCTGTTAGGAACCCAGTAGCACAGCAGTAGGTAAGCAGTAGGTGAGCAAGCATTACCATCTGAGCTCCACCTCCTGTCAGATCAGCAGTGACATTAGATTCTCACAGGAGCTGGAACTCTATTGAGAACTGCGCATGCATTGGATCTAGGCGACGTTCTCTTTATGAGAATCTAACCCGTGATGATCTGAGGTGAAACACTTTCATCCCGAAACCATCCCCCTTACCGCTTCCCAGGAAACCAGTCCCTGGTGCGAAAAAGGTTAAGGACCGCTGCTCTACAGTCATACTAGGAAGGAGGAAAAAGAGAAAGAGTGGGGTGGGGGACAGGTGGGGAAACAAAAACAAACAAAAAGGAAATCCAATAACATTACAGGAAAATTTAAAAATATCCTATCGGCACAAAAGTAATTACAAAAATTAGAGATGTCTAATCTTGGAAATAGGAGTCCATAATGAACTCCAATACAGCCAATTTAACTTCAAAACCCATCTCTTAAGGACCAGCTGTCCTACCTCTCCAAAAAGATGGGTTGCAAGACAGGAATAAGCAACTATTTTTTTCTTCAATAGGCAATTATTTTTTTCTTCTTGGTGGCTCATTTAACATGCACTTCATCAAGAATTTATTAAGTAGGGTGGATAATAGCTTTTCTTGGTGCAGAGAAAAAAGGAAATAAGGTTTTATGGATTCTGACAATTGGCAAATAAGCCTGAAGTATAGCAAGGAAGATAACAAGCAAGATAGCAAGGAAGTATCAGTAAGATTCAATAATAGATGGATAAATGGGTTTATATTCTGGCTAACCCAATACCACTGCAGAATTATATGAATGTAAGGAGAAAAATAATCAGTGTTTAGTTTTAGAAGATGCCTCTATTTCTCCATGAGGACAGACAACATAATTTAGAAAGACTGAAAATAGAGGGCAAGAAGAATTTTTAGTAACTTCATATATATATATATATATATATACACACACACACACACATATGTGTGTGTATACATATGTGTATATGTATATGTTTATGTAGCTCTGGTTTATAAGACCAGAATGGCTCATAAGAGGGGGGATCTTAAAAAGGAAATGTGCCACAAGCCAGATACGGACTTGCTCAGGTGAGAAAGGAGATTTAGGGTGTCAAGGTGTTGAACATTCACATGCATGGAAATTATTTCTCTCAGATGAAATCTACATTCCCTCCAACTTTCATTATTTGTTTCCGAAAACATACTTCTATAACTGTGGCTGCTTTATTGTTTCCCCTCAAAAAATTCTCTAGAATTCGTGCAGCTTGCTTATACTTTATCCATGAACAAATGAACTTTGTGAATTGGTGAATGTAGAAGGCCGAAGGAAAACTGGCCATTTAAATGAAAAAAAAATTATTTAGTTTCTTGTAAATCCATAAAATGATATTTAGGTTAATATTTTGGTCATAGAAATATGAGAAAAGCTTGAGATTCTAGCTAACTAACTGCCTTCCTCCTCTATTTTCTCTTTAACTGTTATCACTAGATTTGTATCGTGGTCATCTCTGGGTCAGATATACTTAAGAATGACACCTTGGGAATTTTTGGACAACTCATTCGTGTTTATAACAGAGCACATTGGCTTCCCAGATCTCCTTCCACCCCACTCACTCTGAGAAGATCCTTAGAAATGAGACTTCTTCAGAGGTTTCCCCTCTGTCAATCTGCTCAATTGGGAGTCTCTATTGTAAAGAAAATAGGCAATGACTTCTCAAGTATGAGGAAACTGAGGAAAGACTATTTTTCAAAATTGTCTCAAGTTCTTTGACAGGACTTAGTGAAAGAGATGTCCTGTGAAGACCACTAAGCCTCCTGTTTTTGCCTTCACTGGCTTTTGGAGACATAATGTACAGTTGAGTCTGTCCCTGATTCCAGCAGTGCACTTTCAGAGTTTTCACAACAGCTACTGAAATGAGCTCACACATTATTAAAATGTTAACTCAATTTTTTATGAATCTATTTTTCCCTTCCTCTGATATAGAAATGTTTCCGGTATTCAGTAATTTTATTTGGCATGGTTTAAAAGAAAAGTTGCGAAAAAAAAAAAAAAAAAAAAGAAGAATCCTAATAATCTATTCCAGGTTAATTTTTTAGTTCTAAAAATCCTATGCATATGTGAAGGTGCTAAGTTTTTTTAAGTGTTAACAGAGACAATTACTTTAGTGAATGCAGGAATAGTGGATGCCAGAATAGAGAAGGAGAGAAGGAGTCTCGCTGGAGTGAAAAACCTAGTGAGTTACTCCTATATGTTACAATTGACAGCTAGAATAGATGAAAGAGACCCTATACGTGTGAGAAAAATGTGGTCCCAAGGGCAGCTCTATAAACCAATCTCACAGCATCCACATTGGCAAACAAACAACATAAACTACTAGCCTTGAAAAAAATCCCATTGTTCCACACAGGGAGCATTGCAATGGAGTCTGGTAAAAACTGTATACTAGCCTTTTATTCCTGAATATTCTCAAGACATAAGAGAGTCAGGGTCTTTAAAAATTACTGGTTATTGGAAGTAAAGAATAGACTCAATTCTGACTGAGAATTTTCATTTGATTTGAAAATTTAGGAGCCACAAATAGGAATTAATCTGGGAAAAACAAAGTGATGATATTGTAGTTTTCAAATTGTGAAATAAAATAAGATTTTGTTGAAGCATCTTAAATACATAATACTAGTGACTTTTTTTGTAGCTGTATAAATGTTAACTGCAAATTTTTCCTTATAAAAGTGAGGCAGTATAGCTGCAAGTGCCCTAGGCTGTGAACTCAGATCTCAGAGCAGGGCTGATTTCTAGACTGATTAAAAAGCTCAACTGCTTTCTATGTAAGGGGCAGCCCATTAGCAATATGCTCATAATCTAGTATTTTTTTGTGAAATCATATGGATAATCTTTTTACTTTAATTATTGAATTTATTTTCAGAAATTATTACATCATTTTGACCTTGCAGACTTTTTATAATTGCATACATCCTTGTAATCATATTGGCAAGATGCAGAATGAATCAGTATGAAACTTAAATAGATCTAGGCTCACAATCGGTGACTTACATAATAGGCAAACAGAATGACAAAGTAAGGGAAAAAAGGAATAAATGGTGCAATGTTCAGAGTTCAGGTAAATTATTCAATGTTACATATAAAATTGTACATTTATTCAGTGTATTTAATTTTCAATTGCTAAGAGTAGATTTTTGGGGTTGTCTTTTGTACTGGTGTGCTGTTCTTTATATTATTTTTACAATGGCATATATTATTCATATGATATACAATTTGAATAAATAAAAGTTGTTTTTAAAAAACTAAAATAAAAACTAAGCAAGGAAGCAAAAAAAAATTTAACTTACGGTATGAAGAGCTAATGTTAAATCAGAAAATTCAGGGTAGCCCAGTGTGAATGCAGAGAGTCAGACAGACTAGAATTTTAAGAAAATTATTTATAAATAATACCTCTAAAATGCTTATATATATATTCACTTCAAAAAATAACATGTGTGGACTTCCTTTTGTTTTCTAGGGAAGATCTTGAATAAATGGCAAATTCTGACATCCTTGGCAAATGATGTTGTTATTTTGAAGTAAGAAATGTTTTCCTGGAAATTATTATTTAGAACTAACAAATGTTTTCAGCCATCTCTGATAGCTGAAGGGAGTTAATGACAGATAATTTATAGGGCATTTTGTTATGAAAGTTGAACTCAAATACATTAGTCTTGTATTTGATTTTTGTTATTTGAATTTTCAGAAAATGATTAATGTCTGTGGTTAGAGATTTGTTTGTTCTGCACATGTATTAGTAATCCTCTACTTTATTAAACAATTTAAACGGAATTGTCATTGGCCTCTTGACCTCATATTGCTCAGTTATATAATACCTTGGGAAAAAATACACTTTATATGCTTTTCTGGTGAGATAAGATCCCATTACTCATGTATGTATATGTATGCATGTATCTTTTTTCTTTTTGCAATGACTATTACTCTGTATCCTGACAAAGCTAATAGCCGTATCCTCCTACTTGGAGATTTGAGAAGCATGAGTGCTGGACGTGATCCTCAAGATCTACCATGTACAGCTCCAAGATCTAAGTGTTTTCTTGAATGAGAACTCAGACTCTCACTTTTGGCAGACATTACTTGGAGATGAGAGATTCTTGAAATTGGGCTTTTGGTGTCTGTAATTATTACTGGAAAGGGAAGAATAGGGATAATGAGATAAATGACGTGGAGAGATTCTCTCCTTAGATTGTTAAAGAGAACTTTCACTACAATCTATTTACCACTTCCTCACTTTTATTTCATTATGTGCCATGGTCTTTCAGTCAGAAGAATTTCTAGTTAATGGAAAGGGAACTGTGAACTTTGTTAATATTGTTCAGTTCCCTTTTATATAGCACTCCTTCTCTTTGTCAGGCCTGTCTTTTACTGTAGTTATTTCTGACCAGAAACAAATCAGGAAATTATCCATATATGGAGTAACAGAAGTAGCTGAAGGAGCCCTTCTAGTGTGTGTGTCTTCTCAAATAAGATGCATGGGTTATATCTGATTAAGTTCCTTCTAATTTAATGAAAGCACATTTACTATGATACTATTGGACGTATTTGGACATCTTATACTTTTATTTTATTTTATTTTATTGAAATAGAGTCCTGCTCTGTTGGAGGCTGGAGTGTAGTTGCACAATCTCGGCTCACTGGAACCTCTGCCTTCTGGATTCAAGTGATTATCAGGCCTCAGCCTCCCTGGTAGCTGGGATTACAGGTGAGCACCACCATGCCTGGCTAATTCCTTTTCGTATTTTTAGTAGAGACAGGGTTTCACCATGTTGGCCAGGCTGGTCTTAAACTCTTGGCCTCAAGTGATCTGCCTGCCTTGGCCTCCCAAAGTGCTGGGATTACAGGTGGCCTGTACCTGTAATTTATACTTTTCAAAATGTGCTTGTGTATATTATTTATTCATTTTATGAAAATCATCACTCATGATGCATAGCATATTGCTATTCTATGTGAAAAAGTGCTTATTAATCATTAGATTAAGGCAAATTAAAATCACAAGATGAACCACTAATTGCCCAGAAGAGCAACCAGAATTTACCAAGAGATTTATTACTATGTGTTGACAAAGATGCAGAATGAATGAAATTCCAGTCATACACAGGGGAATGTAAATTTATACAACCACTTTGAAAACATTTTGGGAAATCTACATAAAGTATTCCTTATGACCCACTAATCCACTCCTAAATATACATCCTACATAAATAATACACTATCTTTTTTTTTGTAGAAATGGGGTCCCACTATGTTACCCAAGCTGGTCTCAAATCCCTGGGCTCAAGCAATCTGCCCGTCTCGGCCTTCCAAAGGACTGGAATTACAGGCTGCACTCATATGTTAATTAAAATATGTGTACAACAGTACAACATTCTTCATATCATTACTGTTCATAGTATACCAAAATTTAAATTAAAAAGTTTATCTCCAGTAGAATGCCTAAATAAGTTGTGATATATTCATGCAAATAAATTTTATGAAGCAAAAAAAAAAAATAATGAACTCTCACTACATGCAACAAAATGAAAGAATATCAAACATCACTTTAAGAAACGAATCTGGACAAAACTTATTCTTAAAGAATACTTAATATTGAAGAATATTAAATATTGACAACAGACAAGTTCTATTCTATCTAAAGATTTTTCTTCTTTTACCCCACTTTTTTCTTTACCTCTTTCAATGTATCTAAAGATTATGTCACACACAAAGACCTGGGCCTTCCCTGTCTCTTCTTCCCTATCTCCTCAATATAACAGAAGTCTAAACCACTGCAGGAAGATCGAGAAACATAGCTTCCCTTAAGGTACTGGTAAAAATTTATTCCAGCTCATAGACGGGAACAAGAAATTAAAAGATGGGAAATAGCATAAATATGTGTTAGATTAAGACCTAGAACCAAAGGCAGAGCAAGATCACTGAGAAAGTCCCACTTACAAGTCCCAGAGATACAGAGTCTGCCTATAACGGAGGCTTAATCAGAACTGTTTCATCTATCTGTGTGTATGTTTGTGTAATTATTTAGCCTGATCATAGAAAATACAATTTTTTTAATAATATAGAATATTCTGTAAACCAAATAATCATAAATTAAATCAAAAGGAAAATAGTAAATTCCACAGTGTTAAAATACACACAAGATCTATATTATGATCTTAAAGTCTTTTATACAGTATATATATGTGTTTATGTGTGTGTGTATATATGTATGTAGATAAAGATTCCATATATATATATATATATATATATATGTATATGGCTTCTTCATCTATTTGATACTAAAAGTCCTATATAAATATTTTCTATATTGAGTATGTTTCTACCTAGGTTTTCTAGCATCTATTTTAACTTTTAACTTTACAATTTTGGTTCCTATACATTTGGTACATAGCTATTTATAAGGTTTAATTTTTCATTGCAAATTTTGATAGCATTAAGTTGTCACATTGAAAGTTGTTGATTTAAATTATACTGACTTTCTTATCAGATTCTCAGATCCTTCTTTCTTAATGTCTCCATCTTTCTAGCATAATTTTGTCCTTCTCTTTACTTGCAGTCTTTCTGAATTATTTTGCTTTAGGTGTCTTTTTTTGTATACAGGACATAGCTGGGAATTATATTTGAGCTTATAAAAATACTTTTTATCTTTTAATAGGTAAGTTAAGACATTTCACGTTTATTTTATAAATGGTGCATGAATTGAACATCTCTAATATAACTAATAAGTACAAAAAAGATACTCAACATCATAGTAATTGAGATTATTTTAATTAAAAGCACAATTACATGCCACTATAAGCTCAATACAACAGCTATAATAAAAAACATAGACAATAGTATTTGTTGTTAAGGTCATGAAAAAATGGGAATTTTAATGCATTCTAGGTAAACATGTAAAATAATACAGCCAATTTGAAAAAGTTTGTTTTCTTAAAAAAATAAATAAATAAACATAAATGTACCAGAAAATCCAGGAATCCCTTTACTCAGTATCTACCTAAAAGAAATAAAAATATGTTTATACAAAGACTTAAACTCATATATACATGATAGCATTATTTATAATAGCTAAAAAGGTAAAACAATCCAAGTCTTGATAAACTCTTTAATGAATATCAAAATGTGAACTATTCATACATTGAAATGCTAATAAGAAAAATAATAAATAATGAAATACTGATTTATATTACAATATGGATAAATATTGGAAATATTATGCCAAGTTAAAAGACAACCTAAAAACTACATATTGTATAATTCCATATATATGGAACATTCAGAGGCAGAACATTAGAGAGAGGTAACTGATTTCTTGGTACTAGGGTAGAAGGTGAAATTAATTGTAAACCAGCACAAGGCATCCTTTTGGAGTAATGATAATGTCAAAAACTAAATTATGGTGACAGTTGCGGAACACAATAAATATACTAAAATTCATTGAAAGTTACATATGGGAGAATGTTACATGGGAGAATTTTATGGTATACAGATTATATCTCAATAAAGTTGTTGAAAGTACTGAGGAATATAAAAGTTATAAAATTGCCAAAGTACTCTTCAAAAAAGAATAAAATGAGATTTACATTATCTGTATCCAAATGTGCTATAAGTCTGTAGGGATCAAGAAAGTATATTAGTGTATGGTGAGAAAAATAAATATCTACAACAATAAAACAGAATTAGAGTCCAGAAGTAGATAACACATATATGGTCAATTGATTTTTGACAAAGGTGGTAAGATCATTCAAAAGATTCAAGGATAATCTTTTCCACAAATAGTGTTTAAATTTTTGGAATTTAGGAGCAAAAAATATGAACTTCAAACCCACATTACACTGTACATAAAAATTAACTCAAAATGGATCACTAACCTACCTAAATGTAAGCTGAAATTATAAAACTTCTAGATGTAGTCATATAAAAAAATTTAGTGACCTTGTGTTAGACAAGTATTTCTTAACATGTGGTGTCAAAAAAGGAAACATTAAAAAATGACAAAGTGGATTTATTAAAATTAAAAATGTTGTTCTTCCAAGGAGACAACAAAATTAAAATATAAGCCATAGACTGGCAGAAATTATATTTGCAAAACGTATATGTGATAAAGGATTTGTATCAAAAAGAACTCTTACAACTCAGCAAGTAGACACACTATCCAATGAAATCATTGTACAATGAGCAGATGATTCACTAAAGAAGATACTTGGATGGAAACTAACGATAGTAAAAGATGCTCAAGGCCAGGTGCGGTGGCTCATGTCTATAATTACAGCACTTTGGGAGGCCAAGACGGGAGGATAACTTGGGGCCAGTGGTTCAAGATCAGCCTGGGCAACACAGAGAGACCACATCTCCTCAGACAATTTTAAAAATTAGCTGGGCAGTGATGTGTGCCTGTAGTCCCAGCTACTTGGAAGACTGAGGTGGGAGGATACCTTGAGCCCAGGAGTTTGAGGTTACAGTGAGCTATGATCTTGCCATTGCACTCCAGCCTGGTTGACAGAGGGAGATCCTCCCTCAAAAAAAAAAAAAATGTTCAACACCATTAATCACTAGTAATATATATGCAAATTAACCCACAATAAGCTATTACTATACACTAAAAAATAGAAAAGCTTATGTAATAAAGGTTGAAAATACTAAATGTCAGTGAGGATGTAGAGGAATTAGAACGCTTATCAAGATGCTGGTGGCAATGTAAAATGGTACAGTCACTTTTTAAAGAAGTATTTTGACAGGTTCTTAAATGATTAAAAAAATCCACTAAATAATTCAGTACTTTCACCCCAAGTAACTACCCACAATAAATGAAATATATGTGGGTTGATTTGAACAGAAATATAAATCACAGTTGCTAAAATTGGGAACAATTAAGATGTACATCATCTGGTGTTTGGATAAATAAAACGTGGTGTATACAAGGTATGAAAAACCACTCAGCTAAAAAAGAATGGAAGATGGCCAAACAGATGCAACCGGAAAGCTCCGTTCCTGCTGAAAGAGACCAAAATATTGAGTAAACCATATAGCTAACAGACACTATAAAGCAACTATACAATCAACTCTACAAAACAACCAGCTGACAGCATGATGACAGGATCAAAATCTCACATATCAATACAAATCCTAAATGTAAATGATCTAAACTCCACAATTAAAAGGCACAGAGTGCCAAACTGAATAAAAAGACAAGACCCAAGTGTATTTGGTCTTGAGAGATCCATCTCATATATAATGACATCCAAAGGCTCAAAGTAAAGGATGGAGAAAGATCTACCATGCAAATAAAAACAAAAAAATGCAGGAGCATCTATTCTTACATAAGATAAAAAAGACTTTAAACCAAAAACAATAAAGAAGAGCATTACAAAATGATAAAGGTTCAATTGAACAAGAAGGCTTAAGTACCATGGTACCATATCTATGTATCCTTTACGTAATGATATTTCTCAGCCTGTTCTGTCTTGCTAATTATGGCTATACTGTAGTATATTTTTGTTGGTTCTATAGCTTTTGATTTTAATAATTTTACATGTTTATTCATTTAATTATTTACATATTTCTTGAATATCTCTCATATCATCAGACTGTTTCTTATTCCTATAATGAATGAGAAGAACTATCATTGGCATTCCCTTTTTGTAATTTACAAACTTGAAAAAAAGACCCAAATTCTGTTAGGAGTTTTACAGGGGAAATGTATGAGCCATTCTTGACATCTGAGACCTTGTCTAGTTCAGAAAGGTGGGAACTGGTGAAGGGAAAGTTTTATCCAGATGAAGGCAGGGAATAGAGAATTTTAGGCTGACACTGAGTTTTGAATAAGGGCTATCTGGAAGGCAACTTGTCTGTGCTTTAATTTGACTCAGTTAGCTGGGTTTTCATGCTCATGTATTCTTTCACCTCTAGTACGCTTTGATAACAATTTAAAAGAACATGCATCCTAAACAATATAATAAGAGACATTACATCTATTCAAATAAAATAGAAATGACAAATGTACATTATCAACACTTTAAAAAATGATACAATAAATATATATCCAGGAGGTAAAATGAAGTAAAAGGTGATGAGATATGACTGATTTTCCCCATTAAGAAAGTAACCAGAATAGGAGCCTCCTCTGCTATTAGAATTCCCAAGGCCTTGGTCAGGTTTGTGACCTGTCCCTGATTATTTAGATCCATGGCAAATGAAAGGTCTGAGAGGAAAATAGAAGATGCGTGAGAGGAAACTACAAATGAGGGAACTTTGGGCAACATTAACAAAGCTCACTACCCCACATTCATAATCCAGGAACACCCTTAGCCAGCCTTGGGGCCTTGGAACATAGTGAGGTAACAGTGGGGAGGTAGAGAAGAGACTGAAATGGTCATCCACTTTAAGACACAGGAGTAGAAAGATACCCTCAGAGTCAAGTCACATGTCATTCCTCTTTGTCCAGGCTTCTCTGCAAAGTCCTGTAACCCAATTACAAGAGTCTCTCACATCCACCTCCCAGTAATGTTTGCCAGAGCTGAGGATCTGAGCTCCCCATGAAGAAGTATACTGTGTACTTGTTGGATTACAGGACATGTCTGTATCATCAAGGCTGCATTGCAAATGCCTCAGGTCTTCGAACAGAAGCTTGTGATTCCTGCATATCTTACGATCCAAGGTGATATACACTGTAGCAAAAGAAAACAGTGAATGCAAAAAACAGTTTAACAGTTCAGAGGTACAGGTGCAGAGGCAGTCTGGCAAATGCTTAACAACCAATCCCTGAAAACAAACAAATAAACAAAAGCAACTGGTTTTGTTTATTAGGAATATTTCCACCTCACTAAGGACAGTTTCAAGTTACCAACAATTTAATAATCAGTCAAAAAATTTCAAAACATTTAACAATTTGCTCTCATGAGTCAGTACTAACTGGCTCCAGAACACCACTCTATCACGAGTGGCATACAGAGTATATCAGAGGAATTATGGAGACAGTTTAGCAACAGCTTCTTGCCCATTTGCAGGGCAAATGAATCTTTAATCAAGCAACTAAGATGAAAGAAAATTTAGAGAAAACATAAAGATGTAGGATGTCAAGCTCTGATTTAATTTTTACTAGACTACTAAAAATTTGCCAGCTTATTCATAAGATGCCAAGAAAACATCAAAATGGCCCTTTATTTAAGCCTCCTTATTAACCAATTTTCACAAAATAAAATAAACATACTAAAAATAATAAAAATATTATTAATTATACTCAAGCTATGACATTGTTACCATTATTAGTCCTAAACAATACCACTTTGCCTAAGATGGGAGGGCTTCACACTTGATCTTAGCCAAAAGGCCAAGAAGTAATGAGGGCTTCACAACTTAAGCAAGCAAAAGTGAAATAAACTGAAAATCTATATGTGCCTTTTTAAAAAGGCGGTTTCTCTCCCAGAATTTCTGGTTTGGACACCATTAAATCAGAATTCTCTTCATCTCATCCCATGGCTGCCTCTCTTCTATATGCCAGACTCACCCTCCATTTCCATTTGTCTGTATAGCCCTCTACACAGTGAAGGGATTTTCTTTCAGACTACTTTGTTGTTGTACCTATTGTTTACAAACTTGTTTTTCTGCTTTTGAGAATCCTGTGGTTTTTCAAATGTATTCCTTAAAAACTTCAATCTTTAGGTAAACATTCGAATAACAACATTAAGATATTTCTAAGAATTGGATCATGTAAATATAACCAGAGTTGAAATGCTTTGAATGAATATGCAGTTTTATATGCTACACTGAAAAATGAATGCTTTATTTATAGCATTCCTCCAGGTCTTTTTTTGAGTGTTTTTTTTTTAAATCACTTAAAATAATCATGTTACGTACTGTATTTCTTATTTGTTTATTTATTCCAGACTTCAGTTAGCTTTTCCTGAATGTTTATTAACAGTTTTAAAATTGGTTATAAAGGTTTCCATATTTACCTGCTTGTTCACTGAAAATAATAATAGAGACAGAGAAGTGAATATAGACTAAAGTGAATATAGGTCACCCATATAAAAATACTTATGTTGGAAACATTAGTGCAGTTCACACTCTCACCTCTGAAGAAGTTAAGCCTTTCTGACATCCCAGTGATGGTCCATGTACTGAGCTGTGGGTTCACAGGCTGAGGCATGGCCAGCCTCAGAAACTCATTCCTGCAAAGAAAAATACCTACTTTTTATTACCAGTCCCAAAGGAATCATTAGCAATCCACTAATAAGATGCTTGATCAGAATCCTCACAATTAGGTTGAAGAGTGTGACTTGAACTCAAGAACTAAGACATATTGCAATTGTAACTGTATTTTATGATGTGCTCTGCTGCTTTTAACACCTCTATGCCAGTAAAGTAGGTTATCTCAGTCATAATTATATCAGTTCTCACCTTTGCAGCTTCCTTAGGTGAGCCATGCAGAAATACTAATTTAATTTCTGAAATCTGATAGCTGTCAAATTTTTGGAACATGCCACCTGCTACATATGGAGCCTCAGCTCTATACTACATTCCTTCTTGGTGATGTTCCCTTTCTCCTATTTTCACCATCTCTCCATCAGCTGCCTCTCTGAGATTATTTGCCTTTCCCATTGACAACCTGGAATAACCTTCAAATAATTAGGATGTAGAAAATTAGAGGCAGGAAAAATAGTTGTCTTATTGAAACTTCTTTCTACATTAGGCCTTGCAATTAAAACTGCTTCCCATCCTTCACTTTCATCTGAAGTAGTCAATATACAAAGCCTGGATGACCTTTGAAAAGAAAGGAATAAATACAGACAGAAATTCCTCACTAAAAGTCGATCCCAGCAGAAACAGCCTTATTATTGTCACAATTACCAGGACTTGGATAGAGGGGCAAACTTACCTTTTCGTTATGTCTCCCAAATCCTATAAAGAGAGAGAGGATTGCTTAGTTTGCAGCACAAAATGGTTCTCTCAATATATCCTAGACATGCAGTCTGAGGATATGCACTGAATTGGAAAACTTAATGTCTTCCACTTTCCTTCTTTGGATAAAGGCATTTTTTCATTTTCTTTTTCTTTATAAATATGAAACCCAGTCTGACATCTACATATAGCTGATAAAATTACACTCTTGATGAAACATAGTCAGATGGACTGAGGTTGAACAAATGGGAAGAGGAAGGGAAGACATTCTGCTGTACAAACATCTGCAACAAGATTGACAGAGGTCCCCACAAAGTTCTTATAAGGATGTGTGGGGCCCAAATTTAGGACTTTAAAACTAAAAGAGTAAATAAAATTCATAAATCTCACACTTTCACATATTGACACATCCTTATACAAAACTGAATCATGTATTCACGAGCTGCTCTGTTGCAACTACTAAGAATCAGTGGGTGTAGTAAGATAATTTTAGAAGAGAATTTTCCTGAATTTGTTACTAGAACCTTTCCAAATAGTTTTCCTTCTCCTCTATGGGACAAGAAAGAGTGAGACTGGGTCTACAGAGGAGTGAAACCTGTCACCATAAGGTCAGGAGAGGCAGAATCTGAATATTTGGAACCGGAAAAGTAATATAGATCAAAAAGGATATAGACTCTAGCGATACGATTCCCAAGCAGGGTGGTGTTCAGCACCCTGACCTCCTTCAGTTTTTACCTGAGACAGGTTCACATCTGCTTTACAGCTCATTTCCTTCAGTTTCTCATACATTTCTCTCAGGAGTACACCCATCTTTGCCATTTTAGTTTGACTTCTCTTGAGTTGCTGAAAAACTAACCTGCCTTCTCTTGCCAGGCTCTCTAAGTGCTTTTTCTCTTCTTCACGGAGGTATTGACACACCTTAGGATATTCAGCGCTAATCATCATGCTCTGCAAATTTATAAAAACCTGTAGTGATATTTGATTAATTAAATCATGTGTCTAAGTGGTTTTATTCTTTCCTTATCAGCTATTCTGCTTTGTTTCATGTTTTGTGCTATTCTATTAAATATAGTTTAATGCCTTTCCACTTCAAATACAGTATAAATCTTCCTTTCTTCCTCCTTCCCTTCCTTCCTTCCATTTCCCTGCATCACTCTACCTACTTTCCCTCAAACCTCCATATTTACTTTTTAAAAATAAAGATAATAAAGATAAATTAAGATCAAATTTATGTTGTCTTATATAATGTTCTAACCTCTTCATCATTATACCTAAATTTTATTCCATTTTTCTCAATACTCCTACTCATAACAATTTACTTCCTCAGGAAAATAGAGAACATAAGATATTGCTGCATCTTTCTAAAGTACCTCCATTTCCAAAACACTCGGTGTTTTCACCAGTGTTTGGCTATGCTTGCCTATTACCCAAGACTACACATCTCTATCCACCCCTTGTCTAGATTACTTTCTTACAATGTTCATTCTTTCCTTCTGCCTGCCTCTGTCTTCCTGTCTCTGTCCCTATTGTTTGCCTACTCTCTCTTTCTGGCTCCATTTCTCTGTCTCATTCTTTCCCTGGCTTGTCTTTGATTTTCTCTGTCTCTGTCTTTCTGTCACTGTGTCTTTATTTCCCCTATCTCTCTTTCACTCAATTATATTATTATTATTATTATTGAGACAAGGTCTCAGTTTGTCACCCAGGCTGGAGTATGGTGGTGCAATCATCGTTCACTGCAGCCTTGAATTCCTGGGCTCAGGAGATCCTCCCACCTCAGCCTCTTGAGTAGCTGCGACTTCAGACACATGTCGCCATGCCAGGCTACTCAATTACTTTTTTTTTTTTTTTGAGACGGAGTCTCCCTCTGTCACCCAGGCTGGAGTGCAGTGGCATGATCTCAGCTCACTGCAACCTCTGCCTCCCGGGTTCAAGTGATTCTCCTGCCTCAGCTTGCCTCCCGAGTAGCTGGGACTACAGGCGCATGCCACCATGCCCAGCTAATTTTTGTATTTTTAGTAGAGACAGGGTTTCACCATGTTGGCCAGGATGGTCTCAATCTCTTGACCTCATGATCTGCCCACCTCGGCCTCCCAAAGTCCTGGGATTACAGGCATGAGCCACCGCGCCTGATCTCAATTACTTTTTCACACAGTTTTTCCCTTCTTTCCACATCACCTTTAAATACGTGCAAATTTTGCAAATTACTTTGGAAAAAAAATTAAAATATTCTTGTCCCAATTACCTCATCTAGCTTCTCTTGCTAAAACATTTCTATCCTTATCAAAGGTAAATTTATTAATCAAATGTGATCAAACTTGCTGTGCTCATGTGTGTGATTAAAGACCCCTTTACCTTTATTCCCTACTCTTTCCTGAACCAAACATTACAACTTACCAAGAACTTCTTTTTTCTAAATCCAAATATTATGCTTTAGTCCTAGAATTCTTTACCTTCCTTCTGCATTTGACACCATTTTCTACTTATTCCTTTTAACCATACCTTGTTTTTCCTGCCACAGAAAAATACATTCTTACAAAGCCACTGATTCATTTCTTCTGCACCTTCTTATCCCTGAAAATGGGTTCTTCTTGGCCAGCATACATTCTACAAACCTGGATTCTTTGTATCCATTCTCTGCTTTATTTTTCCCTGAAGCACTTCACGAACATTATTTATTATAAAGTTTACATTTTAATTTGTAGATTGAATTCCCCCACTAGATTATAGACTCCTAGGGTAAGTGATCTATTTCTTCTTTTGTCCACTTCTGTATCATTTTGTTGGGCTACAGCAGTGAGCAACACATGATAGGACCTCAAGAGAATGCAGGACTCCTCAGAAAATCCATCTGAAATGATCAACAAGATTTTTTTGTTCCCCTTTGGCATTCTCACAGTATCATGTATCAATTATTATTATTCTCTACTGGTCCCTGTTTATATGTCCCCTTCAGAAGTGCTTGAGATCTTTGAGAATAAAAATGTTGTTTAATTTACTTATTCAGTTTTAGGTACTTAATTCATATTTGTGAATGGATTATATAATCCTAATTTCTTACCTAAGCATTCACATTCTAGACCTGGCCATAAGTACATTTATAGCCATATCTCTCATCACTGCCTGACTCTTTTTCATGAATTAATCAAGAGGAGTTACTCACATGTCCAAATAATTTTACTGCTTTTCTAACTTTCAGCTTTCTTATTCCTAAAATCTTCCAACATTATCATCGGTAAATTTCTAAATTTTACTAATACATTAGCATCAGATTGATTTTCACCTAGAAGCTATTTTTTTTTAGCATTTCATGTCTGTTAAGCTGCTGTAGAACCACATTTTTACCTTCATTCTAGTGATCTTGCATGCCATTTTTAGCACATTTCTTGTCACTGCTGATGTATTATTGGTAGATACTGCTTTATTCACAAAAATCAGGATATTTTTAGTTATATATTGGATTCAACATGAAATCTCACACTAAAGATTAAGTTACATTGTAGAGAAACACATGTAGGTCCTTTTTCTGATCATCCTATTCAGGGGACATATGGTTAACTCAAGTTCTTCTCCCACAAGTCACATTTTCTATTCCAAACTGGTTCTGAGAGAAATTAGCTTACTGCTTACATCCCATGTTCCAATTATGTTGGTCTCTCTGTTTAGATTTCTTTGATTTTTCTGTTTTTTTTTCCAGATGGACTTCATTTGAATCAGGAGTTTCTTCTGAAAAACAAAACTATAAATTTGAGCACTAGAAAATAAAATATAGTATATTTCAGATACTTCCAAAAGAGGTACAGACATGGGACAAGTAAAGAGTGCAGAATGCAGACATGCAGGGGCTTTTCTTAAGGGCACTGATTATCAAGTCTGAGAGGTCAATGAAACCAAAGGTAGAATTCCCAAATTTAGAAAACAAGACCCATTATCTTAGAAGTCTGGCACTGAAACTGATACAACCTTGCCAATTTTCAGAAGTCACTCTTATTTTATATTTAATTTTAAAATGCTAGCCCTCAACTTATCTACAGTACTATTGGAGCATACTGACCAGTATTTATTAGAATTTTCTATAATAGATTCACTGCAATCATGACTGTGTTAGCCAATGACTATCATGGAAACTAGTGATTAATATAGAGCTTCTTACACTGAAATACCAGAACCCTAATGTTCATCAACTTTATCATCATTATTCTCCCTCAACCCAAGAGAATTTAAATTTCAGGTGAGCAGGGATGTTTGGTTTCTTCAGTGCTTTATCTTAGTGTCTAGAACAGTGTCTAATTTATGGTCATAAGCAATTCTGTTTGTTTATTGCATAAAATTATTAATAATGATGATGATAAGTATATCTTTCCTTATTACCTGTAGGATTCAGGGTTCTTCATATTTCAAAGTCCAATCAGTAGCATTTACTTACCCTATAGTATTCATCAGCCTCCTTTGTCATATAGTGTTTGTGAGTAGCATGCCTTGGGGATTGAGAGCAGAGAAAACACAGCAGGCTCCTATCAGTTTCACAGATGAGGTTCTTGATTTCCTGGTGCCTCCTACAGATCAGCATGGCAGAGCTTGATAACTGGCAGGAGACTGATTCTCTTGTAGGAATAACTTGTTTCTCAGCAAAAGTAATGCGTTTGAAGTACATTTGCTGTGATATTTCCCTGCGCCCAGGGCAGCAATTAGGAGTTAGTGGATCTTCCCACAAGAGGCAGAGACAGGGACTACAAAATCTGTGCCCACAGCCAATGGTGACAGGGTCTGTCAAATAGACTGTGCAGATCGAGCAGGTGAGCTCACTGGTAGAACACTGTGTGATAGCAGAAGCCATGTTTCTGAGAAAATAAAAGGAAAGTGTCATTCTTTCCCCCAAGGCATATGAAAGGAGCTTAAGACCTTTTTTACTAATTTGTGTATGCACTATAGCATGACAGGCCATGTTTTCTGAAAGACTAAAATAGGATGGAGAGACACAAACAGTGCAACAGATTGATCACATGCCCTCTTTCTTGACAACCTTGGCCTATAGCACTATTTTCCAGTTCCCTAATAGAAATCCAATATTTTTCATATCTGTTATCTCTTCTACAAAAACATAAAAATCACAGGTCCTGGGCTCATCTGTAGCCGCAGGCAGTGGATCATTATTTTGTCCAAAGCTATCAAGATTTCCCCCTTTTTTTCTCTCTCTTTGATTGGTCATCATAAGACATGTACTCCAATTCTGGCTAAGAGAACAAGAAAGTAGACTCGTAGAAGAATTCTGTAAAAGGTGTTCTTGCTACAGAAGAGACACATAGAAGAAACAATTGCTTTTTCTGCCTCTGGACATTATTTGGATGCAATATTTGCTTGTGTAACCATTTTGTGGGCTCATAGTGAACTAATCTAAGACAAAAGCCAATACTCTAAGGAAAACAGAAAGGTGGAAAGAACCTGCATCCTTAATAATACAAAAGAACACTAACTACATAATTCTGGAGAGGCCAACTAATGCAATAGAAGGAATGGTGGACAATCCTCATTTTACAGATGCCATAAAAATAACTGAATCAGGCAAGAATCATTAATGGATAATAAAATAACTAAGTCATAGATTTTGTGAAAGAGCCTATTTACATATCATCAAAGTTCTACCCCACATTAGCTCTATCCACAGTGTTATTGAGGCATAATAGATAAGTGAAAGTATATAATTTAATGTACACAGAGGTAGATGACTAAGGACACAAAACACCTCTGTAGTATTTTTGCCAAAAACATTTTACCTGCATGTAACCATGGGAGGAAATTAGATAAATGCATTTGAAAAACACTATGCAAAAAATAAGGCTGGCCTACTAAAAATAATTTTAATTTCTAAGGAGAAAATGTCTGGAAACAGCTATATAGCAAAGATAACTAAAAGAAATAAAAAATCTAACTCTGATGTAACTATAGTATCGTTGATTTGTACCTGGTTTGAAAAAAGTAACAGCCATTAGGACATTATTAGGACATTCAGGGATTTCATAAAACCTAATAGAGTCTTATGGTTGCAGCTCAGAAATGGAGAAGGATGAAAATACTATTGCCGCCTCCCTGCAAGAAAAAAAGTGCGAGAGAAACTAAAGATTAATGAGGTTTAGTTTGTTTGTTTGTTTTGTAAACCGTTAGAGAACAGAGGTAACAAGACAACTCAATCAGTTCTGGATAGAGACAGGTACAGCACTGAGAAAAACAGGACCCATGCATATGTTTATCTGGGGCAGATTCTACCAAAGTCCACAAAAACAGAAAATAAACCAAATGGTTTTAATTTACTGCTAAAAATCAAAGCTGGGCTAGAGTGAGCGTGCAAAGACCCTTAGGGTCGCAGACATAGAAGAATCCTCACCCAAAGGGCAGACCTTTCCAACAGAAATGCCAAGAGGCTCTCACAGGGAAAACCAGGAAGAATCAAGAGAAATTTTCCCTTCTTGTGGTACTGGCTGGCAGAGAAAAATGGCAGCAAACACATGAAATCAACCAAAATATCCGTCAATGATAGACCAGGTCAAGAAAATGTGGTACATATACACCATGGAATACTACACAGCCATGAAAAGGAACGAGACAATGTCCTTCACAGGGACATGGGTGGAGTTGAAAGCCATTATCCTCAGCAAACTGCAGGATACAGAAAACCAAACACCACATGTTCTCACTTATAAGTGGAAGCTGAGTGATGAAAACACATGAATACATGGTGGGGGACAACACACACTGGGGTCTGTCAAGGGTAGGGGGTGAAAGGAGGGAAAGCATCAGGAAGAATAGCTAATAAATGCTGGGCTTAATGCCTTGGTGATGGGATGATCTGTGCAGCAAACCACCATGGCACACGTTTACCTATGTAACAAACCTGCACATCCTGCACATGTACTTCTTAACTTAAATGTTGAAGAAGAAAAAATACATTTTAAAACATCTTTTAATTCCTAGAAGCTTTGCTCACCATGCATTTTCCCCAAGCACTATATTAAAACTGAAAGTGATTTCACATCAGATCTCTTTCTTCCAGTCTTTGCCTTTCTCAATAAACATAAAAGAACCCTTTCCAGTGAATCTGATGAAATTTTAATTTTCTTAATGTTTCTCCCACTGAAACACAACATTTAAAATAATTTATACCAACTATGTTAATGAATATTAACATAATAGTGACAAAGACTAGTTATGTATCATGGATTAAAATAATATAATGCAATTTATTTTTATGTTATTTTTCATTTTGAAAGTTTTTACAAGTAGCAAAAATATATGTGCACAGTTGAATTGGGAGAATAAAAGTAGACAGGTATCTGTATAATAACCACAGGCTTTTTAATTAACAATAACAAAACTTTTTAACATAAAAAGTCCAGAACCTGTTAAGGCACTCAGGAGGGGGGTCTCCAGGTGCAGAGAGTGGTTCTCATTCCAGTTCTACTCCTTTAAAAGATTTCTGGATAACCACTGCCACCATCAAGGTGACCACAAATGGGGCTTTTCCACATTAATATGCTTGTTGAACTCAGCTTCAATCTATTCTGAAACATAGGAAAGAGATGCAACTGGACCTTTGGTTAAAGGCTTTATTAAAGGCTCAGTGAAAACTACGGAGAAAGAAAAGCAAACAGTAACCAGAAGTCAGGTAGCCTAGTTCATGAAGCTCACTTTTCTCACCTTACAGTTGGTGCTTCTCCTCAAGGAACCTCCTTTGTCTTATCCTGCCTGCCCCACCACACAGAACTGATGCTTTGTAGCTGCCTGCACTGTCCAGATCCAGGAAGAGGAGGAGATGGGAGAGGGCTAAAGTCTTCATTACCAGCTGTGCTTTGTTTGCTCTCTGAGAAGGGATCCTTCTCAGATTAACAGCCAGGCTAATGAGTTAGCCTAGCTGGTGCATCAGTATCACCTGGAAAGCTTCTGAGGCCACAGATTGCTGGGGATTACCCATGGCTATTCTTCATTCAGTAGGTCTGGGGTGGGGCCAGAGAGTTTGAGTGTTAGGCAACTTATAAGAGGTTGCTGCTTGTCCCTGAACCATACTTTGAGAATCTCTGATTTAGCCCAATGTTCATAAAAGATGATATGTTTAGGTTGTAAAAGGATGGACAATTTTAAAAAATCTATTTGGAAAGCACAAAAATAGAAGTCCAGGATGTAAACTTGCCACTGTAGCTTCTTGCGGTTTGTGGTGGGTGAAAAGAATGGTAGGAAATGCATCCCCTTTTGCCCATACAACTACAGCACAGTGGGAAGGCTACTGTGCAGGACTCTTGCTTTTCAGGGTCTAGGAGCTCAAGGAACAAGATATAGACCCAATGTCCAGGGTCCCAGGCAGCCCTAGTTTTAGACATTTCTTTCCTTACCCCAACGTTACAACCAGTAGGTGATCAGGAAATGGGCCCTTACTACAGAGGTTCACAATGTGTGGCTGTGAATATTTTTAAGGTTCATAAAGTCAAAACTATTTTTATAATAATAATACTATTTAGACATTAATTGCCCTTTGAAATTTTATTATCCCATGAGTATACAGGAGATTTTCCCAGGGGCTACATGACATGAAATATCACAAAAGATTGAATAGAGAAGCAGATGTGAGAATCCAGATGACTTCTACTAAGCCAGACATTAAAGGGATTTGTAAATATGTAATCAAAGCCACTCTTTTCTTTATTTTTATGGTTTTGCAAAGTATACTTATTTTTTATAGAAATATTACATTACCAATTATGGTTTTATAATTATTTTAAGTTATTAATAAATAGATATTTAATATTTTTCAGCTTTAATTTCTAATACAGCATATCTTGACATTAAAAAACCCACATCAACAAAAGCTTGTGGAGACTCTCAATTATTTCATCAGCTTAACTGAGGTATAATTTACATACCATAAAATTTACTTAATGTATAGAGTTTAAAGACGTTAATAAATTGCTGTTAAATTCATTTTATGCATGATCACCATATCCACTTTTAGAACACTTTAATTCTTTCAAAAACATCTCTTCTCCCCCTGCTTTTTTTTATACTTAAGTTCTAGGGTGCATGTGCACAACGTGCAGGTTTGTTACATATGTATACATGTGCCATGTTGGTGTGCTGCACCCGTTAACTCGTCATTTACATTAGGTATATCTCCTAATGCTATCCCTCCCCACTTCCCCCACCCCAGGACAGGCCCTGGTGTGTGATGCTCCCCACCCTGTGACCAAATGTTCTCATTGTTCACTTCCCACCTATGAGTGAGAACACGCGGTGTTTGGTTTTCTGTCCTTGCAATAGTTTGCTCAGAATGATGGTTTCCAGCTTCATCCATGTCCCTACAAAGGACATGAACTCATCCTTTTTTATGGCTGCATAGTATTCCATGGTGCACACATATGTTTATTGTGGCACTCTTCTCCCCTTTTATAGTCAATCTCTACTCACATCCCTGTCTTCAAGGAACCGCTGCTCTGTTTCTTGTCTGTAAGATTTCTGTTTTTGTTGTTGCTATTTTTGTCGTTGGTTTGTAAAGAAGAGTCTTTCTTTGTTGCCCATGCTGGCGTGCAGTGGCACTATCACAGCTCACTGTAGCCTCAACCTCCTGGTCTCAAGCAGTTTTCCCTCCTCATCTTCCTGCATAGTTTGTACTTCAAGCAAACACCACCACACCCAGCTAGTTTTTAATTTCTTGTAGAGACAGGGTCTCACTCTGTTTCCCAAGCTGGTCTCACACTCTTGGGCTTAAGTGATCCTCTTGCCTTGGCCTCCCAAACTGCTGGGATTACAGGTGTGAGGCACCCCACCTGACCTGTCTATCAAGTTTTGACTTTTAATAAATATTACACATGTAATCATTCAATATATAATCCTTTGTGTCATTTAATATGTTTTTGAGATTCATCATGATTTTATGTATCTATGATTTGTTCTTTTTTTAACTTTTATTTTTTATAATTTCAACTTTTATTTCAGATTCAGGGAGTAAATGTGCAGGTTCTTTACATGGGTATATTGCGTGATGCTGAGGTTTGGGGTACGAATGATTCCATCACACAGATAGTGATCAATTTATGTATGTCTGAATCAGTGCCTGGAACTTTAAATAGACTCTTATAAATGTCTGTGGATTATATTATTTAAAACGAGCAGCCGTTAAAAATTCACTTTTACTGAAAACATTTCATGAAATAGACCCTTTGATAAAATATTTCTAAATTGACCCTTACATTTTCTTACCTTTCCTTCTACAACCAACTCTACAGCCTTCCATCATGTCTACTCCATTTGATTGTTTAAGTCACCATCCACTTCAACGTTGTTACGTACAATACCCTATCTCTAACCTCCTTTTAATCACTCTCTTTTCAATAATACTGTTGGTTACTTATTTCTTCTTGATTTCCTTTTATTCTTATAACTTCATATTCTGAAAACACTCATTTTTATTAGATTCTCAGACAAAATTTATATTCATCTGACTTCCAGCCTACCTCAGAGAACACCCTTTAGCAGACTTTTTGGAAGTCTCCTTCTTTTCTGTTTCATATCCAACTATTAGACTGTCCAAGTGCTCAGTTTTGCTACCTTTCCCTCCTTGATTATGCTCAAAATTAGTGTCATATGGTGTGATGCTTTAATACCTGATAATGTTACCCAAAGTTATGCTTCACTGATGTATTCATCTATTCAATATTTACTCACTAAATGTGAGTGCAAGGCATTGTTCCAGACTCTAAACTGTTCAGTAAAAATTATAGGGGCCCTTGTTTTGGACTAAGCTCCTGTGCTGGGCCCCAACAGAGCAGACTAAAAACCAAAATGAAGTTTCCCATACTGAAGTTCTACATCACCAAACCAAAACTAAGTCTTCGTTGTTGGGTTGATTTCTGACTGTCCTATTAATAGAAATCAGAAGATAGAGATTATGACAAGTAAATTCCCAAATAGGGTAGTTTCAGTCGGCATGATATTGAGGTTCTCTCTGTTTTAATGTTTACCCCAAAAAGTAACCTGAACTATTCTGATATTAACCAATCAGTTATTTTTCTGTACTCTTTCTCCCTGTCCCTGCCTTACAAGGAACATAACTTTGAGGTGATCAGCCAGTTTTCTGTTCATTGTTTTTGCTTTCTTCAGCTCTGTATATAAAACCAAGCTCTTCTCAGCTTATAAGAACACTTACTCTATTTTTTTTCTTTCTTTTTTTTTTTATTATACTTTAAGTTTTTGGGTACATGTTGTGCACACTTATTCTATTTTATGAAATACAGTGTTGCCAACTTCAGGAATCACAGATAAAGCCAATGAGGATCTTTAAATTAATGATTGTCACTTTGGTTTTTTAACAGAACCAAACAAATGTAATACATATTATGGAGTAGTAAACTATTTTTTTTTGTTTTGTTTTGTTTTGAGACAGAGTCTCGCTCTGTCGCCCAGGCTGGAGTGCAGTGGCACAAGCTCCGCTCACTGCAAGCTCTGCCTCCCGGGTTCACGCCATTCTCCTGCCTCAGCCTCCTGAGTAATTGGGACTACAGCGCCCGCCACCAAGCCCGGCTAATTTTTTGTGTTTTTAGTAGAGACGGGATTTCACCACGTTAGCCAAGATGGTCTCGATCTCCTGACCTCGTGATCTGCCCACCTCGGCCTCCCAAAGTGCCAGGATTACAGGCGTGAGCCACCGTGCCCGGCCATGGAGTAGTAAACTAATATTTGGGCTCCAGATTCTTACATGCACTGGGATAGGTAATGGGCATTTCAAAAATTAGAACTCCCAACTTCCCTGACAAAACCTGCTTACCTTTTTCTAAATGTCAAAATAACTAGGAATCATCTGGATTTCTCTTGTACTTTTACTTTCCATTTCAGGAAATTATCTTGCTTTTACCTCCAAAATATGTGGCAAATTGTCCAGTTTCCTTACTTTTTGTGTATTAAGTACCATTACTGAGCGCATGAAATAATTTGCTGCCAAGAGAACTTTCTTCTGTCTGTATTCATTTGTCTCCCGTTCTCCCATGAAAAAACCCAATAGAGCAAAAGGCAGAGGAAAGAGGAATTCAACCTTTTTATTTTTCCCTGCCTTACTGGTAAGCTAAGATGTGTCATACCATCTCTTGCCATTGCACTAGGATTTACATTATTAGCTGCCCTGGATTTCAGGCCTTCAGATTACGACTAAATTACACCATTAGCTTTTTCCAGAGCTTCTTGTTTAGAGATGATAGGATTGTAGAGCCAATTTCTCATTATAAAATCACATTCTCTCTCACACATACACATGCTCACACACACACATGCTCATTCACACACACACACACACACACACACACACACAAACAGTGCCCTATTGATGCTGTTTCTCTGGAGATTTTTGACAAATACCTTAAGGAAAATTTACATTGATACATAATAAAAGAAATTTGACAAAAATGAATACACATTATGGAATAAAACTGATTAATCCAAATTGGCATTTTATTAATATGTTATTATTTCAAATATTAGCATAATTGTTACAGTTGTAAGTGGTGTAACCATTAGCTTAAAAATTAGAAGCAATACAAAAACATATAACTGCTATTATTTAATATTGCTCTGTATTTTCTAAAAGAACACATAAATAAGGGATTTGAAATATTAAAAATATAAATATTACCATTATTTTCTGGTACAGTTTACCTAGAAAATCACTTATAATTTATTAAGAAATCTAGGAACAAAAACACTAAAATCAATAGATATAAAATGGATGCCACTTCTTCTATGATGCAAACATTAATGAGAACATGAAAACAGAGGAAAGTATGAGAATGCAGTAGCCTTCAACTGACTTTAAAAGATAGCAGTAAACCAAAATAATTAAAGCTATGTGGTATTGGTGAATTCACAGGTGGACCAGGAGAACAGTGTAGTGTGCATATCTACTCCTGTATCTTTCTAGGTATCCATGTATATTTCTGTATCTCCTGAATGATAAAGGTGAGGTGGACTTGCACCTGAGGCAGCAGGAAGAATCTGGAGCTTCCACCCAGGAGAAAAAATACAACAGACACCACTTGGAGCAGCAGTGCCCTGCCCAGTCACAAAACATTGATTCTATGGAGAAGTTTATTCAAGTGAAATAGATACATTTCCATGTTTAATTTCAAGTTTTTGAAATCAGTAAGAAGTCTCTTTGGGAGCTGAATCAGATATACATGTAAAAATATTGCCCCCTACATCACTCTGCCCACACTCAAGCATGGGAATGGCCAAGTCCTTACTTCAGGGAGTGGGGAGAGTGACGGCAGGAGTCTGGCAACATTCTTAAGGCACCTGCCCTAACTCCCACCAGCTACTCTTCACTCTACGTTCAGCACAGGAGTCCTGAGGGACACTTCACAAAGAAGGTGGAGATTACAGACTCAGTGTCCCCCTACCACCTCTTGCTGGCAGAAAATAAGGAAAGAAAAACTTGTTACTTCTGGAATACTCAGTCTAATACCCCATAGCCCAATCATCTCATTGTTTATTCAAAAAACCTCAATTCCATGAACTCCCTCTCTCTGGCTAGTTGTGTATATGGGTGAGGAGGCAATACTGGCTAATACGAATATTTGTTCTCTATGGTTGGTCCCCACTTCCTGGGTTTATGGACCTAATATAGAGTAGTGCACTGCATCAAGTTCCTTGTTTATAACCCGTCCCACTTTGTACAGAGGAGGAGGGGGAGAAAGGAGGGAAGGGAAAAAGCAAGGAAGTAAAAAGGAGCAGGAGGAGGGTCCCCTCCCTTTGACATAGATAACATGGATGGACTTTTGGCTTGGAAGGACTGTCCAACCTTTTAGGGTATTAACCAGGCTCAGGTTGAGCCTGAGTCAGGAGTACCCTGAGGAAGCTGAGCTAGAGCTGCTGCCCTCAGACTAGCCATCTTCATCTTCACTCCCACTGCTAGAGTCGGAGCAGTTACTACTTTCATCCTCTTTCCATCTTCCTTCTTGTTTTCCTAATCCCTGTGAGGAATTATACTTGACCCAAATGGTTTCTAATGGATTTGTTCCTGGACCCAGCAGCCTCTGCTCCTCTTCAAATTCTTCTTTCAGATTCCATTCTGATGGGATGGCAGATCTTTCTATCAAACCTGGTGTTTGGGCCTCCTGTGATGCTCATGTTCTTGTGCTAATTAGAAGTTGACTGTCTATGCAGCATAATTTTTTTGAGACAGACAATTGAGCCAGAGATTCAGGTCTACCTTGCAGTATTTCAGCAACTCCTCAGCATGACTCTTATGTTCCTTAAGGCTCTTCAGAGTATACTGATGGTATCTGCCAGTCTCTATCATGGTCTTACTCAGTGGCACCTGTTGCAGCTTCCTACTCAATCACGAATCTTGATGATACTTTTGGAATCCATTCATGAGGGGCTTCTTGGGCTCTCCATGGAATTGTATCTTTGTGGAAGAGTCATAGTTTTCTGGTTGAGATCTCAATTGCACATTTTCTGAGGCTTTATTGGGATAAGGGGATGTTTTGGATTGGTGCTTCTTGGGCACAACAGAGTTCTTGGAGTTCTGAACTAGATTGGGGGGGTCTTCACTGAGTTGAGAACAGGTTTTCCTCAAACTCCTGTTTGTCATAGAAATCTTGAATACATTTCAACTACCACTTCTCTGGGAGCCTCAGAACATTGGTCAGCTCCTAGTTACTTAGAATACATTATAGGGTTGTGGGAAACAAGTACTTAAGAGCTTCTCGGAGACGTGCTGATGGGTGTTTTTGGTTTTATTTATTTTGTTTTTTTTTTTTTTTTTTTTTGCCTCTTAGGAATTGTTAATATGTTTCTTAGTTTCTAGGATTCATTCTGTCAGAGTGATACTTGTTGAACACATAGGAAATTTCTAGCCACTTGAATATGCATATTACTCCAGTATAATCTTTAAAAGCTATTTTTTCTCAATCCAGCATTAACTGGGTTATTTTGAAATGCTGGATTTCATTAGATGGAAAGTTAGTATTCATGCCTTCCAGAAACCTTAGGAGTTCCTCTTAGGACCATTAGTCTTGGTTTTTAGGTAATGCCATTTCCAGGTGTTTGAGTCATTGATAATGTCCCAGTTCTGCAGACACCTCAGCAGGAACTCAAATGCCTTTACTCTCACAACTCGGAGGATACATTTCAGAGGGTATTATTTCTGAAATTCTTGCTATGTGTGTTATTATGTATTTCTGAGGAGAAGGACAATGAAAGTTCTTCTTTTTCCATGGTTTGAGTAAGAAAAATCACCCCATTTGTGATATGTTGTTTATATAAATAATTTACCGTTCACAATATAAATGAAAAGTTGCCTACTTCTGAATTACAATTTCTTTGTCTTTCATATACTACATGTACAATATTCAAAATCCTCCCCTTCCATCCCAGCCCAGCTTCTGCCAAGTCTTACCAGAGCCTGTCACAAATATAGCTGAATAAGACAAACGCCAGGCCACTCAATCAAGAGGCTTGCCGTAAGAAAAAGATGCTGGAAAAGGGTGGTTAAAAAAAAATGACTAAAATGGACAGGACTTTCCATCTCTATTGCTCTGAGTGTGGTCACTTTCTAAGTGCAGCCCAGATGTGCATGGCAAGAGGTGCAATTGGAAAGCTGGAGATGCAATGAGACAAGCCGAGGAGCTCCTCCAGACATGCATCCAGCTGTTGTTTTCCTTATGGGTAGAACATGAACCTTCAATTCTTCAGGACCCTGTGCATGAGAATGCATGGTTTTTTCCCTTCATATGGCAGGTGTTTCATAAAATTGGAAATGTTCTATTTAAGTCACAGTGCTTTGTATCTTACAGAAAATTCCTCTAATATATATATGTCATTTATTAGTACTTAAACATATAAAGAACTAAGAGCTACAATATCTTTACTAATCTTGTCTTTTCTAGTCTAATGTCTTTGAAACTTATTTCCTCAGATCATTCCCTGAACTATCCTAACTCTTTCAATATAGCATTTTCAGGATAACCTTCTAAGACTATGCTTCACATGAGTCAAATTAAATACAAACAAATAAAATATTTAATAAATCTAGATCTTGCCTGAGGAGTGGGCTAATAAGAAGAACATAACATAGGCCTTCAGGAAAAAAAATATGCAGAAGGGAGAGACAACATAAGACAAAGAGTCAAAAGGAAGGTGAACTTTAGAGAATGAACTTTGGAATATCTAAGAAACATATTTTAGTATTTTTAATTCTCAGTAGAATATAAAAGTATCCAGCTTTTGAATGGCATTAAAATGTTTACCAGAAGAGGAAATAACTCAATAATTATGGTAACTTCAGATAAATGATGTATCAGAAAAATAAAATAATCTAAAAAATTAAGAACATAATTTAAGTTCATATTTGAGAGAGAAGAGAAAATAGCAAAGATATTAGACTTAGAAATGGCTTTTGAAAAATTCTCCTATAATAAATTAAAATATGAATAAAAAACAAAATGGCAAAAAAATAAAAGATTTGAAGTTGATGAGTGCAGAAGATTGAAGAGTCAACTTGAAAGTTACAGAATTTTTCATTTCAAAACTCAGAAAAAATACTATTTCATCGATTTCCTAAGAAAAATTAAAATAATTATTATTTCTGTTATATTAAGTTTGGTTTTAAGGAAAAAGTAATATTCACATAAGAAAGTAGAAAAATGAAGAAATAAATTCCCTACCTCTTGTTTATGGTCACAACTTACTCTCAAATTCTTCAGGGTTAAAAAGTTGCCATCAACCTACAACTATTATGTAAGTGATACTTATGAAAAATAAAAATATGTATATGTAAGATGTATTCTAACTCAGAAAAAGGAGAAATCACACAAAATTGACATTAGAAAAGAGATCTGAAATATTTAGAATCTGAAACTAGTGAGGATGAATTACTGTGTTTCCAATTCTAAAAGGTAGGATGATGTGTGTAAATTCATGGAAACGGAAACACAGTTTTTGTTTGTTTGTTTGTTTGTTTGTTTTTGTTTTTTAATTGTGTGGCTCCTATGGGCCAGGCATTTTTTCAGATTGTATTGAGTTGAAGAATGGCCCTCCAAAATAGATGTCTAAGTCCTAACCCCTGATACCGGTGAAAATGGACTTCTGAAAATAGGTTCTTTGCAGATGTAATTAACTTGATAACCTCCAAAAGAGACCATTCTGGATTTAGGGTGAAACCTAAGTCCAGTGACTGTTATCATTATAGAAAAAAACAAGAGGAAGATTTGAGACAGAGACATCCAGGGTAAGACAGAGGGAGGAAGAGATTGGATTTATACTGCTGCAAGTCAATGAAAGCCAAGGGTTGCCATCAGCCAACAGAAGCTAGCAGAGAGGAAGAAGGTGGATTTCCCCTCAGAGCCTCCAGAGAGAACCAACTCTGTCAAACTCTTAAATTAAATTTCAGATTTTCAGAATTGTGAGATAATAAATTATTGTTTTAAACTCCTCAGTAGTCATTTATTATGGCAACCTTATAAAAATAATACACAAATGTTGGACACTTACCCGATTTTCTTCCTCCGAACTCTATTGGGTGGGTTTATCATTATTATTCCATTACATAGTTGTCCTAGCTTCCCATCAAAAGTTTATATAACTTCCCAAAGTTATGATAATAGTGAAAAGAGTAGGAAAAAATAACAAGAAAATTTTTTAAAGAACATTTAAATAAAATATTTATTTTGTAAATTGAAATACCACTGCAAAATTAAAACTCCAATAAAATATTTAAAAAATAAAATTGAGAAATTAGAGGAATAACTAATGAGCTTTTTAAAAATATGATATTAGCAGCAGAAAAAGAGACAAAGTCTAATTCAGGTGGTTCAACAGATGTTAATGAATGGGCTGCTAACACTATTATCAAAAAGGTGAGGAGAACCAACAAGGGCAAAGCACCCAGCTCCAAAAATGGGGTACACTCTAACCACTTCTAAACCCCAGGGATTAAAAAAACTTGTAGATGAATTTGAGGGACTGATGAATGTGTATGTAAATCTTGAGAAGATATTTTAGTATAGAATTTGAGTATGACTTTTTGATACGGTTACTGAAAGCTGGAAAAATAAAATTTAACTCCAAGAAAAAACAAAACAATGGTAAGGAAAAGAAGATCTAATCATACCATGTCTCAATGCTCAGCTATTTCATTTTACATACAGATTTAATTTTACATACAGACAATAATTTGCACAATGTTCATACAATTTAAAAATTTGTAAGTTACACTGGGAAGATGAGAAAAAAGTGTATTCCACGTATGGGTGAAATCAAGTAGTTAAGAAACTTAATTCTTCACTTCTCATAAAGTCAATGAACATTTTTCTAGATTAAGAAATATTATAATAACCATATTATTTAACATCCTATACAGTAAGATTGAGACTGTTTTGGCACATGTATGAAGATTAAGAAAATCATCCCTTTCTTATCAGAAGTTCACAGATACAAACAAAATATCAACAGAAAAATGCCATTCTGGAGAAACGTGCACATGCTATATGAGCTGACACTAGGAAGCAGTTCTTACACTTTGTCCATTTTTTTATCTGCACGTGTGCATAGAAAAGTTCTTGCCACCTATGGACAGATCAACCTGAGAAAAATGATTATGCACACACAGACACTAAAATTAGTCTCCAAAATCAGTGACCTAAAATTAGTCACCTACAATGCTTTATTTTATTATATTAGAAAACCCCATCCTATCAATCCCTAATACAAAATAATTGATTAGTGTTTCATCAATCTTTGGTAGGCTGCAAACTTTAGTATTAAAAATTTACCTCTCTCTCCTTTTTAGCATCAATGCTCTTGCATTTAGGCAACCTTAATATAAACGGTATCCAACACTGGGAACAGAAGAGCAATATATTCCACAATCATGTCAGATTTACTCTTCAAAGGTCATCCACATTTGGAAATAACGTAAACTCCAAGTTAAAATGACAACTGCTGCCATCTAATAAATTACAGTTTTAAAGTAAATAACTAGACATAATAAAAATTCTTACTTGTGGTGCAGAGTGCAGAAAACCCTCTCATTCCTGGTATTCAGTGTGGTCACCAATGTCACCTTTCCACAACCATGACAAGTTTCTGAATTGCTATTGAGCACTTTAATGACCAAGGCTACAACTTAAAGTTCCAAACATCATAGCACTTTTCACATTCTACAACACAGATTTCCAATTAAGTTTTAAACATCATGCCATAGATAAAACTGCATGATATCTAGAACTTTCCTTCCAGAAATCCACAATTTTCATACACAAGGAAGGAAAAAAAGGAAATAAAAATCATGTAAGTTTATATATTTCAAAGCAATGATAGATATTATACCTGAAAAGGAAACCGAAATTAATTACATAACTTTTATCAACTTGGCACATCAAGGTGACCTGCTTGGAAAGCTCATAAGCCTAGAAATATTTAAATTAATTCATCTTATGGGTTTTTTGTTTTGTTTTGTTTTGTTTTTTTTTTTTGAGACGGAGTCTTGTTCTGTTGCCCATGCTGGAGTGCACTGGCAGGATATCAGCTCACTGCAACCTTCACCTCCCAGATTCAAGTGATTCTCCTGTCTCAGCCTCTCTCAAGTAGCTAGGATTACAAGCCTGTCCCACCACACCTGGCTAATTTTTGTATTTTTAGTAGAGACGGAGTTTCACCCCCTTGGCCAGGCTACTCTTGAACTCCTGAATTCAAGTGATCCTCCCGCCTCAGCCTCCCAAAGTGCCGAGATTAGAGGTGTGAGTCACCACGCCCTGACTTGCATATTTTTTATTTCTAAGGGAAAAAAGTATGCATTCTCCAGCAGGCCTGTAGAAGAGGGCCCTGACTGTTAGAAGGAAAACTAACAAACAGAATGCAATAGCATCAACATCAACAAAATGGATGACCACACAAAAACCCCATCCAAAGGTCACCAACATCAAAGACCAAAGGTTCAAACCAGTTCAAACAGGCTGAAAATTCCGAAAATCAGAACGCCTCTTCTCCTCCAAAGAATCACAACTCCTCGCCAGCAAGGGAACAAAACTGGATGGAGAATGAGTTTGAAGAATTGACAGAAGTAGGCTTCAGAAGGTGGGTAACAACAAACTCTTCTGAGCTAAAAGAGCATGTTCTAACCCAATGCAAGGAAGCTAAGAACCTTGATAAAAGGTTAGAGGAACTGCTAACTAGAATAACCAGTTTAGAGAAGAACACAAATGACCTGATATAGCTGAATACACAGCACGAGAACTTCATGAAGCATTCACAAGTATCAATAGCTGAATCAATCAAGTGGAAGAAAGGATATCAGAGATTGAAGATCAACATAATGAAATGAAGTGTGAAGACAAGATTAGAAAAAAAGAATAAAAGGGAGTGAACAAAGCCTCCAATAAATATGGGACCATGTGAAAAGACCAAACCTATGTCTGATTGGTGTACCTGAAAGTAATGGGGAGAATATAAGCAAGTTGGAAAACACACTTCAGGATATTATTCAGGAGAACTTCCCCAACCTAGCAAGACAGGCCAACATTCAAATTCAGGAAATACAGAGAATACCACAAAGATACTCCTCAAGAAGAGCAGACCCAAGACACATAATCATCAGATTCACCAAGGTTGAAATGAAGGAAAAAAGTGTTAAGGGCAACAGAGAGAAAGGTCGGGTTACCCACAAAGGGAAGCCTATCAGACTAACAGTGGATCTCTCTGCAGAAACCCTGCAAGCCAGAAGAGAGTGGGGGCCAATATTCAACATTTTTAAAGAAAAGAATTTTCAACCGAGAATTTCATATCCAGCCAACTGTGTTTCATAAGTGAAGGAGAAATAAAATCCTTTACGGACAAGCAAATGGTGAGGGATTTTGTCACCACCAGGTCTGCCTTTCAAGAGCTCCTGAAGGAAGCACTAAGTATGGAAAGGAAAAAAGCAGTGTCAGCCACTGCAAAAACATGCCAAATTGTAAAGACCATCAACAATATGAAGAAACTGCATCAACTAATGAGCAAAATAACTAGCTAGCATTATAATGACAGGATCAAATTCACACATAACAATATTACCTTTCAATGTAAACAGCCTAAATGCCCCAATTAAAAGACACAGACTGGCAAATTGGATAACAAGTCAAGACTCATTGGTGTGCTGTATTCAGGAAACCCATCTCAAGTGCAAAGACGCACATAGGCTCCAAATAAAGGGATGGAGAAAGATTTACCAAGCAAATGGAAAGCAAAAAAATAGCAGGGGTTGCAATCCTAGTCTCTGATAAAACAGAGTTTAAACTAACAAGATCAAAAAAGACAAAGAAGGGCATTACATAATGGTAAAGGGATCAATGCAACATGAAGAGCTAACTCTCCTAAACATATATGCACCCAATATAGGATAACCCAGATTCATAAAGCAAGTTCTTAGAGACCTAAAAGGAGACTTAGACTCCCACACAAAAATAATGGAAGACTTTAACACCCCACTGTCAATATTAGACAGATCAGTGAGACAGAAAATTAACAAGGATTTTCAGGACTTGAACTCAATTCTGGACCAAGTGGACCTAAAAGACATCTACAGAACTCTCCACCCCAAATCAACAGAATATACATTCTTCTCAGTACTGCATTGCACTTATTCCAAGGTTGACCACATAATTGGAAGTAAAACACTCCTGAGCAAATGTAAAAGAAAGGAAATCATGACAAACTGTGTCTCAGACCACAGTGCAATCAAATTAGAATTTAGGATTAAGAAGCTCACTCAAAACTGCACAACTACATAGAAACTGAACAACCTGCTCCTGAATGACTACTGGGTAAACAACAAAATTAAGACAGAAATAAATAAGTTCTTTGAAACCAATGAGAACAAAGACACAACATACCAGAATCTCTGGGACACAGCTACAGCAGTGTTTAGAGGGAAATTTATAGCACTAATTGGCCATATGAGAAAGTGGAAAAGATTTAAAATCGATCGATACCCTAACATCACAATTAAAAGACCTAGAGAAGCAAGAGCAAACAAATTCAAAAGCTAGCAGAAGATAAGAAATAACTAAGATCAGAGCAGAACTGAAGGAGATAGAGACATGAAAAACCCTTCAAAAAATCAATGAATCCAAGGGCTGTTTTCTGAAAAGATTAACAAAAGTAGATAGACTGCTAGCCAGAATAATAAAGAAGAAAAGAGAGAAGAATCAAATAGACACAATAAAAAATGATAAAGGGGATATCACCACTGATCACACAGAAATGCAAACTACCATCAGAGAATACTGTAAACACCTCTACACAAATAAACTAGAAAATCTAGAAGAAATTGATAAATTCCTGGACACATACACCCTCCCAAGACTAAACCAGGAAGAAGTGGAATCCTGAATAGACCAATAAAAAGTTCTGAAATTGAGGTAGCAATTAATAGCCTACCAACCAAAAAAAGCCCAGGACCAGATAGATTCACATCCGAATTCTGCCAGAGGTACAAAGAGGAGTTGGTACCATTCCTTCTAAAACTATTCAAAATAACAGAAAAAGAGGGACTCCTCCCTAACTAATTTTATGAGGCCAACATTATCCTGATACCAAAACCTGGCAGATACGCAACAAAAAATGAAAATTTCAGGCCAATATCCCTGATGAACATCAATGCGAAAATCCTCAATAAAATACTGGCAAACCAAATCAAGCAGCACATTAAAAGGCTTATCCACCATGATCAAGTCGGCTTCATCCCTGGGATCCAAGACTGGTTCAACACACGCAAATCAATAAACATAACATATCACATAAACAGAACCAATGACAAAAATTACATGATTATCTCAATAGATACAGAAAAGGCCTTTGATAAAATTCAACACCCTTCATGCTAAAAACAGCCAATAAACTAGGTATTGATGGAAGGTATCTCAAAATAATAAGAGCTATTTATGAGAAACCCACAGACAATATCATACTGAATGGGCAAAACTTGAAGCATTCCCTTTGAAAATGCACAAGGATGACCTCTTTCACCACTCCAATTCATCATAGTATTGGAAGTTCTGGCCAGGGCAATCAGACAAAAGAAAGAAAGAAAGGACATTCAAATAGGAAGACAGGAAGTAAACTTGTCCCTGTTTGCAGATGACGTGATTGTATAGTTAGAAAACCCCATTGTCTCAGCCCCAAATCTCCTTAAGCTGATAAGCAACTTCAGCAAAGTGTGAGGATAAAAAATCAATGTGCAAAAATCACAAACATTCCTATACACCAATAATAGACAGAGAGCCAAATCATGAGTAAACTCCCATTCACAATTGCTACAAAGAGAATAAAATACCTGGGAATGCAGCTTACAAGGGATGTGAAGGACCTCTTCAAGGAAAACTACAAACCACTGCTCAAGGAAGTAAGAGAGGACACAAACAAATGGAAAAACATCCCATGCTCATGGATAGGAAGACTCAATATCGTGAAAATGGTCATACTGCCCAAAGCAATTTATAGATTCAATGCTATCTCCATCAAGCTACCATTTACTTTCTTAATAACAGAAAGCTTTAATAATTTGCCCATAGACATACTGTAAGTAAGTGGGAGAACTAGGGTTGGACCTCAGGCAGTCTGTCTCTAAAAACTCTGTTCCTGGTCAGGAGAGGTGGCTCTCACCTGTAATCCCAGCACTTTGGGAGGTGGAGGCAGGTGGATCAACTGAAGACAGGAGTTCGAGATCAGCCTGGCCAACCTAGTGAAAACCCATCTCTACTAAAAATACAAAAAAATTAGCTGGGCATTGTGGCAGGTGCCTGTAATTCCAGCTACTCAGGAGGCTGGGGCAGGAGAATCACTTGAACCCAGGAGGCAGAGGTTGCAGTGAGCTGAGATTGCACCAATGCACTCCAGCCTGGGTGACAGAGCAAGACCCTGTCTCAAAACAAAAACAAAAACAAAAACAACTGTGTTTCTATCATTGCACTACCTCTTATGAATGACAGTGACATTAAATATGTTGCCAAAGTATGTTCCTAAGCCACCAAATTACATATAATATTTTGGGGAGATGATTATTGCATGCTTGCAGAACTGATTGAAACTTGACAAAGCTTTCAAGTATTATGTAGGTTTTGGTCCATTTTTTAGAATAATAATATTCACCTTATCCTACATCTACAGTATTGTCCAACTCTCTAACACTGACATGACAAAAATCCTGTTAGCATGCTCAGCCAAACCCTGTAACAAAGGCATTGTGGAAATCCTAGTGTGCACTGCAGCTTTGATTTTCAAAGCACAGAATGCCTCAGAAAGTCTCATATGCACGCCACTCTGATTACTCACAAAATGAGTGTCATCTATGGACTCTCCCTACTGATAGAGATTGAAGTGAAAATAAAAAAACAAGACTCAGTCTCTAAGGAGCTTATGGTCTAGTAAGGAATATAAGGGAAGGGGCAGTCATTCTGGAAGTATTCCTAGAAGAGATGACATGTAAGCTGAGACCTGAAGGATGAGGGTAGTCTTATCTTTTCTGGGGATAAAGGCTACATGGCAACTGTTGTCATGAGAAAAGATTTTGGGACCTGGCATGGTGGCTCCTGCCTGTAATCTCACCACTTTTGGAGGCCAAGGAAGGTTGATACCTTGAGCCGGAGAGTTATTGACCAGCCTGGGATACATGGCAAAACCGCATCTCTACCAAAAATATAAAAATTAGCCAGGCATGGTGGTGCACACCTGTAATCTCAGCTACTTGGGAGTCTGATGCTGAAGGATCGCCTGAGCCCAGGAAGCAGAGGTTACGTTGAGCTGGGATTGTGCCACTGACCCCAGCCTGGGTGACAGAGTGAGAACCTGTATTAAAAAAAAAAAAAATCTCATCTTTTGCTGGGTTGATGGCCTTCTAATCCATCTAGGCCAGAATGCTTTCTGAAATGCAAATATGCTCGTATCTCTATCCTGCTTAACCTTACTATGGGCTTTTGATAAACTACAGGAAAGTACTTACACTCCTCTGGATGTCTTCTACGCCCTATGTGATGTATTTGGTGCTCAATGTATGGATTGTTCTTCCCACAAATCCCTTGGATTCTAGAAACACTGAGTTCTTTGTATTTCTTTAACATGCCACAATCTTCCATACTTGTTTTTTATCTTGAATAACATGATTACTTTGCCAGTGGGAATACAAATAAATAAAATCACTTTGAAACAGCTTGGCATTGTAAAATTGAAGATGCACACACTTTACAACACAGACATTCAACCTATAGGCAGATACTGTCAGGAAAGAGAATCTCTTGAATATTTGCATTAGGATACATGTTCACAGAAGCAAAATATAGAAAACATTCCAAATATACACCAGCAGAAATAAATACATTTTATTATTCACCAGTTATCCAAATTTGGGTTATCCACTCCAAACTCCCACTTGATTGTCTTCATAAATAGATCTGGGCCCATTAAATAGTTCTTCTTTGTCACGTGTTAATGATGTTAAACTTTGTGAGTAGAAGGCATTGGAGAGATGTTCCAAGAGGGTGCTTTTCAATCTGCTTTCTGTGTGCACCCTTGGCAAACTCTGGCAATGCAAATGACATCTCCAGCATCTGACACGGAGGGCATACAGAGCTACACCAGTGCCCAGATTCTGTAGTTCAGGCTGCTGCTATGGCACCCACTTCCTGAAGTTCATGGTGGCCAGGAGAACCCAGCGGCCAAGAGCTTCTCCTGAAATTGTCCTTTGCCAAATTTGTAGTAGAGCCCCTCTGGCTTGACATTTCTTCATAAACAGCTTTACACATTGGCCCAGAAGACAAGTTTCTGGGGAGTTCTGAAGTGTCAATTTGAAGCAGATTCTTCAAGGGCAACACTACAGCGACTTCTTAACTTTGAGCGAGGCCACAATGTGAGGGGACTCTTCATTGGCTGCTCCAAATTCACCATGGAGACAAGAGCAATTCCTTACATCTGCTCATCACATATTCTTGAGACTTCTCTTTACATATTACTAGACAATATTTCATTGTTCCAATGCTGTAACAATTAATAATTCTTCATATTAACTTTCCCTATTCACATTACTGTATGTTTTCTCTGTCTTGATGGACCCTGAATCCTACCCTCATGTGAATGAATGCTCTATATCAGCAAAATATGGCAAACTACAGCCACAGTGATAATATATTTGAACCCTTAAAAGTCAATGAAAAAAATCAAGTCCCTGAAAATTACACATGGTATGATTGTCTTTACAAAAAGTTCAAAAATACATAATGCCAAAACATGTAAAGGATACAGCCATGTGTGATAAAATTATAAATAATGACAGAGGAAAGATAAATAAACATAAAATTCAAGAAAATGCAAAAGCATAACTGTCATTAGTACATGGGGCATCCAAAGATATTAGAAATGTTATTTTCTTCATATGGCTATTAGGTTCACAAGTGTTCATTTAATTACTATACATATATTTTATACTATAGCCTTTTATATAAATAAAAAATAATTATTTCTTATGCTATAGAGTGATAACATTTACTAAAAGTGTGATTTGATCCATTTCCCAAATAGTGTGCTGAGATAGTGATCCTCTCAGCCCAGGCTGGCCAGGTAGGCCGTGAGGCCTCTGGCTTGGGATAATCTTGTGCATATTCCCCAGTGTGCTCTCTGACATACTGATGTTTTCTTCTGTGTGAAGTGACATGAATAGATTAGACTTGATTCCCTGATAATGCCAGATGAGAGTTTTACTATATTAGGCCATTCTCCTTAGATTTAATACTGAGTTAAATTTTTCCACTTCAGAATAACCTCTTATAATTATGAAATTCAGTTTTAATCCATAGGGAGAAGATAAACAATATAAACACACACATATATAAACACTCACATAACTATATATAATATTCAACTTTATTTCAAATATACCAATTTTAAAATTTATCAATATACCCATTACGATTCTTTCTGAGTGACATACCACACAAATTCAATACGGATTCTCTAAAGAATCCTCTTAGGCTACTTCACTCAAAG
This sequence comes from Homo sapiens, assembly GCF_000001405.40. NCBI lineage: Eukaryota > Metazoa > Chordata > Mammalia > Primates > Hominidae > Homo > Homo sapiens. The sequence goes on from NC_000011.10 coordinate 49,146,776, forward strand.
TCTCTGCAGCTGCCTGCACTGTGAAGGCTGCAACATAAATCTGTCTCTTCACTTCTCCCCAGGCCTTGGAAGGGTCCACTTTGCTTTCAATATCAAACAGAGCATCATAAATTCCTGGGAATGACTCCCCTGCATACTTGTTGTGGCTGCTTGGAGCATAGATGACATGCCTGTTGATAAAATCGTTTGCTGTTTATTAGGTGCCCAAATGATATACAAGAGAAACACAAGAGCACTCTGCAATTCCTGGATTGCATATTCCTATAACAATTTGAACAAGCCACTTGTCAACTGAACTTCCAAGTTCAATCATCTCTGAAGACTATTATATGAAATCTATAGTAATTAATTATATTTTTATTTCAAACAAATAAATTAAAGTGGTTCAGTGCTACAAAACTAACAATGATGATAGTAACCACAGCAATCATTCTTGGTATTTAATGTTTACTTGCAATTTTTCTGATGTTTAGAAATAAACTCTACACAGTTGATATTAGTATTTCACAGAGAAGGAAACTGAGGTCTGAGAGATCAAGTAACTAAATGATTTGTCTCAAGGCACACGACAAGTAACTGCTGATTTTTTAATATATCATGCTACCCCCTATATTATAGCACAATTGTAATCATTACAGTCTTGCTTGTGATCAGCCAACCCTCTATTGTGGTTTTTTTTTTGTCTTTTTTTAAAAAGTCACACTACCATGTTAGAATACTTAATATAGAGTTTGAAGAATCATCAAAAACAATTTTGTAATGTTCCATGTGACCAAGGCAGAAAATGTTTTATAGAATGGGCTATGACAGTTCATGTAATAGCCCACAGAAGAGAAGGACAAACTCCATAGTAAAGATGTAAATAAGGCCAGAAGCAGTAGCTCATGCCTGTAATCCCATATATTAGGGAGGCCAAGGTGGGAGGATTGCTTGAGGCCAGGAGTTCTAGACGAGCCTGCGCAACATAGGGACACCCTGTCGCTACAAATGAACGTACAAATATTAGCTGGGCATGGTGGCATGTGACTGTAGTCCTAGCTTCTTTGGAGGCTGCTGCAGGAAGATTGGTTGAGCCCAAAAGTCTGAGGCTGCAGTGAGCTAAAATTGCACAACTGAACTCTAGCCTGGGAGACAGAGTGGGACCCTGTCTCTTAGGAAAAAAAGGGGGGGTGGGGGATGGATAAAAATATGCTGCTACTGGTGATCTGATCCAGTCAACCTGCTTGGAAGATGCTCTTACTCCCAAGCCCGACCCTTTGATAATCCCTAGAAAGAAAGTTAGGGCCATTTCTGGCTGTCCAATGATCTATCTCATTCTGCAATATTTAGAAGATCAACCTGGGGACAGTCAATGTTTGGCAGAAAAAAATCCAACTGTCAGGATTTAGGAGGAAATAAAATATCTAAATATCAACATTAGGGAAAAGAATAAATAAATATATATTTATTATATACATTATATATAGAGAGATGTTTGGGTTCTGTGTATACATAAGTAAAAATATATTTAAAATAGAAAAGGAGCTAAAATTATACACACCAGAATATAACAATGATTTTATATTTTTCTGATAAAATTGGGGAGATTTTTATTTTTTGTCATGGCTTTCTGGATCTTCTATATTTTCTAAAATAAATTTATATTCTTTTATAATCAGAACAAAGATACTCAAAATAAAGATATGCAAAAATCATATTACATTATATGAAGAAACAATACAACTATCACTTACTACATATATTTTGAAATTTTCTATTTGCTTGCAAGAAATCAACTACAATATTTTTTCCACAGTGAAAAAAATAAAAATAATTAGAAGAAAAAGTGATATTACAGAAAGGAGTCATATTTTCTTTTCTTACCTATAAAAAGGCCTGTCTGGTAACCCTAATGGATCAATAAATGCTCTTTCCAGAAACATGAGTTGATCATTCATCATTCTTAATACTATTGGGCTGAGAAAGAAAATGAATATAATTATAACTTCATGAAAATATGTTTCTACTCAGAAAATAAAAATTTCAGAACAAAACTGAATTTAGTTATCTCCGGGGATTGGTTTCAGGACCACCCTCTACACCAAAATTTGTGCATACTCAAGTCCTGCAAGGAGGACACATGTATGTGAAAAGTCGGCCCTCCTCCTTTGTGGAATTTTTTTTTATTATTATACTTTTAAGTTCGAGGGTACATGTGCACAACGTGCAGGTTTGTTACACATGTATACATGTGCCATGTTGGTGTGCTGCACCCGTTATCTCACTCATAGGTGGGAATTGAACAATGAGAACACTTGGACACAGGGTGGGGAACATCACACACCAGGGCCTGTCGTGGGGTGGGGTGAGGGGGGAAGGATAGCATTGGGAGGTATACCTAATGTAAATGACGAGTCCTCTGTGGAATTAACAGGGTGAAAATGAACAAACTACCAAACAAATTAAATTGATCTCTCGGTATAATGATCCAGATTTAAGTCTAAAAGTTACTTAAAATTATATCGTTTCAAGTGATTTTCAGAATGGTTTAAGTACAGCGTTCTTGGAGCCTGATATGACTTTCTGGATTAACTTGCTCTGCCTCAGTGAGGAAATGTAGCTGTGTATGTGGAATCTGAAGCCACATCTGATCTCCCTTGGGTTAGCTGCCCCCAGTATAACTCTTACCACATGCTTAATCCCCCTTTCACATCTTAGTCTTCATGTTGTTAAGACAATGAGATAGGCAATTATATAAAATAGAAAATGTTTGTGGAACACATGGCTAGTAGTCCAAATGGAATGTAACAGTTTTTTTTTAAGTTTCTATAATTCTCTTACTTTATATTTTTCATTAGTTTTTCATTAGCTACATCTGAGTTTCTCAGATTCAAGCTTGTAGAGTGAGCATCATTCTGTGATAAAAGTTCTAATATATCAAAGCTAAAAGAAAGATGCTTGTTGAGATTTTTTCCACATAAATGAATTTTCTCAGTTAAAATACTTTTGTTCTAGATTTATGTCCATCCTACTTTTAGATATTTTTAATGAAATCATTTTATGTATGCAATGCTAACATTTTCAAATGTAAGCTTGAAAATAAAAGATTTAATTTGGCAAAATAAAAAGTTTTCCATATTTAAAAATAACAAGAATAGTCAGCCCTCCATATATGTGGGTTTTAGTCCTTCAATACTGTATTTTATTTTGTTTTCTTAAGAGATGGAGTCTTGCTCTGTTGCGCAGGCTGGAGTGCAGTGGCTTAATCATAGCTCAGTATAGCCTTAAACACCTGAGCTCAAGCAATTCCTCTGCCTCAGCTTCCTGAGTACCTGGGATTACAGTGAATAATACTGAATTTTCCATCTGTGTTTGCTTGCTAATGTGAAATCTATGGATAGAGAGGGCTCACTGTATTAATTGAAAAAAATTCGTAAATAAGTGGACCTGTGCAGTTCAAATCACTGTTGTTCAAATGTCAATTGTAAATTTTAACATTCTGTAATATGCAAATTAAGAACAATAACATACATAGCTATGACATCTTTAAAATCTTATAAAATACTATACTGCTCAGGCTTATAAAAGCACAGAAACAGTTGTATGTGCAAATGGAAAAAATAATAGTGATTTTTATTTACATTGGCATAATTAACTGATCAACCCAGATATACAAATATAGGCAAGATTTTCTTCACCTTAGGTATCCTAGCAATCTACTCACTGAAGTAATATCAATATTAAAATAAGATGACTTGCTAATGTTTAGTAAGATGCCTGGCAAATTATAAATATTTACCAAGTGATAACTAATAATATTCCTTTTATTTTTAAAGCTAAACCTATTATGAACACAACAGATGGTGATTACTTAAGTCTTTCAACAATATTTGGATACCTGCTATTTATCAAACACTCCCTGCTTTTACAGAACTTACATTCTAAAAGGAGTGTTGGGGTTGTTATTATAATAAGAATGATTCAATATAATTGAAAGTTTATCAGCAAGCTCTGAATACTTCAACAATGAGTTACTGAATTTAATATACCAATTATTTCACAATTTAATTAACTGAGAAAAATCATTACAATAAGAAAGCATGAATCATCTTGTTCATTAATTTACTTCTTGCTTTTCATAATTTAGTTTTACTA